>NC_000002.12:48069140-48372170 GCF_000001405.40 Homo sapiens | reverse complement strand
TCATGATCCACAGCTAATATCTTACTGAATGGGGAAAAGCTGAAAGCGTTTCCCCTAAGAACTGAAACAAGAAAAGGATGCTCACTTGCACCACTCTTAGTCAACATAGTACTGGAAGCCCTAGCCAGAGCAATTAGGTAAGAGAAAGAAATAAAAGGCATCTATGTTGGAAGAGAGGAAGTCAAACGTCCCTGTTTGCAGACAACATGATCTTATATATAGAAAAAACTAAAGATTCTACCAAAAAACTCTTAGAACTGATAGTCAGTAAAGTTGCAAGATACAAAATTAATACACAAAAGTCAGTAATATCTCTACACACAAAACAACAAACTAGCTGAAAAAGAAATCAAGATGGCAATCTCATTCACAATAGCTACAAAAAATAAAATTAAAATACCTACAAAAAAATTGAAGACAATACAAACAGACATCCCATACTCATGGATAGGAAAAATTAGTATTGTTAAAATGACAATACTACCTCCAAAGCAATCTATAAATTCTATCAAAATACCAATGATATCCTTCACGGAAATATAAAATAATCCTGAAAGTTGTATGGAACTACAAAAGACCCCAAATAGGCAAAAGAATCTTGAGCAAAAAGAACAAAACTGGAGGCAAAATACAAACAGACCTCAAAATATACTACAAAGCTGTAGTAACCAAAAAAGCAAGGTACTGGCATAAAAATAAGACACATAGACCAATGGAACAGAATAGAGAACCTGGACATTAATTGACATATTTACAGCCAACTATTTTTTTTTTTGGAGACAGTCTTGCCCTGCCACCCAGGCTGGAAGGCAGAGGAGTGTTCTCGGGTCACTGCAACCTCCATCTCCCAGGTTCAAGCGATTCTTGTGCTCAGTCTCCTGAACAGCTAGGATTACAGAGGCGTGCCACCACACTCAGCTAATTTTTGTGTTTTTAGTAGAGATGGAATTTCACCATGTTGGCCAGGCTGGTCTCAAACTCCTGGCCTCAAGTGATCTGCCTGCCTCGGCCTCCCAAAGTCCTGGGATTATAGGCATGAGCCACCGCGCCCCACCCCCTCCGCCAGTGGACTGATTTTTGACAAAGGTGCCAAGAATACTAACTGGGGGAAAGACAGTTTCTTCAATAAATGATACAAAAGAAATTGGATATATATCTACAGGCAGAAGAATGAAACGAGACTCCCACTTGTCACCCTATACAAAAATCAGCTCAAAATGGATCAAAGACCTAAATGTAAGAACTGAAACGATAAAACTACCAGGAGAAAACAAAGATGAAACACTTCAGGACATTGGTCTGGGAAAAGATTTTATGAATGAGACCTCAAAAACATAGGTAACAAAAGCAAAAATAAACGTAATTATATCAAACTAAAAAGCTTCTGCACAGGAAAGAAACAACAGTGAAATGACAACCTACAGAATGAATAAAATATATGCAAACTACTCATCTGACAGGGGATTAACATCTACAATATAAAAGGAACTCAAGCATCTCAACAGGAAAACAAACAAACCAAAATCCTCTAATTTAAAAATGGGCAAATGATCAGAACAGACATTGCTCAAAAGAAGACATACAAATGGTCAAGAAATTTAAAAAAATTAAGAGGAAAGGGAAATAGAGTGTTGGGGAAAGTGGTTACAATTTTAAATATAGAGGTCAGAGAAATCCTGAAGGAGAAGGTAGGCTACAGTTGGGCAAAGACCTCAGGGAGAGAAAGAATGATATCTGAGGGAAAAGAGTACTGGGCAGAAAGAAGAGCAAGTACAAAGGATTTGAATCAATGATGCCCACATGCCACATCCAAGAGGCTAGCAAAAACAATGACCTCTCCAATTCCTGTCTTTTAGGATGAAGCCTGAGGCAATTCTTTTTGAGTTCAGTATTCTAACACGTCTGAAGAAGAAAAGTTGCAGCCGCTAGCCCATATTGTGTCTCTGTGTGAGTTGGAAAAAAGGCAAATCTTCCTCCAGGTGAATGGTTCCCTATTCAAGGCACACAGCTAGACGAATGGAATGTGGGCTGAATTTCAGGCCCCACTCACTGCCTTAAGCCAGGTGGACTTGCAGAGGGCACAACTTGCATGGCATTATGCAAAAGCCCCAACAGAGAGATTACTTCTCCATAAACTAATTTTTCTTTTTTTTTTTCTTTTCTTTTTTTGAGATACAAGGTCTCCCTCTGTCACTCAGGCTGGAGTGTAGTGACACAATTATGGCTCACTGTAGCCTCAACCTCCCAGGCTCAAACGATCCTTCAACCTTAGCTTCCCAAGTAGCTGGGACCACAGGCATGTACCACCGCACCTGGCTCATTTTTATTTTTATTTTTTGTAGAGATATGGTTTTACCGTGTTGCCTGAGCTCAAGTGATCCTCCCGCCTCAGGCTCCCAAAGTGCTGGGATTACAGGTGTGAGCCACCGTGCCCAGCCTAAATTTTCTTTTTAATAAAAAGGATCTACCTTGTTTCTAATTTTATAAAAGAGGAAGGTGACGGTAAAATAATCTAACAAGAAAATGCATTATAATGAGAAACCAATTACAGAAACTTTATCTTATAAATGAAGCACCTATAAAATATACTTACTAAAAAATTAGTATATCTCTAACTTGACTTCTTTTTTTTGAGATGGAGTTTCACTCTTGTCGTCCAGGCTGGAGTGCAATGGCACCATCTCAGCTTACTGCCACCTCTGCCTCCTGGGTTCAAGTGATTCTACTGCCTCAGCCTCCTGAGTAGCTGGGATTACAGGCACTCGCAACCACAGTCAGCTAATTTTTGTATTTTTAGTAGAGATGGGGTTTCATCATGTTGGTCAGGCTGGTCTTGAACTCCTGACCTCAGATGATCCACCCGCCTTGGCCTCCCAAAGTGCTGGGATTACAGGCGTGAGACCCCCGCCTGGCCTAACTTCACTTCTTTTAACAAACATCCATTATGATTCAAGGAACATTATTTTGAAACACAACACCTAAAACTGGTAAGAGGCTTATCCTGATAACATAAGAAAGCTACATGAATACCATTTCTGAATATTGTAAAGTGTTAACAAATTAAGTACTGTTTCTATAACAGTAGAATGGTAGGAAAAATACACCTTAAATAGATTTATTTATGGTAGATAACTTATAGCCAAATTAATTTGAAATCTCCAACATGAAATTAACTTTGTGAAACCAAACACTTCTTTGCAAAAGGATTTTGCCTGTATCTTATTTGTTTAAAACATTTATAAGTGTGCTTCCTGCAATGCCTTGCCAATTAACTGTGAAAAAAAGTTTAACTTCAACATTAAAAATAAGCAATGAATGATCCAAATCACCATCATAATAGAGAACACCTGATTATCAATGATTTGTCCAAGGTACAGTCTTGAACTTTGTGGAACAAAAGCAATAAAAATTCTCTGGGTAGAAATTACAATTTTTAATTATAGTACCCAATCTATTTTCGTTGATTCGTTCGTTATTTATCAACAGGGTCTCACTCCGTTGTCCAAGCTGGAGTGCAATGGTGCAATCATGGCTCACTGCAACCTTCACCTCCCAGGTTCAAGTGATCTGCCCACCTCAGCCTCTCGTGTAGCTGGAACCACAGGTGTGTACCACCACGCCCGGCTAATTTTCATATTTTTGGTAGAGATGGGGTTTCACCATGTTGCCCTAGAGATGGGGTTTCACCATGTTGCCCAGGCTGGTCTTGAACTCCTGAGGGATCCATCTCGGCCTCCCAAAGTGCTGGGATTACGAGCATGAACCACCGCGTTCAGCCAATTTTGCTATGAAATTTAAACTGAAGACTCATTTGTTTATTGTCACATTTGAAAATACTTCATAATGGTATTTTTTCATTGATAAAGTACTTTATTCTATTTTAAAGGTGGCTCTGTTTTTAAAAACAATAACACTATTAGCTGTATTATCTAACATATCCAGTTCAAAAGGAACCAAAATTTGATAGTTTCAAACATGCTACTGATTTCATAACTGGTTCAAACAAAACCGTGTCAACACCATGAATTTGGCTAAGCGTGGTGGCTCACACCTGTAATCCCAGCACTTTGGGAGGCCGAGGTGGGTGGATCACTTGAGGTCAGGAGCTCGAGACCAGCCTGGCCAATATGGTGAAACCCGTCTCTACTAAAAATACAAAAATTAGCCGGGTGAGGTCATACGCGTCTGCAATCCCAGCTACTTGGGAGGCTGAGGCAGGAGAATCACTTGAACCCAGGAGGTGGAGGTTACAGTGAGCGAAGATCGTGCCACTGCACTTCCAGCCTGGTTGACAGAGCGAGACACCATTTCAAAAAACAAAAAATAAACAACAATTTAAAAAACTTGTTAATTTGTGCCTGTTGGTTTTTATTTCCTTAACCTTGATGTTGGGAAATGATTAAAAATAATTAAAAACAATTCAGACACTAGTTTTAGCCATATGAGAGTAAGGTTATAAGTCGAGCATATTTCTGTTGTTTGACTCTCAGTCCATTTGTGTAAGGAATGATATGAGAACTATAGAAATAATTCAAATGGTATAAGCTTTGTAGTAATTACAAAAGGATTTATTGTCTCTATCAAAACTAATATATACATTTGCAGAGCATCCAGATGGAGAAGCTGTCTCTTGTAATTCTCTGAAGTAGAAGAATAGTTTCAATAAATTACCAACACTTTAAGCTGTCTGGACCACTGGTTTAGTTTCATTTCAGTAAGACACAAATCTTAGCTTTACATGTAGCCCTAACATCACCATCAACTACCTTAATTTTATATCTGTTTGTAGTATACCAGGTGCTTTTAGCAGTTAGTATAACTACTAAAATTTACTAACTGGAATGTGAGTTCCATTTTTGTCTGCTTTTTTCACTGATGTACCTTGGTGTCTAGAACAGCTCAGTAATATTTTTAAACAGGTGAATTTACTCTAAATACACACCAAACCAAACTATTGACCAAAAAAAATTTCGTTCTGCTATCTCAGTGTAAGAATCCTGTGTCTCCTGCTATCTATTATACAATGCCATAACATTGATACTGTCACATAAAAGTCATTGTAAGTTGATCAAGAGACAACAAACACACTGCTGCACCTGTTTAGGCTGATAACAGTTTCTGGAGTTCTAAGCCTAATCTCTCCCTTTAGTTTTCCGTGTCTAAAGGTAGCTCTAATATAATGATCAGTAAAGATGATTCTATGAAGTGTTAGATGAATATGTAAGTTTTAATATTGGAGGCCAATGATAATACCTAAGTGATCTTTATAAAACATAAAACTGACGATGTCACTTCACTATTTAAAGTTCTTCAGCAGGTCTCCCAGTGCCACTTATCTAGTAGGAGTCAGGCTTTGAAATTAGAATTATTCAATCTGAATCCTTCTTTGCCACTTACTAGTTGTGTGACCTTGAGAAGTTACTTAATCTCCCCAAACTTCAGTTTGCTTATCTGTAAAAGAGGGGCAGCAATACCTCAGAGGGTTGTTTTAAGGATTAAATTAGATAATGCATGCAAAGCATCAAGTAAGCAACTTAAGGCTTATTAATTGTTCTAGGCAGAGGAGGATGTTCAAAGTCCTTATTATGCTAAATAAGCTCTTAAACTTCTGCTACATTTGCCTTGCCCACGCAAATGACCACATCTACCTGGTCTATATCAACATGCCAGACAGATTCCTAGCAACTGCCAGACAACTCTCTCTATTGTTATGATTCTCTCTGCCAGGGAGAACTTTTGTTCCACAAAGTTTGAGGTTGTACCTTGGACAAATCGTTGATAATCAGGTGTTCTCCATCATTTTTTTTTTTTTTTTTTGGAGTCTCACTCTGTCACCTAGGCTGGAGTGCAGTGGCGCGATCTCGGCTCACTGCAATCTCCACCTCCCAAGTTCAAGTGATTCTCCTGCCTCAGCCTCCTGAGTAGCTGGAATTACAGGCGTGTGCCAACACACACCCAGCTAATTTTTGTATTTTTAGTAGAGATGGGGTTTCACCATGTTGGCCAGGCTGGTCTTGAACTCTTGATCTCATGTGATCCACCTACCTCGGCCTCCCAAAGTGCTGGGATTATAGGCGTGAGCCACTGTGCCCAGCCAAAGTATATATTTTCTAAGAGCAGGGCCTGGGTCTCTCATCTATGCATATCCCAAGGAACCTCCAACAGTGTCTGGCACAAGGAGTCTGGCTCAACAGTATTAGTTGTAATGAATGTCTAATCCACTTGGTGTTTTTTAAACTTCTCTCTAGAAATAATATAAAGAGGCAAGAGAAAATTTCCTCAGAAATATACCCCAAAACAACCAAGTTCAAAAATAAAATTCCCTAAATTTTTGTGAGGTTTTATGTTTTCTTCCCTTAAAATTCATGGAGAATTTTGTATTATATTCCAGGACAGATGTGCATTTGTTTTAACCTAGAATGCCAACGACCTCCCCACTAAGTTAATTATTACTAGAGGAACAGGCCTAAGACTCATGCATATAGGAATGGAGGTAAGGTGCTGGTAGCACTAGACAGATGATGCATAATACGTACAAGTCATTAGATGAAGAAGAAGTACCTGTGCCCTAGTAAATGAAAAACATGCAGGTGAAACTAGCAGCAAAAACTTGTGGAAATGTCTGTTCCCCAAAGAAAGAAAGAATTTGGATAGAACAGAACAAGAGCAAGAAAAGATTTAAGTAAACTCCAGAATTCACAAAGAAAATGTTCTCAAGATATGTATACGAACTGAGCTTTAGAGAATAAGTGTCAGACTTTATTGAGGCAATACAAAGATAAAGGCATTTTGGCAATACCTAAATGTAAAGAGAAACCACATTTGACTGATGTAGGTAACAGGAACACGGATATTTGTCTTATGTTAAGGCAGAACATTATTTGAAACAGATCCCCTATCCATTTAACTTCTTTGCAGGGTTCTCTAGAACTTTTTCATATTCTTTTCCTCCTTTATTTTTAAAGATATCAGCACACTGCTTCTGAGGCTCAGTTTAGTATAGTTCCAAAGAGCCAAAATATTTCTGATACACAGAAAGGTTTTCATCTGAAATTTTCTATTTTTAAAGGTTATGAAAATGTCTCCAGGCTCCAAAGCAACGCTAGGAAAACTGATTTTAATATACTACTAATCTACAAGAAAAAAACCCACTAATTCAGAATTTTGATATACTTTTAAAAAGTCAACTTATTATCTTTTAAAATTAAAGTTCTTCAGATTAAATAACCTACAGGAGAAATATCTTCAAGCATATTCTAATTTGAGGGATGACAAACTTCTTCAGTAAAGGGTCAGAAGGTAAATATTTTAGGCTTTGCATGCTAAGAGGCAAAACCCAGGATATAATATGTAGGTCTCTGTTGCAATGAATTTTCACAGTCTTGAAATTTTATTGTTATTTGATTTTGTTTTCTCCAACCATTTTACAAATGTAAAACCATCCTTAGCTCATGGGACACCCAAAAACAGATGTCAGGCCAGAAATGGCCATGGGCCATAGTTTGCCAACCCCTTTTCTAGTCTAAGATAGACCTGAAAAGGTAATAACTCTACTGATATTACTAAAAAATTCAATCCTATTTTCAATGAAAAATACCCATAAAAATAAATGGAAAAGGGATATAAAACTGTATACACAGTGTGAATCTAGTATCTGGAGAAAAAGTATGTGTGTGTTTATGTATGTGTCCCTGTACATACACGCATGCAAGTGTATCTATTCACATATGTGGCATTAAAAAAACCCCAAAGGAATTATATCAAAATGTTAACAACAAAATTAGCCAGGTGTAATGGCACCTGTAGTCCTAGCTACTTGGGAGGCTAAGGTGGGAAGATGGCTTAAGCCCAGGATTGTGAGGCTATGGTGAGTCATGACTGTGCCATTGCCCTCTGGCCTGGGTGACAGAGTGAGAACCTGTCTCAAATAAATAAATAAATAAATAAAAATAAAATATTAACAATGGGATAAATGACTTTACTTTCTCTTTAATAAATGTTTTTATTGCCCAAATTTCCTATAATAAATACATAATACTTGTTAAAATAGAAAAATGTTAAACAGCAACAACAAAATATCCCAAATTTTTATCTGAATTTTTTATGAATTAAAATACAGTCATGTGCACCTGTAGTCCCACCTATTTGGGAAGCTGAGGTAGGAGATCACTTGAGCCCAGGCATTCAGAAGATCAGTGTGGGCAACATGGCAAGACGCCATCTCTTAAAAATAAAACAAATAAATAAAAATGCAGTCATACTTTGTTTAATGACGGGAATATGTTCTGAGAAATGTACTGTTAGGTGATTTTGTCACTGTGTGAACATCATAGAGTGTGCTTAAACCTAAATGGTATAGCCTACTACACACCTAGGATTGCTCCTGAGCTACAAATCTGTACACCATGTTACTGTACTGAATACTATAGGTAATTGTATCACAAATGGTATTTGTGTATCTAAACACAGAAAAGGTACAGTAAATGATCTATTAGTTTCTGCCAGGGAACAAAAAAGGGGGTACAATAAAAACACTATACAAATATTTAAAATGGTACACCTGTATAGGGTACTTACCATGAATGAAGCTTGAAGGACCGGAATTGCTCTGGGTGAGCCAGAGAGTGTTAGTGGTGAGTGAATGTAGAGGCCTAGGATATTACTGTACACTACTGTAGACTTTATAAACAGTGTACACTTAGGCTGCACTAAATTGATTTTTTAATTTTTTCTTTCTTCAATAATACATTAACCTTAGTTTACTGTAAACTTTTACTTTATAAACTTTTTAATTTTTTAAATTTTTACTCTTTTGTAATAACAGCATAAAATACATAATACAGCTGTATAAAAATATTTTATTTATAACCTATAAGCTTTTTTCTATTTTTAAATTAACTTTTTTTAAACTTTTTAGTTAAAAACAAAGATACAAATACACACATTAACCTGAGCATACACAGGGTCAAGATCAATATCACTGTCTTCTGCCTCTACATTTTTGTCCCACTGGAAGGTCTTTAGGGACAATAAACACAGAGAGCTGTCATCTTACTGTAACAATGCCTTCTAGAATACCTCCTAAAGGACCTGTGTGAGGCTCTTTTACAGTTAACTTTTTTTAATTGGTGGAAGGAGTATACTCAAAAATAACAGTAAAAAGTATAGTAAATACATAAACTAGTGACATAGTTTATTACCATTATCAAGTATTAACATATGTACATAACTACGTGCTATACTTTTACAGGACTAGCAGTGCAGTGAGTCCGCTTGCACCAGCATCACCACAAACTTCAGTAAATGCGTTGTGCCACAATGTTACAACAAGCTACCAGGGCACCAGGCAATAGAAATTTTTCAGCTCCATTATAATCTTAGGGGACCACCATTGTTATGCACTGCCTGTTGTTGACCAAAAGATTGTTGTGTGGTGCATGACTGTACTGATATTCACACATACCTTTGAGGTTTCGCACCTGGTTCTGCTTGATTACAGAGCTTAAATAGTGAGGTGATAAAGAACCACTGAAAAACAAACAGAAAAGCAAATATGCTTATAAAAATGTTTACTTCACTTTTTCCCCCTAATTTTTGACAGGTTCTCTCTCACTCTGCTGGCCGCCCAGGCTGGAGTGCAGTGGCATGATTTCAGCCTACTGCAGCCTTGACTTTCTGAGCTCAGGTGATCCTCCCACCTTAGCTGCCTGAGTGGCTGGGACCACAAGCATGCACTACCATGTGTGGCTAATTTTTTAATTTTTTTTGGTAGAGAAAGGGTTTTACCATGTTGTACAAGCTAGTCTCAAACTCCTGGGCTCAAGCAGTCTACCTGCCTTGGCCTCCTACAGTGCTGGAATTACAGGCGTGAGCCACTTGCACCCAACTATTTCACTTTTTATAGAACTTAGTCACAAATACAGCTAATTTGTACCACCAAAAACAAACTATTTTTACCTTGTTTTCTTTGCTAATACTACTCAATTTAGAAAGTCTGCCAAAGCAGAAAGAGCATAGGAGCCAAAAGAGGTAAATCACAACTATTTGGATGTTCTTAGGCAAAATAATTAATCTCTTAGCTTCTTCATCTGTAAAATAGGAATAATTAAATCTCCCACATAGGCTGTTGTGATAATTAAATAATAATAATGCATTTAAAATGCCTGGAACTATAGATAATACATGATAGTTACTGTTTGGTTTTGCATTGGATTCTTAAGTTTGATATAATACTAATATAGGTATTACCACAAAAATAAAAGCATTTACCAAAATTCATGGTTAAGGAACACTTGGTAGTGATAGCAAACAGGTATGTTCCTGATTTTATTAATAAACATAAAATTAAACTTTCTATATTCATGGAAAGACACCAACAGTTCTTTTTTTAATCCAGGAATTAAAATATTTTTGGGAAAAACTACTTCTCTTCTTTGGAATTTATGATAGCATGAAAAAAAAATCTATTTGTTAACGAACTTAAAAGTTTATTTCCTATTCATAGTTTTACATATACTGTATCTCACTCTTTTCCTCAGACTTACAAATTCTTATATGCAAGGGCTACACAAAAGCATGTCAGATGGAACTGTTATTTTGCCAAACAACATAAAGGGCAAAATGTTTCATTTTATATTAAGGGTTTAAAGTCAAAAGGTTATATATAACCCTTATGTTGTAGTTTAATCTTTTTTTTTTTTTTTTGAGACACAGTCTCGCTCTGTCGCCCAGGCTGGAGAGCAGTGGCGCAATCTCGGCTCACTGCAACCTCTGCCTCCTGGGTTCAAGATGATTCTCTTGCCTCAGCCTCCCGAGTAGCTGGGGTTACAGGCGCGTGCCACCACACCCAGCTGACTTTTGTATTTTTGGTAGAGACGGGTTTCAACATGTTGGCCAGGCTAGTCTCAAACTCCCGACCTCAGGTGATCCACTGGCCTCGGCCTACCAAAGTGCTGGGATTACAAGCTTGAGCCACCTCACCTGACCATAGTTTTTATCTTCTTTTAAAGCCACAAGATCACTTTTAACATTTAAACTTATGATTAAGGCTAAAAGATAGAAACATGAAAATACAATATATCAAAGACAGCAAAATATATTTGTGATGGTTTACAAAAAATGGTGCCAATTCTTTCATATAATCTTTTTTTTTTTTTTGAGATGGGGTCTCAGTCTGTCACCCAGGCTGGAGTGCAGTAGCACCATCTTGGCTCATTGCAACATCTGCCTCCCAGGCTCAAACGATCCTCCCACCTCACCCTCCTGAGTAGCTGGGACCACAGGCGTGCACTACCCATGCCCAGCTAATTTTTGTATTTTTGGTAGAGACAGGGTTTCTCCATGTTGTCCAGGCTTAATCTTCAGCAAAAAAAAAAAAAAACCCAACACAGCTAAGTAAAACACATAGGTGAACATCAGTAGAACTCACCATTAGTTTCTAAATTATTATTTAAAATGCCTCATAATAACCAAAATTAATTAATAAAGATATCAATTTCCAAGTAAGAATATAAAATCTGGTAACTTCTTTTCTAGGTTTCATTTCATAAAGATAAACCACTCAGTTATTCTTTTTATAATGATCCATCTAATCTATAATATGGTAAAGAAGCTTAAAATCTCAGTGAGTGAATATATTACTGATATTTCAACTTTAGCCTTCCCAGCTATTTACTGTATTCCAGCTACAACCACTCCTCTACAAGTTATCTAACAATACTTTAAGAATTCAAATTAACCACTATATGAAACGTTGATGATTGCTGCAGCTGGGAGTTCATTATAACTTTCTCTCTACTTTTTTCCATGTTTAAAAATTTCCATTTATTACTTTATTAAAAATCTTTTTAAATTTTTCAAAAAACAAGTTAGCCATTATAAACTACCCTTAAAGTATTTTAACCAAATCTGGGATTTTCAATTCAAATGAAGGTATATAATAAATTGGAGAAGACTCTAAAGTCTTCTTTAGAAAAAGGAAACAAAAATCAGATTTAAGAAGGTCATATTATTTTCCGATTTAACTTAAAATGAGGAAGCTAGAAGATCAACAGGGGTTACTGGGATTGAAAACAAAGACAAGGAAAATTATAAGCAAATACAGTACAACTATATTTACCAGAAAAAATAAAAACAAAGTTCAAAGCATTATTTTATTTGCCAAACATTTAAAAATTTTAGACTTGAACATACTTTTCAAATATTAAGTACTACGAAAAAAACCTAAAACAGAAAAAGAAACCTACATATGTATATAAAATGTTATAATGACAAACTTAATAATCTTGTTAAAAAATTTTAAATGTATTTTTAATTTCCTTCATTTTTAGGTTAGCATTAGTATTGCAGACAATTAAAATGATCTGACCTGTTTGTAACTGAAATTATATTACAACTTTCTTTAGGGTTTACTTATACTCAGTATTGACTATATTTCCCAGAGTGTATGTTCTCAAGTCACCAATTTCCTGTATTCTAGAAACACAAATTAGACCATAAGGAAAACTAACTTAGGCTAATGTCTTATCCATAAATACTTCTTAAAAAAAGAAAAGAAAAGAAAAGAAAAGAAAAAACAGGCCGAGGATGGTGGCTCACGCCTGTAATCCCAGCACTTTGGGAGGCAGAGGTGGGAGGATCACTTGAAGTCAGGAGTTAGAGACCACCCAGGCCAACATGGTGAAACCGTGTCTCTACTAAAAAGACAAAGATTAGCTGGGAGTGGTGGTGCTTGCCTGTAGTCCTAGCTACTAGGGAGGCCGAGGTGGGAGGATCACCTGAACCCAGGAGAGGGAGGTTGCAGTGAGCCGAGATCTCGCTACTGCACTCCAGCCTAGGTGACAGAGTAAGACTGTGTCCACAAAACAAAACAAAAACAAAAACTAAAAACTAAAAACTAAATAAAACATAAATACTTCTTTATACAATAAAACAGAAACATAATACCCTGGACCTTTAAGTTTCTCCATCTCACACAGTGAAATCCTATAAATCACCACTGACAGTTATATGGAAGATCCTTACTTTTGTGAAGATGCTGAAGAAAAAGGTTGCTTCTTCAGTGCCTGGATAAGATTGGGTTTATATTCCGGATCAACACACCATAAGGAACCTTTTCCATTAACCTAGAATAAAATGCACAAGAATAACTAGGAACTTTTATACATAAACAGTCAGCGTCTAAATGTTTTAAATAAATGTGCAGGGGTAAATAATCTCTAGCACCTTTTGAGTATGAAACTAAGGTTGAAGTGAGCTTGCTATGTGTGCACTGTAGTGACTAAAAGGGATTCATCCTATGATGTACAAAACTTCCTCTAATTCACAAGATTAGTGAGGTTCAAATGTTATTAGCTTCTGGTTTTATATTATGCCTTTTCTACTTCAAAAACTCTTTCTTAAAATTTGAATTACCTTTACGACTACATTAACAATTATTTAGATAACAACAAAATTTACTTGTTTCCCATTCTCATACTCCTTTTTGCGTGTATCAAATCTTCTATGATATAAGCTATTATGATTGCTATTAAGATTTAATGTGATGATCTCCAGAGTCCTTCCATTTCCCACACTCTTTTTCAAGGTACTACTAGTCTATTATTGACGCTCTTTTATCTCTGAATATCATTTCATAATTTTTATAGCAGAATGGCAAAATGAAAGAACACCGTTCTATAGGTTCAAAAACCAAGGTCCCGATCACTACTTATTGACTGGCTATGTGATATTGGGCAAATCATTTAATTTTTGAGAGTCAGACTTCTCATTTACATTTTACCCGTAAAGTAAAACAACAATGCAGGCCACTTCACTGAATTGTAATGAGATTCAAATAAGAGGATTTATATGCAAGAGACATAGCTGCAAAATAGGTGAATATTAAGGGGCCATTCTGAAACTGACGTACGTAAGGGTTGCTGCATGTTGGTTGAATAATAGTATGTTCCTACTCCTTTACTTTCCACCGAGGAGGGAATTTTGAAAAAAAAACGACAATAAGAAAAAAATACATTAGTTCTGAATAAAAGGCAAAAGTTAGGTGGTAAAAAAAAACGGGATAAAATTAATTTAGGAGAGAATAAAACCTTTTGCCTGTGAAAAGGTGTAGCAATTGAGTGTAAGGCAGTTTTTTACTATGCTGGCAATTTATATAAATAGAAAAACCATGGTTGTCATATCACACTATCATAAAGAAAGAAATGCACTGGATTATCAGGAGAAACATTTTCCTGGTGTTTAGCAGCAAGATATCACATTAACTATACTAAAAAAGTATTTGACATTTTCTTTTTTTTTTTTTTTTTTTCAATAAAAGACAAGTTTTACAAATGTATTTTTGGATTAAATGAAACTTCTTAACTTAGCTATATGTTCAGTCACCTGGACCAAATGATAAATGTGTTTTGATGACAAGGAAAAAAATGTTAGCACCAGGCCAGGTGCGGTGGCTCACGTCTGTAATCCTAGCACTTTGGGAAGCCGGCGAAGGTGATTGCTTGTGCTCAGGAGTTCAAGAGCAGCTTAAGCAACATAGCAAAACTCTGTCTCTACAAAAATAGAAAAAATTAGCCTGGTGTGGTGGTGCGCGCCTATAGTCTCAGCTATTCAGGAGGCTGAGGCCAGCCTGGGTGACAGAGTGAAACGCTGTCTCAAAAAAAAAAAAAGGAAGAATTAAAATGTTAGCACCTACAACATCTTTTGCCCCAAAGCCAATTCAGTTTCATATAGAAAAGATACGCAGCATTACTTTTCATACACAGACCAAGACAATTATTTTAATAATGCTAGCCATGCTCTACCTTGGAATTCCTGAGATTACGCTCCTAGAAATTGTTTAGTTCAAGTCTACTTTTCAAATTCTATTGTGAGGGGACTGCAAATTGTTTTGATCACAGTAGAGTTGCTATTTCCTTGAAATAGCAAATTGGAAAAACTGGTATTGAAAACGTGCAGTTTCAGGGCAGTTAAGTATCTTGAGTATGGTCTCAAGTAACAGTCTGGTTTACGTTACCATGGCAGCACTTCCTTTCACTGGGTCTGTTCATGAACTATCATGAACAAGAGATAAAACTCTGTATTTGCTAATCTACATTTTAAAGTCTACAGCAAAAAGAAACTTATTTGTAACTAATTTTCCACTTAAAAGCTTTGGTCCTATATTATTGGGCTTAGATGAGAGAATACAAATAATAACTGTTTAAAACTAAATTTGCCTATAACAAAATAGCCTTCTGTGCTACGGAAACAGGAAATGAGCATTCTCTCATTTTATTATTTTGCGTTTTAGAACTCTAAGGCTTCTGAACTTACTTGGTAGAGAACTGCTAAAGGTTTTGAAGAAATTTTGAATATACTAAAAGGTGAACTTTAAAAAGAATTGTCTTAACAGAAGTGGTAAAGACTAGATTGGGAGAAAAGGCAACGTTCATTATTCCTAAAATGTTTTTATGAACTTGTCCTGTATATTTTAATAGAGTTGCTCACCTTGTCTACTACCAAAAAGAAGGCAAAATGGCAAGGCCTAGATAAAACTATAAAGTGGTAATGATTTTCAGTGGCTTTTAGAACCTCTGAATTAAAAATAATTAACTGATTAAAATTTTACCACACTAGGAAAAAATTTAATTCCATGTTTCCCAGCTAAAGTCTCATAGTAATAATGTTTAAGATGGGCTTTATAAAAATTTAGAAAAGTACATACAAGACTTGGATATTAACTTTTTTTTTTTTGAGACAGTCTCGCTGTGTCAATCAGGCTGGAGTGCAGTGGCGCGATCTCGGCTCACTGCAACCTCCGCCTCCCAGGTTCGGACGATTCCCTTGCCTCAGCCTCCCAAGTAGCTGGGATTACAGGTGTGCACCACCATGCCCGGCTAATTTTTGTATTTTTAGTAGAGACAGGGTTCCACCATGTTGGCCAGCCTGATCTCGAACTCCTGACCTCAAGTGATCCACCTGCCTCGGCTCCCAAAGTGTTGGGATTACAGGCGTGAGCCACCACGCCTGGCCAATTTTTATTTTTATTTTTATTTATTTTTTAAATTGGAGACAGAGTCTTGCTCTGTCATCCAGGATGGAATGCAGTGGCACGATCTTGGCTCACTGCAACCTCTGCCTCCGGGTTCAAGTGATTGTCGTGTCTCAACCTACCAGAGTGCTGGAATTACAGGTGTAAGTGCCACTGTGCCCAGCCAGATGTTAACATTTAAAACATAAAGCCCAAACCAAAGCAAGCTGAACCAAAAGACAACCATATATAATTTTAACAAATTTAAAATCCAGAGACAAATAAATACCAAACCAGGATTGTTAGACCTGTCTTTTCAGAGTAGTAAAAATGGTATGATGATAGGGAGAAAAACATCTTAATCAGCAGCTGTATCAGCTGGCTATCATTATCCCTTCATAGTTTGATCTAGACCTTGCCATTCTGCCTCCTATTGGGATTATCATCTCTAGATAACCGCCATTCATCAGAAAAGTGCTGTCAAGGTTGCCAAATGCAATGCTAACATTTAGTGCAACTAAGTATATTTGGCTTCCACAGATTGGAAGAAAAATACTGTCATTCTGTCACTGACCCAAGAAACATTTCATAAATTAAAAAAAAAAAATCCACATGCATTCCCAAATCTACTTGAATGTATCTCTTTCTGTCTAAATCTCAGACATTTAGGCAAAATAGTTAACTGATTTTTATGAGACGATTTACAAGTTCCTTCCCTCCCACCCTGACTCGTGGTGATAGCTTGCTAATTTTTATGCCAATATATTACCATTTCTATATTTATCCCTTTTTTAAAATTGTAAGATGATTTCTCTCCTTTTCGTTATCAAATTCTACCTATACTCTGGACTGCATCCTTTCCCATTCTCTAGCTCTCACTTCCTTAATTTCTTCCTTTCTCTGAACATTCAAAACACTCAGATTAATTACATTAAAAATGTATACATTTAAAAATTATAGATGTGACCAACTCCCTTTTGAGTATTATCACAAATCATACTATTGGACATATGGTTTTGTAACTTTTACTAAAAATAATACCACTGTGAATATTTTCACATACATCTTCTTGTATGCAACTATGAATGTTACTCTAGGGGAGAAATCAGAATATGATCTGCTAGATCAAAGAAGAGCCCATTTCTAATTCTAGTAACTACTGCCCTCAAGAATGGTCATATTAATGTACTCCTATCAATGATGTGAAAGTATCAATATTTACTCATGTCCTCAAATATTTAAAATTTTTGAATTCTAATAGATAAAAAAGCATTTTTTGTTCTTTTAATTTGAATGTCCCTCACACACATTACTAGTAAGATAAACATCTTTGTTTATGTTTATTGCCTATTTGTGTTTCCTCCTCTGTGAACTGCCTATTCATATACTTGCCCATTTTTCTATTAGATTTTCATTTTCTTATTAAATTATATGAGTTTCTTCTATAATGGTATACTGTTGATAGTAAACATTGCTTCTCAACTCCACATTTAGCAAAAGCTAAACAGCCTGTCCCTAGCCAGTTGTTAAACATTTATCAGCACAGCACTTTTTTTTGTTTTTGAGACGAAGTCTCGCTCTGTTGCCAGGCTGGAGTGCAGTGGCACAGTCTCGGCTCACTGCAACCTCTGCCTCCTGGGTTCAAGTGATTCTCCTGCCTCAGCCTCCCAAGTAGCTGGGATTACAGGCACACGCCACCACACCCAGCTAATTTTTGTATTTTTAGTAGAGATGGGGTTTCACTCTGTTGGCCAGGCTGGACTTGACCTCTTGACCTCGTGATCCGCCCACCTCAGCCTCCAAAAGTGCTGGGATTACAGGTGTGAGCCACCGCGCCCAGCCAGCACAGCACTTATTATATATTTTGAATCCTAATCTTTTGGCTGCTACTTTCTCAACAACTTCTTCTTAGCCAATCATTTTCAAGTGTTCTGCAACATTTGACACTGTTGGCCATTCACACTTCAGCTTAGCTTCCTTGGCTTCATTACACCATACTTTTCCTAGATTATTCCACTCAGAAGCAATGCTGATAAATTCCAAACTTAAGAGCTGTAATCTCACCACATCACCTCTATTCCTGCCTATATTTCTAAGTACCTAGTAGATGGTTACCTTTTATGTACCATCATAAGTATAAACACAATAGTTCTAAAAGTATAAAAGAATTAAGTGACACAATTCAAGAATAAAATCACTAAGGAAATTCTAAATGCATAAACAATAGCAAACAATGACACTGTTAACTATAAGGGTAAATTTAAACGGAGACTACATAAAATAATTATGAAATATGTACAGTGTTTAAAAAAAAAAGACAGAGGATAACAATACCAACACAACAGAGGAAAAAGAATAAAGGGAGATCAATTTCAAAGAAGGCAAAGAGAAGGAAGGATAGGGAGATGATTTTCACTGTAGCAGTGTTTATAACAAAAAATTAGAAACCCAAATGTTCATCCACATCACAATTAAAGAGAATTATGCATTAAGATGAAAAAAGATGCTGAGCTTTTAAAAGGTTATTGAATAATATCACTCCCCCCTTTCTCTTTCACACACACACACACACACACACACACACACACACACACACACACACACACACAGTCTTAAGTGACTATTCTACTAAGGCCTTGACCTCAGAGAGCTCTCATATCTTCCCTAGTGGGAGAAGCAAATCTATACATAACTGGGATATGTATGTTATAAAGGTAACAAACAGAATGCTATAAAAACACAAAATGAGTACAAAAAAGCAGGAAATGCTTGAGAGGTGACTTCTGAGCTGGGCTTTGAGGAAATGTTCTCTCCACTGAAAGTGAATTACGAAAATGCAGTGTAGATAGAGGAACAAAATAAACAAGGACTATTTATAGTATACTGGAATAGCAAGTAGTCTTGTGGGGGTAGATCATGGAGTAGTGAAGAAAAAAAACTGCAAAGACAGGCAGAAGCCAAACTGGGGAGGGTCTTGAAAACCATGTTAACAAGTTTGGCTTTTATTTAGTAAGTCATATTTACTAAAGGTTACTAGTTACAAAAACTGAAGTAAAAATGAGGCTCAGAGAGTCTAACTTTACCAAGTCACACATCTATCTGGATCTAGGAACATACCTGAATCCAATCCTTCATGCTGACTCCTCAACTTATATAATAGTTCAATTTGATGAGAAATGAGGGGAAGACCTGAACTAAGGCCAATGTTATGGTAGAAACTAAAAGAAATGGCCAGAATCAAAAAGCAACTTGTAGGTATTTATAGGTGCTACTAGATACTGCTTTTTCTTGAATCTAACCCCTGGCTTTGACAGGCTTTCTAGACCAGGATCAATTAATACCACGTATCTCACTTTTTTGGTTATAAAATAAGGAAGTTCATCAGGATAATGTCTATATTCCTTTCAAATTTGACATTCAAATAACTTAGGCATTGCAAAGAGCAGGTACCCAAGATGACTCAGATTTCTAGCTGAGACCCAAATAGATCCTTGGAGAAGAGAGAGGAATAAAGTCCAATTTCGGACACACTGAATTTGAGATACCTCCAGATCTAATAATTAGTTGCAAATTTACGTCTGGGCTTTAGGAGAAAGATCTAGAAGTCATAAGATCACAGACGACATATTAAGCCATGGGAATTAATGAGATTAAGAAAATACTAAATCAACAAAAAAGACAAAATAGTGAACACTAAAGTTTAAATGGCAAGTGGCAAAAGAAAAAGATGGAGAGTCCACACAGGTAAACAAAGAATTAAGCACAGTGTTATACAAATCAAAGAAAAGATGAATTCCCAGAGCTAATCATGTCATATAATGCAGTTTTAGGTTGAGTAAGACAGAAAAGAAGTCAGTGGATTTAGACATAAGGAGGGCAATGATTACAAAGTGTTCAAATCCCACATCTTCACTGAAACTATCTCTGTTTGCATGGTACTACTAACTGTAACATTCCTTTGGCAAATGAATTCAGATATTGTTTAAGGTAATATATTGCCCTATCATTCACACTGTCACAAGTCAAATACAGAGAAACTCCATCATGCTCCTGGCTTAAAAACTCTCACTGGTTTGCTCTCAAAACTGAAGTCCAAACAACTGAAGCCCAAAACTGAAGTCCAAGCATGATATTCATCACACTTCTATTCTGGATCACTCTGCTTTTCCACCCTGCTCTCGTACATTCCTCACCAACAGAGAATATGCCTACTGCCCCAAACTCCCAGCAGAATATACTATTGCCCTTTGGCATATGTTACCCTTCTAAAACCTGTTCTCTTTTTTCAAAGCACACTTCAATGGCAAACTTTTCCATAAAAATTTCCCAAATCTTTTAGTTTAGGGGTCCCCAACCCCCAAGCTGGAGACCGGTACAGGTCCATGGCCTCTTAGGAAACAGGTCACAGAGCAGGAGGAGAGTGGAAGTTGAGAAGCATTACCACCTGAGCTCTGCCTCCTGTCCGATCAGCCCATGCATTAGATTCTCACAGGAGCTCAAACCCTATTGTGAACTGTGCATGTGAGGGGATCTAGGCTGTGCGCTCCTTATGAGAATCTAATGCCTGATGATCTGAGGTGGAACAGTTTCATCCCAAAACCATATCCCATGTCCCCACCTCAGGTAGCAGAAAAACTGTCTTCCACAAAACCAGTCCCTAGCGTCAAAAGTTTGGGGACCACTGTGCTAGGTAATAATTAATCAACTTCTCTCTGACTCTGTTCATGTTGCTATTATGATATTTCTTTCTATATCGTATTATGATTAACTGTTTGCCTTCTTACTTTTTAAAACTTAAACTCCTTCACGCCAGGAACCATCTCACCACTGCACTCCAGCCTGGGCGATAGAGGGAGACTCTGTCTCACAAAACAAAACGAAAAACATTGGATTCAACTTTGGCCGAGTGCAGTGGCTCACACCTGTAATCCCAGCACTTTGGGAGGCTGAGACAGGTGGATCGCTTGAGCCCAGGAGTTAGAGACCAGCCTGGGCAGCATGGCAAAACCCTGTCTCTACTAAAATTAGAAAAAATTAGCTGGGTGTGGTGGTACATGCCTACAGTCCCAGCTACTCAGGAAACGGAGGTAACAGGATTGCTTGAACCCTCGGAGGTTGCAGTGGGCCGAGATTGAGCCACTGCACTCCAGCCTGGATGACAAAGTGAGACCCTATCTCAAAATAAAAAAAATAAAATAAATTGTAACAGAGTCCATCCTGTGAGGTGAGATGTAACATATGAACTCTTACTTTTGGCAGAGCACAGAGATGGCAGTCGTAAAAGAATGTAAGAAAAAAACAACACCCAAATTTTAAAACATTTATTAAAGACCAAATGTTAGCTAGCATGACAGCTTAGAATCCCTGACATTCCCAGAAGAAGAGTCTGCCTCCACTAGGCTAGGTCTTTTTCCACTGGCCTCCATCTGGTGCTCCAGAGGAAGACTGCAGGCAGGCCAGGAAGCCTGAGAGAGAAACCCTTATGAATGAAGACAGATGTACAGAATCTGCCAAGGTTTAGGCAAAGATCATCCATGTTCTAGACCCTGAACAAGCAAAAGGTGAAGATCAGATAGTGGTGTAGGACAGACACAAACCTGCCTATATCCTGGACTCTTCTCTAAAACAAAGCAAAAGCTGTCTGCCACTGAGGAAGAGGCAAAATACTTTGCCCACTCTAGTCCCAGGCAAAGGATGGCTGTTGCTAAAAGAGAAGTATAAAACCTAGCTATCCCCATATTTAACAAGGCAATGTGCCATGTGCCACTAGAAGAAAGGCAGAAAATCTGCTCATGCTCAAATCTGCTGATGATACAGAGAACTGCTGCCACTGGGAAAGGGAGTGGTCACTCACTTTTGTCCAAGACCTCCCACTAAGACTAGGCTGAGTTTCTCCACCATAATGGGAATGAGCAGAAAACTGGCTTGAACTCTAAAACAGCACTGTCTAAAAGGACTGTTTATGATGACAGAAATATCCTATAGCTGTTCAATATGCCAACCACTAGCCACATGTGGATAAATGGCAACTGAAGAATGCAGCTCTAGGTCTATCTTTGCCTAAATCTTGGCAGATTCTGTACATCTGTCTTCATTCATAAGGGTTTCTCTTAGGCTTCCTGGCCTGCCTGCAGTCTTCCTCTGGAGCACCAGATGGAGGCCAGTGGAAAAAGACCTAGCTAGTGGATGCAGACTCTTCTTCTTCTGGGAATGTCAGGGATTCTAAGCTGTCATGCTAGCTCACATTTGGTCTTTAATAATTTGATTTAAAATTTGGGTGGCTTCTTTTTCTTACATTCTTTTACGACTGCCATTTCTGTGCTCTGTCAAAGGTAAGAGTTCATATGTTACATCTCACGTCACAGGATGGACCCTGTCACATTTTATTTATTTATTTTTTGAGACGGAGTTTCACTCTTGTTGCCCAGGTTGGAGTGCAATGGCACGATCTAGGCTCACCACAGGTTCAAGCAATTCTCCTGCTTCAGCCTCCCGAGTAGCTGGGATTACAGGCATATGCCACCATGTCTGGCTAATTTGTTGTATTTTTCGTAGAGACAGGGCTTCTCCATGTTGGTCAGGCTGGTCTTGAACTCCCAACCTCAGGTGAACCGCCAACCTGAGCTTCCCAAAGGGCTGGGATTACAGGTATGAGCCACCACGTCCAGCTTATTTTTTTATTTTGAGACAGGGTCTCACTTTGTCATCCAGACTGGAGTGCACTGGCACAATCTCGGCCCACTGCAACCTCCGAGGGTTCAAACAATCCTCCTACCTCCATTTCCTGAGTAGCTGGGACTACATGTACCACCACGCCCAGCTAATTTTTTCTAATTTTAGTAGAGACAGGGTTTTGCCATGTTGCCCAGGCTGGTCTCTAACTCCTGGGCTCAAGCGATCCACCTGTCTCAGCCTCCCAAAGTGCTGGGATTACAGGTGTGAGCCACTGCACTCAGCCAAAGTTGAATCCAATGTTTTTCGTTTTGTTTTGTGAGACAGAGTCTCCCTCTATCTCCCAGGCTGGAATGCAGTGGTGAGATGGTTCCTGGCATTAAAGAGTACATTTTGCTACTGAAAAATGCAGCTCTAGACTCTATATTGAGTAGATGGAGAGACTGTCTGCTCCTGGGGGAGGCACAGAAAGACTCACACCTGAAGCACAGGCATGCAGAACCTGTTTAAGACTAATGCTGGAGAAGAATCAAGGATCCTACTCTGCCCCATCCAAAAGCCTTGCTCCAAGTAACAAGCAATAGCAATCTAGTGCTGTAGGAAGGGCAACAGAGAGAGCTATCTTACCTCTCTCCCAACCTCAAATGTGGCACAAGCTAGAAGATGAAGTTGTAGCAGTAATGCTGAGACAAAAAAGTCATCTATTGCTCCAGGCCTCACTTTAAACACAAAGTATTGGCAGTCCATCTCTGTAGGAGTCTGAAGAGTGTGGTGTACTGATGGTAATTACTGCAACCACAAACACTCAAAACTCTTCTCAATTACTAACTAGACTGACCAATACCTGTTCACACTAACAGCCTAACAGAGTAGAGGCATGCCTATTTCTGGGTAGAAATATTACATACTTCCGTCCCTGCCATTCTTTTGCAATGTCTGATATTCAATCCAAAATTATAAAATACATACAAAAACAAGAGATTAAAACAGTCAGCAAAACCAGATCCAGAGATGGACCAGATATTGAAACTGACAGACATTATATAATAACTATAATTAATATGTTTATGGATCTAGTGGGGAATTTTAGCAGAGACAGAAACTTTTTTAAAAGGAAAATGAAAACATTAGAAATTAAAAACATGAAGAAGTCCTTCATTGGGGCTTATCAGCAGAATGAACACAACAAAGAAAAACGGTGAACCTATAGAAAAATCAATAAAAATTATCCAAACTAAGAGAGAAAGAGTGGAGGAAAGGCAAAGCAATCAAGAGGTAAGACAAATAGCAAATGGTCTAATATATTTTTACTTGGAGTCCTAAAAGTAGGAGTGAGGCAGAAGAAATATTTGAAGAGATAATGAGCAAAAATTTCCTAAATTTAATGAAAGGCAATAAACCATATATTTAAGAACCACTGAGAACCCAAAGCAAGATAAAAATAAAGAATAACACATCTAGGCCCTCTATAGTCAAACTGCTGAAAAACAGTGATAAAGAGAGAAAGAAAAAATACTGAAGACAGCAATTAAAAAAAGAGACATTACATAAAGAGGAATAATGACAGCAGACTTCTCACCAGAAACTATGGGAGCCAGAAGACAATAAATCATCTTTAAAATACATAGAAGAAAAAAATGTCAACCTAGAATTCTAAACCTGCACCCCACAAAAAAGTTTAAAATAACCATTGCCAGCAAAACTGAATAATGAGAAATTTTAAATAAACTTCTCCAGGCAAAAGGAATTAATCCAATAGGGCATCAGGTGCCAAGCAACTTTTTCTGTAAAGAGCCAGTTACGTGAAATGGTATAATATTATTTGAAGGTGGACCAATGATAAATTAAAGATGTATACTGAAAACCATATAGCAACCACTAAAATACATAAATAATCAGGCAATAGTAGAGATAAAATTGAAGCATAAAACACACACACACACACACACACACACAACACCTCGGCTGGGCACAGTGGCTCACACTTGTAATCCCAACACTTTGGGAGGTCAAGGTGGGTGGTACTTGAGGTCAGGAGTTCCAAGACCAGTCTGGACAACATGGCAAAACCCCATCTCTATTAAAAATACGAAAATTAGCAGGGCGTGGTGGCACACACCTGTAGTCCCAGCTATTCTGGATGCTGAGGCATTAAGAATCGCTGGAACCCAGGAGACGGAGGTTGCAGTGAGCAGAGATCGCGCCACTGTACTCCAGGCTGGGTGACAGATCGAGACTGTCTCACAAAAAAAAAAAAAAAAAAAAAAAAGCACCAAAACACCAAAACCAAAAGTGAAGAACACCTCATCCCACAAAAGGCAGGAAAAGTGGAAAAGAAAATCAAATAAATAGCAAGGTGATAGATTTAAACCCAACCATATCAATTTCATTAATTTAAATGGTCTATACTTTGATTATAAGGCAGAGATTATCATATTGAATAAAGAATCAAATGCTGATAGTTATAGGAACACTACAGAAACTAGAAACAAAGAACTAAAATAATAAAAAGACTAATCTAGGTACCTATAGTGGACAAAACATAATTCTGCTAAATTTATATCAATATTTAAGAAATTTTAAAACATCTCAAGTGAAAACAAATGAATATAATTCAGTTCAGCTGAAGTAATTTGACTTGACTACTTATTGTCTCCCCGATTTCCAGATATTTTAAGGGCTCCATGTTAATTAGTCCCCCCACCTCACCAAATATAGCAATGTTCATAAACACTGACCTTGCCATGGCTTCTTTCCACTTTCTGAAAACATTTATTCAGGGACAGATTATGTCGAACAGAATTCTTCCAGCCTGTTGGTGCAGTAGCAAAATATGGAAAATGGTCCAGAATCCAGCTATAAATTTCTTTGACAGGCAAACATTTATTTGGAGAGTGCTCAATGGCCATATAAATGAGAAGACTAAAGGAGTATGGGGGCTTTGAAGTCGCTGATTTTTTTTCTGGGTTCTGGTAGCAAGCTGGTCCAAAGGATGGCACATCATCTCCCTCTATGTCATACAATGGACTAACAATTGGAAGACCCTCACTTCCGAGGCTGAAGTTTGTTAGAAGATTAGTGCTTTCATGAAGCCAGTTCAAGTTTGTGAGTTCATCATCTGCTGACTCACTGTCCACTAGAGTGGCCTTCGGCCTGGCAGCATCAACAGCTTCAGGCAAGCTTCCCATTTTGTAAATCTGGCTTAATCCTGCAATCTTTTCAGCTCCTGGGGTTTCAGCTCTCTTATCTGGAGTCATTCCAATTACTGGACCCATTTACTCTTACAGTTCTGCAACAAAGGAAACAATTATCAATGTAATACTTTAGATTCTTAAACTCTGGGAAAAAGAAAATACATATGTAAATATCCCCAAATCAGAGAAATTTTGCAATCAATTGTCCCACATAATATTTAAGCACAACATTTGTATAATGAAGATACTAATGGTTATAATACAAGGAAAATAACTTATATTAGTTGAAATGGCTGTAAATAAAGTGCAGCTTTATAGGACCAGGTGTATGGGTGATATTAACACAATTAAATAGTGTATTTTAAATACTTAGTAAAGTACCTAGCCCACACTAATCACCTAATAGGAAGTGGCTATTATTACTTAAAGTGGACAGGCTATTTCTTTGAACTATAAGACTTTATACGTATCTTAAGAATCTATGATTTTACTATATACAAATAGTTGAATCTTGAAAATAATAAATTTGAAATATTTAAGCAATATTTTAAAATAAACCCTTTCCTCAAATCTCAAATATTTACTATAAAAAGAAACTATGTATACTATTTTTACAGCACGTCATACTAAAAAGAGATAACATTTTTATTTCATTATTTATTTTGAATCGACAAATAATGATTATATATATTTATGGGGTACAATGTGATATTATGATACATGTATATATTGTGAAATGATTAGATCAGGCTAATTAATATATCCATCACCTCATATACCTATCTCTCTTTGTGGTGAGAACATTTTAAATGGTCTTTTAGGAATTTTGAAATATACATTATTATTAACTACAGTCATCATGCTATGCAATAGGTCACTAGAACTTACTCCTCTTGTGTAACCAGAACTTTGTACTCTTTGACTAACATCTCCCCCTTCCCTACACCCTCCTCCTACCCCCACCACCCATATCTGGTTACCAACCATTCTACTCTATACTTCCGTAAGTCTAACAAGATAACACTTCTTATTCACTAAATTTATCATTAGCTAAATTAAATTCACTATAAGTTATCATTTCTTTTTAAAATCCCAGTACTTTTAAACTCTGCATTCTATATCATCTCAAGTACTGACATTTCAAGGCTGGCATTCTCTTAGTAAGGTATGAACTGTCCCTGTACTTTCAAGGAGAGCGAAAAATAGCTGTTACTATTCTTTTTTCATTTCTATTTTCTCAAATTATTTTTGTTTTGCACTTTAAACACCCTTCTATTCAAAAACTTTATCATGAGACAATAACAGACCAGAGAAGAAAGCAACAGGCTAATGTGCTATTTAATTAATTTTCAATGGCTCATAAAGATAACTCATTTCTAAATTCAGTGAAAAACCGACTATTATCCTATTCAACCCACTTATGCTTGTGTAACTGAAATAATTGGGGGGGGGGGGTACCTCCAGAGTTTGTTTTGCTTAAGACATAGATGGCAGGTTACTTCAAGAATTCTGAAAACCGGCTAATTTTATTTCTACTTTTTATGTCAGTTATGTAAAAGAGAAAACTAGTTAATTTTAGATGTAGAACAGTTTATCTGGATTCTGGGAGCTACCACCAGAAGTAGTTAGCCTCAGAGCACTCCATTAGCAACAGCCTTAGATAATACTTTAGTGCCCAGGCATTGTGCTAAACAATTTACATATGATATCTCAATTAACTGTCAATTAAACCCTATAAGGTAGGCACTATTATTAATTCAACTTTATTGATGAGGAAAATTAATCAGAGAGGTTAAGCGTAAGTGGAACTGTCAGAATTTAAATCCAGGCAGACTGACTCCAGAAACAAAACTCTAACCACAATATGTGCTGGCAACAGTATGTACACAACACCCATGAGCACCAATGACTCAAATCCTATTCATTTTAAATCTTAACAGCATTCTTTCCATATCCAGTTCTTATCTCTCTCCTGTGCACCCATAACTTGAAACATCACAACACTGTAAAAAGGAAAAGATCAAACGATAACGGATTTGGTTTCTGTTTCAATCTCTTATGAAAACCACACATAAATAAACATTCACATATATGAGCACACAATGTATTTCAGAACTGATATCCTGTACTATGTAAGTGACCAAATTATTCATTTTATCAAAGTCTCTCTATTCATAGAGACTTAAAAACATGACGAATGAGAATTGAATAATGTCTTGCTTCCTTAAAAAACAAACAAAAAACCACTCTTTAGTGTACCCAGTGTTCAGTTAAAGAAGGGAGTGATTAATTTCTAATGTCTCACTTTTGCCTTGTCACTTAAATCTCCATCTATCTTCCATTACATCTAGAAATTAGAAAGTACCAAACAGCAGTGGCTAACATTTGCTGAGATTTTACTACATTACAGATTCTATGTCATAGGCTTTAAAATGCATCATCTCTACTTACTCTGAACTACTCCTTAGTTCAATAAATGCCCTTCCTTTCCAACTGTGAATTCCATGAGGAGGCAAGAGTCTTTTTTTTTTTTTAAAGAGACAGGGTCTCACTCCGTCACCCAGGCTGTAGTACAGTGGCGATATCATGGTTCACTGTAACCTCCACCTCCTGGGTTCAAGCGATCCTCCTGCCCCAGCCTCCCAAGTAGCTGGGACTACAGGCACACACCATGCCCAGCTAATTTTTAAATTTTTTTTATAGAAACAGAGTCTTGCTATGGTTGCCCAGGCTGGTCTCAAACAATTGGCCTCAAGCAATCCTCCTGCCTCAGCTTCCCAAAGTGTTGGGATTACAGGCATGAGCCACCATGCCTAGCTGGGATAAGAGTTTTTTACTTTTGCATTCCTAATGAATCTTTTCAAAATGTTGAGTATGAGTAGACACTCAAATCATAATTATTTCAGATGGAAATGAACTCATAATACAAATTATTTGTCTATTCTGCAAAAAGGTGCACTAACTGCCTTGAAGAGTTAATTTATTTTGGAAATGAATCCTTAATGGTAGGAAACATCCTAAATGGTAACAATAAAAAAAACTGAAATTCATTGTTAATAAGGAAATGGAAATGAAGTAAGCCATTTCCCTAAGGTTCTAAAGCTAATAAAAAGTGGAGCCAAAATTATAAACGAGGCTAAGTTCAATATTCAAATTTCTGGCCATTAGAGTCACTCTCAATCGCTCAAGAAACTTGAATTTTTATCAATACTACTTAAAACAGAAATAGTGAGTTTTATTAACGTAACATACTCAAAAATCAGTCTCCTGATAACTATTGACTAAATTTTCTCATAAGTAATTTAAATGGTTGCAAGTATGTTATTCCTCTGAATTACAAGTTTACAAAAAAATTTCATTAAGATGTAAAGAAATAGTATGGCAGCAAAATATGCCAAAGAGTTACAGAGTGTTAATCCAAGCAAAGTTTAAAAACCAAGTATTGACATTATTAAAAACCAAGTGCTGACATTATCTTAGTAAGGTTTGAACTGTCATTGTGTTTTCAAGAAGGAAAAAAAGCCGTTTATAAACTATCCTTATAGAACACTTTAGAGCACTATCCACTTAGATGAGATCAGGCATGTTCAGGGTGCTATGACCGTAGACAGAGCACTATCCATTTGGAACACCAAGTCCACCACAATGGATAAACAGGCAAATGATCTTTTCTCACATATTAAATACAAATAGCAAACAAATACATAAATTAAAAAATTATATAAAAAACTTATTTTAAAAAATATAAAATAAACAATTTTGGGCAAGGACCTAGGGCCATTTCGGAAAGCTAAATGGAAATGTGTATCACGAATTATTAAAAATTTCATTCTTTGACCCAACAATTCCAAATGTGTCACTTTTGTGAAATAATCTTATGTAGGGAAAAAGATATTCCCTTCCCAACCCACGATGTGTGGAGGGACACACAGATATTCATCCAAGAATTATTAAAGATAATGGAAAACTATAAACAACTTACATTTTCTATAACAGAGAAATGGTAAACTAAAGCCCAACTATTCAATCTAATATTTAGTAGCCATTAAAAATTACTGACTTGAAGAATGTGAATAAATTAAAAAGCTTATAAAAACCAGTGAAAAAGTAAAAAATACATACAAAAAAGAAAACGGTGATTTATATTACTAATTTTTGTCTTTGTTGTTCTATTTCCCAATTTTTCTTTAATGTGCTTATTATTTTTATAGTTTAAAATTAAAACAATAAGCTCAAGGGAGAAAAGGCTGTACTACATTATTTTTAGATGTAGTATTTCCATTTCACACACAAAAATCAAATCTTAAAAAGGTCATGGACTTATCAGAGAGCTCAAGTCAAAAACAGAAGCCACCTCTTATATTCTTAGTACAGCTTGTTCTGTTACAAACCTTTTCCATAACACGAATTAGCCCATTGGTAAATAAGGGAATGATTTTAGTATAATGTAAGTCATATTGGTTTGTACATGATTCTTCTCAGCCTATGTTTTTGTACTACCAAACAACAACAGCTGAACCCGAAATAGGCTAACACAGTGGAAAGCAGCAAGCTGCTGAAAAGACAGTACGGTACACAATTCTCATTCAACCCATGTTCTTCCTCTTGGCACAGCTTGGCCACATGCTCTTTCTTGGAAGTGTTTAATGAGCTCTTCTTTCCAAATCTTTATGCATTTTACCCTGGCATCCATCATCCTGTAGCTTCAACCCTTCCTTGCACAGTGTTCATGTTCTTTTTAAAATCCTAAACTGACCATATTACTTGTTTGTGACAAATTTCATATATGTTTTAATATATTCTAGTATTCTCATTAAGATTTATTTTTGTTAGCATTCTGGTTACAAAGCTGCATATTTTTCACTTTTGAGTGAGTTGGCCCATCAGCTGTGCACAATTTTAGTGTGTTCAGGAATATATAAATATGCAATATTACTACAAAAAGATCTGTATATTTCACAATAAAATCAAGAAAACTTTCTATTTTATTTATTTTAAAAATTATAGTCTTATGAGAAACTACATCTTAAAATGAAATGAAAACATTCACTAGCACAGCATTAATAATATGCATGGTCAGTTTGCTTCATAAAGCCAAATGCATAAATAAAAGGAAACCTGGGCCTATGATGTAACATTTCTTTTTATTACTCCTTTAAGAACAGTATTTCAATGAACCACATAAAATTGTGATACATAACAAATATTACTCAAAAAAAAGGCCAAAATAGTATGATGTGGGATTTAAAAAATGTATTCTAATTTTTAGGAGTATAACTAGCTTAATCCAAGTAATTAATACAACCACTAATAAACGAATTTCTAAGCCAAGACACTGCTATCCAAAAAAGTAGATAAATGTACTATACACTTTAGCAAAGTACACATTTGTGTTAAGGCTCCCATCTTCTACATTCTAAAAAAGAAAAAAAATTATTCACGAGGAGAATTTTAAAAGTGGAGAGTTCAAGCTTTGTGCAGTAGCAGTATCGTAGCCAATGAGGTTTATCTGAGTGCAATTATTGCTAATTGGAAACTTTTCCCAATACCCCACTGCAATTACTTGCGATATAGTCAGCACTGGCAATTTTTGACAGTCTCTATGGAGACATCAATAAATAAATAAATAAAATAAGAAAAATGAATAAAAATAAAAGTGGAGAGTTCAAACCAACCCAGTACAATCACTCTGGAACCCATCTAGAGCTTGACTGTGTGCCTGCCATGGCGGTATCTTGAGAAGAAGGCTTCGGATTTAAATGTACTATTTTTTTTTTCACAGTTGTGCAGCTCATGCATCTCCTAAGGTGTCTAACAGAGATTTGCACATCTGCATATTACGTTCAATGTTATAGTGATATCCTACTCTAGGATAAGAAATATAAAATTATGTATTGGAATTCTCTGATCATTTCCCAAAAGGTCATAGGAGAGCATTTTTGCTTAGGTTGGTATTAACATTGGTAAGAGAGAAATGCTTCAGAGACTACATAAGAAAAGGGAAACAAAGCCACAGAATTTTCAGCATTACCTAAAACATAATATGCTGCATTACAGAGAATTAGATGTGTCACAGTGATAGCCATTTTTGCCCAAAATAACTAAGAAACCTACTAAACACAAAATGTTGATTTAACCAATCAGAATTTTGACTTACTTTTCCACACTTTTAACTGATTAAAGACCGAGTTAACAAAAGGTTTTTTCTTTATACTTTTCCCAGATGTTAGAATCCTTAAACATTACTTAGCCTTCCACATTTAAACATCACATAAAATTAAATTATATGGAAGACATTCTGAGACTTGTTTTTTCCCCCATCGAATTCATTAACATTATTGTAGCAGTAATTCATTTTTACAGAGACTAGTATTCCATTTTATGAATATTCAATAATTTCTTATACTTTTAAGGAACATTTAATTGTTTATGTTTGGGGCTATTACAAGTACTACTGTTATAGAAGTCTTTGTTCATATCACCTGGTATACAAGTGTCAGAAATTTCTCTTGAGTATACATCTAAAAGTTGAACATATGTCAAGAAGTAGAATTATTTGGTCACAGAATAGCCTTCAACTTTAATTGATGACAAACTGCTTACCAAAAAATGCTGAATCAGTTACCACTAACCAGGAGTGTATATACCAAATGCTTCATGTACTTGCCAAAATTGTTTTTGCCAATCTGATGACTACTGTATTAGTCCGTTTCTACACTGCTAGAGGGACATATCCGAGACTGGGTAACTTATAATGGAAAGAGGTTTAATTGGCTCATAGTTTTGCATGGCTGGGGAGGCCTCAGGAAACTTACAATCATGGCAGAAGGGGAAGCAAAAATGTCCTTCTTCACATGGTGGCAGGAGAGAGAAGTGCTGAGCAAACTGGGGAAAAGCCCCTTATAAAACCACCAGATCTTGTGAGAACTCACTATCACAAGAACAGCTTGAAGGGACCACCCCCATGATCTAATCACCTCCCACAAGGCCCCTTCTCAACACTTGGGGATTACAATTCGGATTACAATTAAAGATGAGATCTGGGTGGGGACTCAGAGCCAGACCATATCAACTCTGAAACTGCATCTCCTTGCAGTTTTAATTTGCATTTCCCAGGCTAGTAACAGGGCAGAAGACCTTTTTATTCATTCATATATATCTGTATATGGATATATAGAATATGAATGTATAGATATATATGAACATATAGCTATGAATATATATCTATACATATGCCATTTGGATTTATTCTTCCATAAAGTATCTATTGAAGCCTTGTGCCCATTTTTTTATGGGTTTTCTTAATGATTTGTAATGTTTGGATACTAATAACTTATATGTGATGCAAATATCTTTCCCCAGTAGATGACTTGTCTTTTCAATCTCTTTATTGGTTGCTTTTAGTAAGAAATTTCTTTACTTTCATATGGTAGAATTTATTAACCCTTTTCTTTATGGTCTACAGTTTGTTTTATAATTTTTGCCTTTTACATTTAAATCTTCAACTCACCAAAAATGTATACATGTATTTTTTATCCAATTTCATCTTTCACATATAAACATAAAATTGTTCCAGCACCATTTATTAAAAATTTCAGGCCAGGCGCGGTGGCTCATGCCTGTAATCTCAGCACTTTGGGAGGCAGAGGCGGGCGGATCATGAGGTCAGGAGATTGAGACCATCCTGACTAGCACGGTGAAACCCCCTCTACTAAAAATACAGAAAATTAGCTGGGCCTGGTGGCGAGCGGCTGTGGTCCCGGCTGCTGGGGAGGCTGAGGCAGGAGAATGGCGTGAACCCAGGAGGCGGAGCTTGTAGTGAGCTGAGATCGCGCCACTGCACTCCAGCCTGGGCGACAGAGCAAGATTCCGAGATTCCGTCTCAAAAAAAAAAAAATGGCATCCTTCCTGTTAGGAGAACCTATCCACCATCAGTCCTTAGCATCCCTGCACACTCTCACCTGTTAAGAATGCAAGGCCTTTTATCTGGGCCATTTCTCAGTTTTTTGTTTGCTGCAAGCAAACCTGAGGTATGATTTAACATCTCCTACTAAAGAACAGGCCAACTTCCAGCATTTCTTCTCTGATCGATGAGATATCGAGAAAACTTTTTTTAGTTTCCATGTGATAAAGGAAGTTTTTTTGTGTTACCTATTTCTAACTTAACTGAGTTGGTATTATAACAGTGTATAGGGTATCAATTCTCTGAAATTTGTTGAAACTTGTTTCATGGCCCAGTACATGATTAATTTTCATAATGATTCATTTGATGTTTCTATGGTGCATGGATGAAATATATGTCCATTGGATGAAGCTTGTTAATCGCACTGTTTAAATTTTCTGTATTCCTACTAATCTTTTTTTGGGGTCTGCTTTCTATATCAAATACTAAGGCAGATATATTACAATCTCCTGCTATACTGGAAAAACTTTTCAATTTTTTCCTTGTACATCTGTTAATTTTTTGCTTTATTTTGTGGCTATGGTTATTAATTGCATGTAACTTTAAAACATATATATTCCTGCCAAATTAGCCATTTCCCATTATGTATCAATTCTTTTTGTCTTTAAGTCTATTTGAAATTATATACTAGCTTTCTTTCCATTAATATTAGTCAGGCAGCAGCCTAAGTGTCCATCAACGAAAGAAATGGATGTGGTGCATATACACACGAAAAAGAATGAGATCAGGCCAGGCGTGGTGGCTCACACCTGTAATCCCAGCACTTTGGGAGGCAGAGGTGGGCGGGTCATTTGAGATCAGGAGTTCAAAACCAGCCTGGCCAACATGGTGAAACCCCATCTGTACCAAAAAAAAACCCCACAAAAATTAGTGGGGCATGGTGGTGTGCACCTGTGGTCCCAGCTACTTTGGGAGGATGAGGCAAGAGAATTGCTTGAACCCGGGAAGTGGAGGTTACAGCGAGCTGAGATCACACCACTACACACCAGCCTAAGCAACAAAGGGAGACAACTCCGTCTCACTTTAAAAAAAAAAAAAAAAGAGATCCAATCATATGCAACAACATGGATGGAACTGGAGATCATGTTAAGTGAAATAAGCCAGACACAGAAAGACAAACGTCGCATGTTCTCACTTATTCATAGAATCTAAAAATCAAATGAATTGAAATCATGAACGTCTAAGAGTAGAAGGATAGTTACTAGAGGCTGGGAAAGGTAGTGGAGGATTAGTGGGAGGGAGGTGGGGGTGGTTAATGAGTACAAAAAAAAAAAAAAGTGAATAAGACCTACTATTTGATAGCACAATAGGGTGACTATAGTCAATAATAACTTATTTGTATATTTTTAAATAACTTAAAGAATGTAATTAGATTATCTGTAACTCAAAGGATAAATGCTTGAAATGATGGATACCCCATTTTCCAGGATGTGCTTATTTCACATTGCATACCTGTATCAAAACATCTCACGTACCCCATAAATATATACACCTACTATGTACACACTAAAATTAAAAAAAAAATTGCCAGGTGTATGTTTTTCCATCATTTTACTTTCAACATTTTCCTTTGTTTCCTTGTAGTCTCTATCCTAAACCCCATATACATGAATATTGTTTTTAAAGGCATACATGTATTTGGATTTACTTCTACCATCCTTTTTGGTATCCTGCTCTTTCCATGTTAATTTTTCTCTTTCTTTTTTTGCCTTCTTTGGAATGATTCTTTTTTCTCATTCCATTTTTTTTAATCCTCTACTAGTGTGGAAATTATATACATATTTCTATCACTGAAATGTCACCTTATAAATTTTGATATATACTTCTAAAAATCCAGTTATCTTTAGTCTGCTCGTAAATAAATAAATATATATACACACACACACACACACACACATATACATATATATATATTTTTTTTTTTGGAAACTGAGGCTTGCTCTGTCACCCAGGCTGGAGTGCAGTGGCACAATCTCAGCTCAAAGCAACCTCCCCCTCCCAGGTTCAAGCGATTCTCCTGCCTCGGCCTCCTGAGTAGCTGAGACTACAGGCGTGCACCACCACACCCGGCTTTTTTAAAAAAATATTTTTGGTAGACACTGGGTTTCACCATGTTGGCCAGGCTGGTCTTGAACTCCTGACCTCAAGTGATCTGCCCACCTCGGCCTCCCAAAGTGCTGGTATCACAGGCGTGAGCCACCGTGCCAAGCAACAATAAAAAGTCCTTTAAATGCTAGCTCCAATCACCTTCTCCTGGTTTATAATACAGCTTTTTATTTTTTATTTTATTATTTTTTTTTTTTTTGAGACAGAGTCTTGCTCTGTCGCCCAGGCTGGAGTGCGGTGGTGCGATGTTCACTCACTGCAAGCTCTGCCCCCTGGGTTCATGCCATTCTCCTGCCTCAGCCTCCCGAGGAGCTGGGACTATAGGCGCCTGCCACCACGCCTGGCTAACTTTTTTCTATTCTTAGTAGAGATGGGGTTTCGCCGTGTTCACCAGGATGGTCTCTATTTCCTGACCTCATGATCCGCCTGCCTCAGCCTCCCAAAGTGCTGGGATTACAGGCGTGAGCCACCGTGCCCAGCCAATATAGCTTTTTCTTAACTTCATAAGATGCTATTATTATTTATGGAGTCCACTTTTATTCACCTATATAATTGTCACCGTCTTTGATCATTTCTTCTTAAATCTCAGATTTTCTACTTCTGATCATTTACTTCTGCTTAAAAAATAGTCTGTCACTGAACTTTCACATTTTATTTGTATGAACATGTTTTTGCTATAGAATTCTACGCTGTTATTTTGTCTTGCATATCATTTCATAGTCCACTACTATTTCCATTACTGTTATCGAAACCTGAATATTCCTTTGGAGGTAATCTGTCTTTTCTCTTAAAAATGTTCCCTTTATTAACCTCTTTTATATTTTCCAATTTCTTGTCTATCTTGTGGTCTAAATTTCTTAAGATTTACCTTTCATTATGCTAACTTTTCAACAGCATATTTGCTTTTATACCTATCCACTGAATTTTAATTTCAATTACTATTTTCATTTCTAAAACTTCTGGTTCCTTTTCAACATGTTTGCTCTTTTCTTCATTTTTAAGCCTGTTACTGAACATATTAAACGTATTTGTTTTCTATTTTACATCTGATAATTCCAAAACGTGAACTATTTGCACATCTGACTCAAATGATTCTCTTATATTGTGCCTTTTTCCTTGGATGGCCTGTAATTTTTATTATAAGCCACTTATTTTCATTAGAACTTTACCAATGGGAATTCTTTGATAATGATGATTATATGTTAGGTTTTATCAGGCCCTTGGGAGTAGTAACAGCCCAGGATCATTTTAAATTCTTAAGGTTTAGTGTGAATTTATGCTGCAAACTAGTGTGAGAGCTGGTTTGTGGTAGCACATTTTCAGTGACATTTTTTCGATTTGCAGTAATATTCTAGAAGAAAATTTCTCTGTAGAAACCCTGGGGGCATAAAGGGAAATAATTTCTATATCACTCTTATAAAGGTACAGTACAATGGGGCTCCAAATTAATGAGGAAGACTATTTCCTGCTAAATGCTCCATCTTGACTGGGTCTAGGCTTTGCTTCCTGATCCCTGAGCCCCACAAAGCCATGAACAGAGAAGCTCACCTGATTTGGCAAATATCCTCAAAGCAATAGCCAGATTCAGAATTCAGCCTGGCCTAAGTACTCTCCCCTTTGCGCCAGAGCACTGATGCATTTAAGATTTTATTTTATCCAGCATTTTAGGTTGTTTTCAGCAGAAAGCTGAAGGTACTTGGTACCTTGATCCAGGTACGTGGTTCACCATGCTGCTGGAAACAGATGTTTACATTAGTTTCTGATGACAACGTCACTAAAGTACATTATCCTTTATTTTAGCACATAATTTCTTATGTTTTCCTTTCTCCCTCAGCACACTTGAGAAGTCTGACATACTTCTAACAAGAGTTGTCATTATGACAATGAATCTCAATTGGAAGTATCCCTGGAGGTAAAAGATTAATGGATACATTCTACAGGCCACACAAGTGTTGCAAATTTTCATTTTGTGCTTTCATTTCAATAATAAAAAATGTATTTTACCATTTTCAAAGAGAAAAGTGAGAGATATTTTTAAAGAAAACTGCCTTAAGAACTATAGTTGGAGATTCTCAAAACGAGATTTTTTTTTCTTTAAAAGAGATCCATATTATTTGAGAGGGGCACTGCTCCATACTGAAAGGTCTCAAATTGCTATATTTAAGTTACCAAAAAAACCTTACTTCCATATCTTAGTCCTCAATGGTACTGTATGTAGTCAATGTACCTGATTATTCAGGTCTGCAATCCCTTATCTAAAAACCTTAGGGCCAAATATATTTCAAAATTCAGAATATTTTGGATTTCAGAAAGGTGACATACACACACACACACACACCTCACATCCTAGTGAAGTCTGAGGCAACACCCCAAAATAACTATGTTAATATTTCTGTGGCAAAATGTATATTTACAGTAAAGAGGGGCTGTAAATAAAGACCACCAATACCCTTACATCCACTCAGATCATGTTTTGCCACTATAGGGTTAAGAAAACTTTTGGCTTCTGGAGCATTTTGGATTTCTAAATCATGGAAATGGACTTTTAGATTTATTATCTGTTACAGAATGGAAAGCCAGGTAAATTTCATTAGAATTTCATATAATATCACAGATCTGAATAAAATCTTAATAAGGGTAAAGAGCTTACCTTAAGGGACATGAATTTAATGCATAAACTTCGTGATTCCCCCCAACAAATACTTGTAAGTCTCTTTTTTGTCTATCTGTGGTTTAACAGGTGAGGATACAGAGTGAGTAACCTCCTGATAAGGAAATGTATTATGAATTACTATAATGTCAGAAGTACCTAAATGTATATAGGAATTTTAAATATAGAAATTTAAATCTATATAAAATGTATATAGGAATTTTAAATGCTAAAGCTAAAGTATTAGCTATATTGGACTATGATTATAGTATCTCTGCATCTAGTAATGTAGATAAAAGGTAGAGAAAGAGATGTATAAGAGATATACTATTCAGAAGAACCTCTGCTGGTTCTTTTCTAAGAGGCTTCAAATCAGAAACTTCTTGCTTCTACTACATGCATGGCTCTGTTGTCATGCTTAGAGTCTATCGTAAATATTATATAATTATAAAATGAAAGCCTTCTTCCTTTAGAAAGGATTAACATACATAACACTAGGAGATATTGGGCAGAAACTTGAGGAGGCAATATATTTGAAGTTGAAATTATGAAGGATAAGGAACTTCATTAATTTAAAAATTGAAAAAGGAAAATCTAAATCATTTACCTTGATATTAATCACATCTGGAGACAGTGAACCAAAGGATTACCAGCATGAGCTGTGAAGAAATATTGCTTGGCTTCAAATCCCAGCCCTGCTTTTCACTAAGCTATGAGACCTATCAACTTAGAATTATAATACTACCTACTTTCATAGGATTCTTAGTACAAATTAAACAACAAAAATAAAGCACTTAGAACAGAGGTACAGAGTAAGTATACAATGAATACTCGCTGCAGAGATGGTAATGATGATTATTACTACTATAAATTTTAAAATTATTAGCTTTCTTCCTAAAGTAGATGTATAAATATTATAACCTCCAAATATAAAAATCAGGGTACAAAATCAGTAACAATGCTTTATATTTTGAAGTTTTGAAATTAAAAACATATTTGTCTAGTGTTAAGGATAGATCTCCCTCACGACCAATGACATCCACTGACGAGGTGGCCAAATGAGATCAGGACTTCTTGGAAGAGTGCCACAATACGTCTTTCATCATTTTCTTTACGATTCGACTTTCACTTCCTTATTATATTTGTCCCCATGCACTCTGCAGATATTTTGCCAATCATGCAACATGATAGAACCCTTCTTCTAATCCTTGTAGTTTAATCCAAAAGTACTTTATTATAAACTTTTAATATTTTGTTATTAATGGCCAAGAAAGGTCTAAATTATTAACAGCTTTGTCTGATGCCAACATTCTCACACACAAAAAAAGAATTTATAAACAATAAAAATAACTATACTACCTCTGAAATAATCATGAGTTTTCACTATTAATGCCATTCTCAAAAACAAAAAGAAAAGACACAGCAACAAATGTAATGGCATCATGAAAACAGGACAGGAATATAAATATCTCCTAGTTACATTCATTGTGTCCAACTAATTTAGAATGTACTATTCTGTTTCAGAATTCTTAAGTTAAAATACTCAAAATAATAATTTTTCCATCCATTTTTGAGATAATACTTTTAACAAATGCGGTAGATCTGAGAAAAATATATAAATAACACGGTTAATTTCAGCCTAGCAGCTACAGTACATTAAAAATATGGGTATATGAATATATATTTAATGACCAAAAAAAATCCAGCTAAGTTCAGAAATTCTCATGAACATAAAGGTTCTGGGATTTTTCTTTCTTTTTTTTTTTTTTTCTGGTTCTGTCACCGAGGCCGGAGTGCAGTGGCATGATCATAGCTCACTGCAACCTCAAGCTCTTGGGCTCAAGCGATCCTCCTACCTCAGCTCCCTGAGTAGCTGGGACAACAGGTGTGTGTCACCACACTCAGCTAATTTTCTTATTTCTGTAGAGGCAGCGTCTCCTTATGTTGCTCAGGTTGGTCTCAAACTCCTGGGCTCAAGTGATCCTCTTGCCTTGGCCCCTCCCTAATTGTAAGGATTACAGGTGTGAAACAGTGTGCCTGGCCAACATAAATGATTTTTAGTGTATTCTTTAATAACTTACATAGGTCCACAGCAAATAAGGAATAGCTGCAATTAACTTGGTTCGATTAATTATGAGTTCAATACCTTTAAAAAGTGCTTTTAAAGTTTTATTATTGAATCTCTTCATGCTACATTTTCAATTTTAATTGTTTCTATCTTACCTATACTATAGTTCTTAGAGTCCTAAATCTATGTTGTTTCTAAATAATTGTTTACTTTTTTAAAATTTATATTTCATCCATTATATTGTCTAAGAATTCTTACTGGGAAATAAAATATAGCACTGAGAAAAGACTCAGATCAAAACAAAATACAATAGTCAATTCTTGATAGCCCAAAGCAAACTTAGGCAAATTAATTTTTTCCTTGTACCCTTGAGCCAGTCACTGAATATCTTTCCTTATTACCTCTTTGGGTAATGAAGAACATCAATTGTGCTGTTTCTAATAAGCTTTACTACATGGAGTGAAAAAGAACCATGCCATCTGTTATTTCTACTAGAACTGGAAAGAAGTTGAAACCAACACTTGAATAACTGTACCAAGGGGCCTGAGGAAGACTGTAGCCGGTTCCATGCTTTAAGCAAGGAATAATTAACCTCAAACTATATGGCAGCATCTAGCCTACAGATAAAATTGTTTCTCACCATTTTGACCCTACTACTCCAGCTTCCTACTTAAAATCAGTCTCATTAAATACTTAAACATGTGAATCCTGAAGCATGTAAGAATAGGATTTTTGGGTTACACTTAATTTAAGTTTACTATCTCTAATTCTTTTTAGGTGGTCTTAAGATATTTGGAAACTTTATGTTATTGACTTGCTATTTTACCACCCACCAAGAACTGCATGTCATCAGCAAATCAAGCAATTTCACAAATGTCAAAAGAGCAACCAGAAAGTAGGCATCATCTCAGATTTGTGGCTTTCTTATCCAATCACTCTCAAGTAACCAATATTAAAAAAACAAATTGACTGAGGCTAAGATAACCCTAGTAAAGAGAAAGAGGTAGTCATTCACTGAATTCAGATCACTAAACAATGTTTTTCATAGAAAAAGAAATGTCTGCTACAGAGCTATGGCAAAGCCCAGAAATCCAAATGTTTGTGAATTTTATGGAAGCTGCATAGCAATTAGTTCAATTATTCACTGCAATTTTATAAGCTTTGCCACTAAGATTTAATACATAATAAAAGAAATTTCCATTCAATTTTCCTCTCCTTTCCTCACCTCCAATATTCTTAGGAATGAATCATATTTATTAATTATAATAAGGTACCATTTCTCAAGACTGGAAGCCACAGCATTGTATTTTCCAGATTTATTCAAAAGTATTATCAGCTTATTATAATAAATGACATAATATATTTTAGCAGTTTATAGATACTAATATTTTCTAAATCTGAAGACTACCTCATTTTTAAAAAGGAAAACAATTTTTTATTTATTTATTTTTTTTTCTTGGTAATTAAGGTTGGTTCTCACTCAAAAAAGGAAAACCATTTTCTTCCTGTTAATTTGTCTAGTCAGTAGCAAAAATAAAGTCTAGCATTTACTGAACACACATTATTTGCAATGCACTGTGTAATAAACCTAACAGCCACTACAGCTTTAAAGATATTCTATAATCTCAGAATATCTAAAAACACTGGTAAACCTCATGTAAGGAAAAAAAAGGCATATAAAAGGAAGGAACTCACAACCTTTCCTATTGATTTAACAATACATTTTTTGTTTTGATTAAGATTCTCCATTATAAATAATGTCTATCCCCATAAAATCCAATACTGAGATTAGAGGGTAAAATCAAATCCCAAATGTACTGCAAAAAGATGTATATTTGATTATAATGCTACATGATGTCATGTATCCAGGAGAACTGAAGCATTATGGTCTCTTAGGGATAAAACTGCCTCTTGGTCACAGATTTAGGTGACACAGCATGTGATCCATTGTCTCTAAACAAAAAATGTGTGCAGCTGCATTTTCTAGTCAAGGGGGATGGGAGTGCAGAATACAAAAGGGTCAAAGATCTGTCTCATGGAGAAATTGCTTCTCAAATGAGAGTAAAAAATGAAATAAAAGTGAGTGGGGGGAAAACCTTCTCCAACTCATACTAAAAGCAGATACCATTAAAACTGAAAAAAAGAAAAAAAATATGTGTGGCAACTTTCCACTGAATTTACTTTTCTCCTATACTAACTTGCACAGATTCAATTTGTAAACCATGTGTTTAGATGCTACTTCTATTTAAATATTAATAATTTTCTGTCAATTGTACACAGTGTATAGACTTCCTCTACACAATGTTGCAGCATTTGTCTCAAAAATAAAAGTGTAGTCATTCGTCTCTTTCTTGGGGAAGTTAAAATGAAGCAATAACTTACAAACCTGATATTTTCTGCATAAAGACCAAATACATCAAGATGAGTCTCTAGTACACAATCCTCCTCCGTTTCACAGAAACACGGATTTCAAAAAGCAGTACCACAAAAGATCTAAATTGAGTAAAAACTGTTTTAAGAAAAATGGCTATTTTGAACAAAGGTTAAAAAAAAACTGGTGACTAAATAATTTATAAAGTTCTATTATCTCAAACATAACACTTACATACCCTACATGTTACTAAATACAATAGAAAAGAACCACTACAGCTCTTAGAGTAAATCTGACTTAGAAAACCCATCTACTTAAACTTAAGGATTGCTATCAATGCCACATCTAAACAAAACTGTTAAAAGCAGAAAAAAAAACTGACAGCACAGAAATCAAAGAGCAAAAATAATAATTAAAGGAGAAAAATATACTTACCATCTAGAATCAGAAGTAATATCACCTGTACTATAAGTCATACAGTGACCAATTATTAGCCAACCAGCAGTTTGGTTTTTTGACAGACTTGTACAGTCAGCCCTCTGCATCTGTGGGTTCTGTTATCCATGGCTTCAACCAACTGCACATCAGAAATATTTGGGGGGAAAAAAAGGTTGGTTGTGTCTGTAACGAACAGATATAGACTTTTTTTCTTGTCGTTATTCCCTAAACAATACAGTTTAACAACTATTTATATAGCATTTACATTGTATTAGGTATTATAAGTAATCTAGAGACTTAAAGTACAGTATATGGAAGGAAGTGGGTAGGTTATATGCAAATACTACACCATGTAATACAAGAAACTTGAGCATCTGTGGATTTTGGTATCTTCAGGAGGTCCCAGAATCAATCCCCCATGATATCAAGGGATGACTACATTGCACTTGAAAAACAACACTGAAAGGAACAAAGTTATAGAAACTTAAAAAGTCAACAGAGCGAAAGTCCTAAAGGACAAATCTGGTTGGCATTTGAATATAAACACGTGGTCTTGTCATCAAAATTTGTTTATGTATAATAATATTTCAATGCCTTGAATATAAGTCATAGTCATGCAGTATATCACCTATAGCCAAATAAATTGCTCCACTGAAAAGAAGCATCTTTTAAAAGTATATTCATGATCAGAAATAAATCTAATAAATGCAGACAATGATACCTTACTAATAGCCCCAATGTCAAATTTGGAAAGCAAGAGTAAAACTTAGGACTCTCTACTGATTGGTTTAATATATTGATTTTATATGTAATTCTAAAAACAAAACAAAAATACAATTAACAGAATTAAGTTGATTTTAAATAGGGCTACATTAACCTCATACGTACTCTGACTTAAAAATATATTTATGCTAAAAAATTATTAAAGATATTAATGTTATTAAAGACTATCTCCAGCTGGACACGTTGGCTCACACCTGTAATCCCAGCACTTTGGGAGGCCAAGGCAGGTGGATCACCTGAGGTAGGGAGTTCAAGACCAGCCTGACCAACACGGAGAAACACCGTCTCTACTAAAAATACAAAATTAGCTGGGCGTGGTGGCACATGCCTGTAATCCCAGCTACTTGGGAGGCTGAGGCAGGAGAATCCCTTGAACCCAGGAGGGAGAGTTTGCAGTGAGCCAAGATCGTGCCATTGCACTGCAGCCTGGGCAATAAGAGTGAAATTCCATCTCAAAAAAAAAAAGACTATCTCCAGATCATTTTAGAAAGTAATACTTTCTAAAATAAATGTTTCTAAATAAACTTATATGGAATACAACCTAAATTCTAATAAGCCATATCAACTGCAGCTACATATAGCTAAGTAGTCTAGTGGTCACTACTAGTAGACATGGTTAGCAAGTGAGTGGATGTTAGTTCTATTTGCTACTATAAATACTGGAAGAGAAAATGACTGTTTTTTTTCTTTTTGGAGACAGATTAATGTTTGCAGTGTTTTGTTTTGTTTTGTTTTAAAAACCTGTTGAATTTGAGACATTTGTGAGATATCCAAGTAGGACAGGCATTTGGGATATACGTGACGTAAAGTTCAGGAAAGAGGTCTGGTCTGGAGATAAATTTTGGAGTCATTAAATCTGAAATACCTCTGAAATCTGTCCACATTTCTCCATTTTCACTGTCACAACTATAGCCTAGGTCAACATTATCTTTCATCCAGACCACTCCAAAGGTAGTATAGGTTGAATACTCACTCCTTATCCAAAATTCTTGAGACCAGAATGCTTTGGATTGGGGATTTTTTGGGACTTTGGAATATTTACTTGTATATACATGATGAGATACTTTAGGGATGGGACCCAAGTCTAAACATAATATTCATTTATGTTTCATATATATCTTATACAAATAGCCTGAAGGTAATTTTATTTTTCCCTTGGAGATGCTGAATAAACTATGTGTTGTGCACCTGCATTTTGACTACAAACCATCACATTAGGTCAGGTGTGGAATCTTCCACTTGTGGCATGTTGGCACTCAGAAAACTTCAGATTTTGAAGCATTTCAGATTTTGGATTTTTGCATTAGTGATGCTCAACCAGTATACATGAATGGAAACCCCTATGGTGTGTTCTGCACAACCACACACAGTAGCTCCTACAGTATCTTCCTAAATTAATCTCCCTAAACTTATGCCAGACTCTCTCTTAATTTGTTCTCTGTAATACACTAATGTAATACTGCAGAATGTAAATCTAGCAATGTCCCTTACCTGCTTAATCCATCAAGGGGACCCTTAGGTCAAAATCCTTAACCTTGTATACAAGACCCTGCGTATTTTAGCCATGCTCTAACCTTTCAGGTCACATTTTTTGCCACTCTTTCCCTTGTTCTCTCCATTTCGGATATCTGAATAGACCATGCTTTCTCCTCTCTCAAAGCCTATACAAATCCTAGTCCCTCTGCCTGGAACACTCTTCATTCCACCTAACCCTGGCTAACTGCTATTTATTATTCACACCACAGCTTGGAGATCTTGGGAGAAGAAGGCCGGGCACGGTGGCTCATGTCTGTAATCCCAGCAATCTGGTAGGCCAAGGCAGGCAGATCATTTGAGGCCAGAAGTTTGAGACTGGCCTGGCCAATATGGCAAAAACCCCATCTATACTAAAAATACAAATATTAGCTGGGCGTGGTGGCATGTGCCTTTAACCCCAGCTAGTTGGGAGGCTGAGGCACAAGAATCATCTGAACCTGGGAGACACAGTTTGCAGTGAGCCAAAATCGCACCACTGCACTCCAGCCTGGGCGACTGAGGAAAACTTCGTCTCAAAAAAAAAAAAAAAAAAAAAAGAAATCTTGAGGGAAGAATTCTCTAAAATCCCAGACTATGGAGGGGCCCCAGTTCTACTCTCCCATAGTACTCGAACCTTTTGATAACATTTGTCACACCTGAGATGGTTTAATACATATCTTTCCTGACTAACTGAAAGCTTCATAAGGGCAGAGCTAGTTGTCTGTTTTGTTTACTGCTCAAATATTTGTTGTCTGGCAAATCTTGGTTCTAGTTCTGCTAGTACATAATTTTTCCATCTGTAAAATGAGATGTTAGACTTTATTATAATAATCTAAATTCTAATCAAAACTGAAATTCAAATATTACTACCTTTCCTATAGATACATACATGTGAGATCTACATTTCCTTTCGGTATTTATTCCACATACACTCACATTATATTCCATATATACTCACACATGTATGTATACATTACAAATACACACACACACATAAAATGAAAGAGCTAGTACTTTCATAAATTTAAAAAACTCATTGAATGCTTATTGGTAACAGGTATTGTTGTAAATACTTTACTAGTATTAACTCTTTTAATCTTATTCATAACAACCCTATCAAGTAGTTGCCATTATTAGTGTCTATTTTATATGCAGAAACACACATAGAGAAGGATTAAACGGTGTGCTCCAAACTGGAAGTACTGGCTCCAGAATTCACACTATTCACTGCTACACTAGCCTGACATCCTGCCTAGATTGCTTTTTAAGTACAAAAGACCAAAAACAAACAAACAAACAAAAATCAATAACTGATTCAGTATCTACATCCTCAAGCTAATGCTTCTGTATTAGAAGTCAGTCCAAACTATACTAATCCTGTTCAAATACATTTCTCTATATGCTTGCTTTTGATATTCTAACAACTGGATTGTCTACCTTCCCTCTCATCATTCAGTCAAACCCTAATATTTAAGACCTAATTTAACGACAACTCCTCCACATAATTCCCACCCCAACTTTTTTCTGTTAGAGTCTTTCAATCTCTCCGTGTTCCAACTGCATTTACATTTCCTCTTTTTTACTGTAGTTATTTATGTTAAGAGACCAAAATAAACAATAGACATGAGATCACTTCATAAACACTAAAGTTATTTTATAAGATACTTAATACACACCAAGTCAAAAGTATCGTTAACCAAAGAAAGAAAATAGAAAACAATGGACTCAATATCCCTAAGCAGAGTACTTCAAAAGCAAGCACAACCTGGCTCTAACTTGCTGCCAATTTGAATAGAAGTACAAAGGGAAAATTATACCCAAATCATACCACATCAAGTTTTGTTTTAACTAAACAAAGAAGTCATTTTAATCAAACTACATGAAACAAAAAAAAATTTGAAGGATGAAATATGATATTCATTAAAATATTTACTGGTCCAAGCACTTTGGGAGGCCAAGGCAGGCAAATCACTTGAGGTCAGGAGTTCGAGACCTGCCTGGCCAAAATGGCAAAACCCGTCTCTACTAAAAATACAAAAATTAGCCAGGCAAAGTGGTAGGTGCCTGTAATCCCAGCTACTTGGGAGGCTGGGGCAGGAGACTCACTTGAACCCAGGAGGAGGAGGTTGCAGTGAGCAAGATTGTGCCACTGTACTCCAGGCCTGGGAGACAGAGCGAAACTCTGTCACAAAAAAAAAAAAAAAAAATTACTGAGCAATTTGTCATTCACGTACAGAATACTATGCGTTATACTATGTTTTCCATTCTACTTTGTGACCTTTTCACTTTCTAAATTTCAGGTCTCTACTTAAGAGATAGTTGATGACATATGACAATAGTATAGCAAAAGAAAATTTTTAAAATATTATTTTAATTCCATCTGAACAGTATTTCAAAGTAGTAATTGAAGGAAGTCAACAGTAAATTCATTTGTATAAAAAGCACTACTAAATTGGATAGCCATATGCAGAAGAATGAAACTGGACCCATCTCTCACCATATACAAAAATTAGCTACAGAAAAGACTTAAATGTAAGACCTGAAACTATACTATAAAAATTCTAGAAGAAAACCGAGAAAAAACTCTTCTGAACATTGGCCTGAACAAGAATTTATGACTAAGAACTCAAAAGCAACTGCAACAAAACCAAAAACAGACAAATGAGACCTTAATCAGCTAAAAAGCTTCTGCACAGTAAAAGAAATAATCAATAAAGAGAACCCACATGTGGAATGGGAGAAAATATTTGCAAACTATACATGTGACAAACGACTAATATCCAGAACCTACAAGGCACTCAAACAACTCAACAAGAAAAACACAACTCTATCAAAAAGCGGGCAAAGAGCATGATCAGTAACTTTTCAAGACATAAAGGCAGCCAACCAACATGAAAAAAATGCTCAACATCACTAATCATCAGATAAATGCAAATTAAAACTACAATGAGATACCATCTTACACCAGTCAGAAGAGCTATTTAACAAAAAGACAAAAATTAACAATGCTGGCAAGGATGTGGAGAAAGGGGGAATGCGCATACACTGTTGGTGGGAATGTAAAGTAACAGCCATTATGAAAAACGGTATCGAGTTTCCTCAAAAACTAAAATCAGAACTACCATGACGTTTCAGGTGACAGATATTCTAATTATCTTAATTTGATCATTACACGTTGTAAACATGTACCAAAATATCACATGTACCCTCAAAAATATATCAGTTATAAAAAAAAAACAGAATATTTAAAAATATTGATACACCAATAAAAAACCTCCATCATGACTAAAGTCCACCTCATCCAATCCCTACACTTTGGGGAAAGTAAGCTCCTACTCTGTGTTCTCATAATACCCTTGAATGTATGTTTAGAAGAATATGTCTCATAATGCAATTATTTACTTACATGCATCTTATTCCTAGCACAGTATAAATGAAAGCATTCATACTTTTAAGAGATTGAATCCCACACAAAGTTACAACTAAAAAAAAAAAGAAACAATAAAATAACATCCCTATAAACAATAAAAGCAAGTCTGAAAGAGATGCTCAAAGAGATAAAAATGAACTCCTATTTCAAAGTAAACTTAAAAAAATTATGAGAAATACCTATATCAGATATATATATTGTATTATATATATCAAATATATCAGAAATATATATTGTATTATATATATATCAAATATATCAGAATTAGAAAAGCTCAGACATGAGGTGATAGAGCTCAAGAAAGAATTTAAAATAAAAGGGAAAAAATCATTTCAGAAATGAAGACTTAAAGGATTACGAAAAAAATGTATTGGATAAAATCTTAGAGAAACAGAAGGTGTAAAGAAAGCAAGCTTAATGAAAAAGAAAAAAAGGAGGGGGGAGTGCAAGAATCCGCGTGAGCGTGAGCATGAGCAAGAAAACAGGCTTAACTATAGCATCTAGGGACACATACTTGAGTAATAAAACCAAAAACTTAATTCATTTTCAGAAAACCCAGGACAGTGGTTACTTTTTAAAGGACAGGGTTACACAGGTGCTAGCCTTATAATTCACTAAGTTACACATTTGTTTTGTGTGGTTTTCTGCATTTGTTTCACTTTACAATTAAAAAAAAAAGAATTTAGGAAAATAAACTGCTGCTATTAATTTAAATCTACCTCTAGCCCAGGCACAGTGGCTCACACCTGTAATACCAGCACTTTGGGAGACCGGGGCAGGCAGATCACCTGAGGTCAGGAGTTCGAGACCAGCCTGGCCAACACGGTGAAACCCCATCTCTACTAAAAATACAAAAAAATTAGCTAGGCGTGGTGGCACATTCCTGTAGTCCCAGCTACTCCAGGGGCTGAGAAAGAATTGCTTGAACCTCGAAGGCGGAGATTGCAATAAGCCGAGATCACGCCACTGTGCTCCAGGCTGGGCAACAAAGCAAGACTCCATCTCAAAATAAAAAAGGAACTTACTTGCTATTCTAATTATGTATAATTATTTGCTTACAGTTCTATCTCAGCCACTAGACCTGTAGTTCTCACTTTCAATGTTATCCCACAATAAGAAATGTATTTTTTTCATAGAGACCCACAATATACATACATATTTAACTAAAACAAACATTTCATGAAATAATACTTTTACCCTTACCATGTATAATGTACTAAAATTTTTTTAGATTTTTTTTTAATAAAAGCTGGTCACAATTTCATGAAATAATACTTTTACCCTTACCACATAAAATGTACTAAATAATACTTTTACCCTTACCACATAAAATGTACTAAATAATACTTTTACCCTTACCACATAAAATGTACTAAAATTTTCATGAAATAATACTTTTACCCTTACCACATAAAATGTACTAAAATTTTTTTTTTGAGATGGAGTGTTGCTCTGTCGCCCAGGCTGGAGTGCAGTGGGGCAATCTCGGCTCACTGCAAGCTCTGCCTCCCGGGTTCAGGCCATTCTCCTGCCTCAGCCTCCCGAGTAGCTGGGACTACAGGCACTCGCCACCACGCCCGCCTAATTTTTTTTGTATTTTTAGTAGAGACGGGGTTTCACCGTGTTAGCCAGACGGTCTCGATCTCCTGACCTCGTGATCCGCCCACCCTGGCCTCCCAAAGTGCTGGGATTACAGGCATGAGCCACTGTGCCCAGCCTAGATTGTTTTTTAATAAAAGCTGGTCAAAATTTCCCACCCCAATTCAGTCACCCATTTAAGAAATACTACACTAGAATATAAATCCTTGTTGGCAGAACTCAATACATTCATTTTTATGCTCTACTACAGACCATAACATGTAGTGAACATTTAAATGTTTAAATGAATGAATAAATATAGTAGATGCTGTACTAGAAAACTGAAACAGTATCTTCATTGCTTTGGGGCAAGTTAAAAAAAAAAGGAGAGAAAAGTGAAAGAGTAAGTCTCTCAAGTCAAACTGACCCACCAGCCACCAACATACTTAGGCAATCTCTGACAAATGACTGAACCTCCTTGAGTCCCAGGAAATAATACCACTTACTTAACTTGCTATAACAATAAAGTAGCAACATTCCTGCCACAGAGTAAGCATTCTATAAATATTAGTTTCTCTCCCTACCTTGTATTCTTCCCTACTCCTTAGGAACAGATCAAGATGTAAGCATCTCATCCTAACAAATATTCATTTTTTAAAGACTTCAGATTGTAGTACAAAGATTAATGATTTTTTTCAAGTCTGAGAGATTTGGGTAAATACCCAGTATTACATTTACACAATTTCTCATTATCTGTTTATGAGACTATGACACTCCTTACGGCATTATTGAAAATTAAATTATGGCCAGGTGCAGTGGCTCACACCTGTAATTCCAGCACTTTGGGAGGCCGAGGTGGGCAGATCACTTGAGGTCAGGGTTCAAGACCAGCCTGGCCAACATGGTGAAACCTTGTCTCTACTAAAAATACAAAAATTAGCCAGGCGCGGTGGTGTGTGCCTGTAGTCCTAGCTATTCGGGAGGCTGAGGCTGGAGAACTGCTTGAACCCGGGAGACAGAGGTTGCAGTAAGCTGAGATGGAGCCACTGCACTCCAACATGGGCGACAGAGCACAACTCCATCTCAAAATAAAAAAAAAATTAAATTATACACTCATATGTCTAGTATAACTATGCCAATACATAGTAAACACAATAAAGACTGCAGTTGTTGCTATGATTATTAATAATTCTTCAATCAGCATAGAAAGAGGTAGTATATAAACTGAATTTTTAAGGTTGGAAGGGTTGGACAAAGGCATGGTGCAGTCAAAAGGACCAGTAAAATCTTAATTATAAGAAACCTCTTCCCCTTTTTTTCTGTATTTCCTCTTTTAAGAAAAAGAAACAAACTACAAAGATATAAATGTGTCAATTTCCTCAATTCTCTATCTCCAAGGTTACATATAAAACCCAGAATAACCACACTAACCCTGTATAATGCAAAATTTAATTTAAAGATTGGCCAGGTGAGGTGGCTCATGCCTAAAATCCCAGCGCTTTGGGAGGCTGAGGTAGGAGGATCCCTTGAGCCCAGGAGTTTGAGACGAGCCTGGGCAACATAGTCAGATCTCCCCTCTACCAAAAAAAAAAAAAAAAAAAAAAAAAATTAAAAAATTAGCCAGGGGTGGTGGAGCGCCCCTGTGGTCCCAGCTACTTGGTAGGTTGAGGCAGGAGGATCACTTGAGCCTAAGAGGTGGAGCTTGCAGTGCACTGTGATTGTTACCACTGCACTCCAGCAGGGTTGAGTGTGACCCTGTCTCAAAAAAAAAAAAAAAGAATTTAAATATATGAAAATTCTGTTCAGTGGGCTATACAATTTAAAGTGTATTAATGACATATTTTAGAAAGAATTTCAATTAAAAGTTCAAATTAAGAGTGTTTTGTAGTTAACCCAGTTTACCAGAAAAATATTAACTGAAATCTTTACTCAATAAGTCTTTAATAAAATTTTATTCTCCAATAAAATTGGTATTATTTGGTTAAAAACATTCCCAGTAACATTCCCAATGTTAGGATGGCAGCACTCTTCTACTCTTCTATTAAATATACAGTAAATTCCCTCCAAAAACGTTTATTATCACTTTGAAAACTTTGATTAATGTTTTTTATCTCCTCAGTCTCATTTTTTTTTCCATAAATATGTAAGCATGGCTTCTCACAGAGACCAGGGTCCCTGTTATTTTCCCCATGTATTTTCTCCAACACACCTTTCAAAGCACTTCTCAGAAAAAAAAAAAAGGCTTTTGAGTGGCAGAAGCACCAATACCTGTAAAAACACTAGCAAGAAGGCAAGAATTTTCTTCTAACACCTGTAAACATTTTTAAGATAGGAAGATAGTTAACAGTAATTAAACTATCCCAGGGATTTAACAGTAATGTATCTACTCGGGAAGAATCAAAGTAATTTTCCATTATCTGTGTTGGGAGCAAAGAGATGGCTATTTTTATGGTACATATATTTAAACTTTATGCTAATAACATATATTCTAAATGTTTACTCAAGCTTTTATTTATTATTTAGCCTTTCAGGGCTTCAGTAATTTTATGTTTATAAACTGTTAACGAAATCAAGACCTAAGGTGAGGAGATACATCCTATGTGATACTTAAATCAGGCAGACTCCAGAACAAATGTCTCTCTGGCTCACCACTGTATTCTTAGCACCTAAATACAATAGATACTAAATAAATATCTGTCCAAGTTTAAGTATTCGTTTATAGAAAGGAAAATTAGGTCGAGGGAAATTACAAATACATGAATCAAAATTAGGTTAAGGTTTTTGAGTATGGCATGTACTTAGTGACTTGCTTCCAAAAGAGTAGAGATCGGAAGGAGGCAGGAAAGTGGGCGAAACTCCACAAAGACCTCAACCACCTGATCAAGGTAAGCGTCATCAGTTTTATCATGTCGTTAGTTTGTATCCTTGATATGATGTGATGAGACTGGCAATTCATCTCTGTTATCTTCCTCCCTAAAACTCATAATCCCAGTCTAATCATCAGAAAAATACCAGATAAATCTCAATTGAGGGATATTCTATAAAATGTCTGACAAGCACTTCTTAAAATTGTCATAGTCATCAAAACAAAGAGAAGTCATAGAAAGTGAAATTCTGGAACAAAAAAAAGACATTAGGGAAAAATTAGCGAAATAGGAATAAAGTATGTAGTTAATAGTACTGTAACAATTTTGTTTCCTTAATTGTGACAAATGTACCATTGTAATGTAGGAAATTGAACAGGAGAAACTGGGTGAGGTATACTCTGTATACTAGCTTGCAACTTTTCTGTAACTATAAAACTATTCTAAAATAAAAAGTTTATTTAAATAGAAAAGTTAGGGTAAGGGAAATAAAGTATATATGGATCAAAATCCCTTAGAAGCAAATAATAATAAACATTCTTTTGATCCCTTTATATTAGTGGCAGGACAGGGATAGCCTTCTCATTTAGAGGATATAAAATTATTAATAAAACAATACTATAAGCCGGGCGTGGTGGTTCCCGCCTGTAATCCCAGCACTTTGGGAGGCTGAGGCAGGCGGATACCTGAGGTCAGGAGTTCTAGAGCAGCCTGGCCAACATGGTAAAACTCCGTCTCTACTAAAAATACAAAAATAAGCCAGGCTTGGTGGCAGGGGCCTGTAACCCCAGCTACTCCAGAGGCTGAGACAGGAGAATCACTTGAACCCGGGAGGTGGAGGTTGCAGTGAGCCAAGATAGCGCCACTGCACTCCAGCCTGGGAGAAAGGCTGCCAGACTCCACCAAAAAAAAAAAAAAAAAAAAAAAAAAAAAAGCAATACTATAGGCTATAGGCATTGTACACATCTGTAGTATTAATTTTGAAGTCACATGTGACCAAACCAAATGCTCCTTAAATGTTAGTTTCCCAAAGCATCAAATCTTTGTTCTCAACCCTTCAAAAAAAAAATTTTTTTTTTTTGAGACAGAGTTTTGCCCCGTTGCCCAGGCTGGAGTGCAGTGGCATGATCTCAACTCACTACAACCTTCACCTCCTAGGTTCAAGCGATTCTCCTGCCTCAGCCTCACGAGTAGCTGGGACTACAGGCATGCCCCACGAGGCCCAGCTAATTTTTGTATTTTTGGTAGAGATGGGGTTTTGCCACGTTGGCCAGGCTGGTCTCAAACTCCTAACCTCAGGTGATCCTCCCACCTCAGCCTCCCAAAGTGCTGGGATTACAGGCACGAGTTGAGCAATCCTTTTTTCAAGGGATGGGAGTCTGGCTACACTGCCCAGGCTGGACTTGAACTCCTGATCTCAGGAGAGCCTCCTGCCTTAGCCTTATATAAGTATTTTATGACCTCATTTACTTTTCTTTCTCAACTAAAAATTGCTCTCAGTGGTTAGCATATATACTCATTTCTCAATTGTATTGTCTTTTCTGCCCTAAGGCCTAGATACCACTTCAATATCTTTATTTAACTTTTCTGATTGAGCACCATTGTTATGGGGTAATTAAAATTCCAATAAAATGGTGTTGCTGTAACTTCTCTATACAGTTCTTGTGCAGATTTTAAATGGTTCCTGTGGTTTAACATTCTTCCAGTAAAATTGATTCAAATAAAAACATACAATACAGAAATAATTCAAACCTACCAAAGCATTCACAAAATGAAACGATGCATTAGTAAACAAGGATTGTCCTTAAATTCAAAAATTTTCCAAACTCTCCAAAAGTTCATTTTTTATCTTCAACTCTTTGACCTTCTACTTTTATATATTCTAAAAATTATATTTCATTCTCTTAAAATCTGTTCATGTTAACGTTCATATTAACTTCACATTTTTCAAAAAAAGCTTTACAAAGCACACATATACACAAATCAAATCACTACTTCATCCCTAAAAAAGTATTTTCACTGGTAATTTTATTTACGTATGTTTAGATCACAATTTTTATGTAAAAAGAAAAAAATAGATTTTTCTAAAACTATCAAAAAGAAATCCAGATAATGCAATTACTTCTGATTGCATTAGAATCTCTCATTAATGGTTTTGAAATTCAAGTAATATTTTTTCCCAAAGTTGGCAAACTCCATAATGCACTACTCTATTATTCCCCATCACTCTATGATGGTACCTAATAATGCTGAGGTTTTAAAGATGGATCAACAAAACAGCAGAGAACGGCAAAAAACGTCGGTATACACCTTAGGAGAACTGCAAGGTAACAGAGGTAAGTCTTAAGATTCGGATGGAACAGGTACAGGCATGAATGGTTCAGCTTCTCCCACCAAGATAAATGTACATGCGAGGCGACAGCACAGTTACAAAGCCCCTGGCTACCAGAGAAACCTCAGCCCCTAGTGCCGCTAGCGCACTCTATTACACTCAGCCGGCCACGTGGCTGTCACAATCAGAAAAAAGATAGGAGAAACAACTTCAACTAACCTGTAAATACTTAACTGCCCTCCTCCCCTCACCTCGGAGTTGGGGTAGGAGAAAGAAAGTCTGTGGTCATTTCTTTGCACGCTAAAACTCTTTTTTCCCAGTAGGGAGAAAATGAAGTTCAGAGACTGCTGTAAAAAGACTTTAAAGCAGAAATCCAGTGCAAGAACACTGCGAGAGTGTGGGTCGTCAGCGAAGCAGACACCCCAACTCCCGAGAGATGCAGTGGAAAAAGAGGCATTTTGCAAAGGTGCAAAAGGGGGTGGAGTTAAGTAGTGGAGGATGGAGCACGGAGCACATGGGCTGCTTTCCGCTAACTACCACCGTCCTGCCGGGTTCCACACAGGCTGCTGCTGCAGTGGGGCAAACTTGAAAGGCTGAAGGCCTCTTCCACCGCAGACCTCTCACCTTGCCAGGAAAGAGGACTAAAAGGCAAAGGTAACCACGGCCCCAAAGGAGGCGGCGAACAGGAAGTGTCCATATTGCAGCGCTGAAACAGTAGCTCCCAAGACAGCCACCCTCTGAGGCCCCCTCGAGGCGGTGGAGGGGCGAGAGGGTGCCGGGGTCGCTCCCACACACACCCGGGACCCGCCTCTGCCCACCACAACGCCCGGCCGCCCCCGGCACCTCCCCGTGCACTACTTGGCGGGGCCCAGCCAGTCCCAACTGGGGCCGGACGAGGACTCCGAGCCCGACATGTCTCGCTCCACTTCAAGCCAGAGGAGGGGGCGTTGCAAAGGCTCCGAGGTGCTTGGGGTACTTCCCTAACAGCAGATTCCAGCCCCGAGCCGAGCCCTGAGGGTCCTTGGGGCCCCCTCCACGCCTTCCCGGAGAGACGACACCCCTCGCCGCGGTTTCCGCCGCGCGACAGCCCCTCCCGGGCGGTCATTACCTCTCAGGAAAAACTCCTAACTCCTCACAAGCCACACTCCCCTCAGTTCGACATCCCCCGGAGCCCACACACCACCCGATACGCGCGCCGGGGACACCCCCGCGCCGGCGCAAATTCCTCACTGGACAAAAATGTCCGGGCGCGTCACGGGACAGCCGCCTCCGCGCCCCACGCCTGGCGCGGGTCGCTCGCGCTGCCTCCGCGCCCGGGAGCTGCGCCGCGGGCTGGGGCGGGGAGCGCCGACCCTGGAGGGGACCGCTCCGCCCGGGACTCACCGTCAGCTCGGCCGGGAGGCGAGGGACCGGCCGGGGAAGACACAATATGGCAGAGCACCGCAGCTGTTCCCTGCAGCTTCCAGCAGTCGCCTCCGGGAAGACGCGGCAACCAGCAGGCAGCAGCAGCTGCAGTGGCGGCCCCGGCAGCACCACATCCCCCTCCCGCTCGCTTCCTCCCCCTCCCTCCCCTTCCCCGCTGCCATGGCAACGCGGCGCCAAGGCGATTAGCCCCACCCCTCCCTCCAGTCCCGCCTCCCGCGACCCCGAGGAAGGGGGCTCGGCCGGCCCCTCCCGGTTCCCGCCCACCTCCTACCGAAGGGAGGGGCCTGGGTTCCGGCTGGCTGCCTGGCACGGCGGCTGGGGTGGGGGTGAAATGCAGGGTCCGGAAGGGCGGGGCTCACACGGAAAGCAGGGTGGAGGCGCTGTAGGCCGGTGCGGGTTTAGGGCTGAGCAGGGCAGGGGAAAGCGGGAAAATGCAAAGGCCTCGCATGTCCGAGGAAGGACCTATAGGAGTGCGGCGGAGGCGCGGCGCGGCCGCTGAGTGGTCGAGGAGGCGCGGGGGCGGGGCTAGGCTGCCGCAGGGCAGTACGGCCCTCGGTGCCTGTGCCCGGGCTGAGGAGACCTTCCTCGACACCCCACGTTATGTGGGTTTCCGCAAGACCTTCCGCCATTGCCTGGGCTTTGAAAGCGCTTTAGGAACGGTAAAGCATTGCTGTAACTTAAAGTAGTGTTACTCTGGCTTGACTGAAATGTTCTGTGGAAACAAGTCACTGTGTTTGCAGTAGGGAAAAAAAGACTTACGGATCAAATCCAAAATTTAATGTGCATAGGATTTACAGAAGCTAAGGACTTCACATCCATTGTCATATCCATAATAATAACATAGCTTTGCCACACGAAATACAGGAGAGCTCATTTAAACCTGAATTTCAGAAAAATGGAGATTTTTTTTAAAAATATAAGAATATCCCGTTTGGGTTATACTTCCTGTTTGTTTTGGTTCGTTTTACTAAATCTGAGAACCCTATCTAACTCATGGAAACTTTACAGATACGGAAACGGAGGCTTAGAAGTGGAAACTTTACAGATATGGAAACTGAGACTTAGAAAAATGACCCGTCAAAGGTATGAGAAGTGGCAGCACTAAGGCTCTAGTTTGCTACGAATATGATCCTGATAATTAAATCTCTGAGTTTCTCTATCAATATCTTCAAAAACTAGAGTAGTGATACCTATCTCACAAAGGTGTTGAGTAGACTAAAAGAAAAGGTATACGAAGCCCGGATACTGACTGAGCATGTTCACTGTGTGTCCAGGCTCTGAGTAGAAGGTGAGCTGTGTGTGAAACAAGCTACCTGCTGACAATAAAACAAGTCAGGCTGTGGGGCTGATAGCTGCAGAAGAATTATGGGCATCAGAATATATTTTTAAAATATAAACATTTGATCCCGTCATTCCACAGATGGAACGCTGCATTTATATAACTTGTTTAGTCATCTACCAGTTTCATTTGTCTTTCTTGCACTGTCCTGGAGGGCCTCACAGCTACATTCGGAGGCCACAAGGCAAATGTACAGTGTGCTTCAATTGGAACAGGAGTTGCTGTGACTTCTCCCTTCGGAGCAATCACTGTTGCCCACTCATATGGACATACTGAAGGAAATTCTTGGAACGAGGGTGTAGTAGAGAGGGAGCAGGGGAAAGAACGAAGGGAAGATTGAAAGAAGATGGAGCCACAAAGGAGCCATAGCCTCCTCACACCTCAGTCTTGTTTTATCTCTGCCAGCCATTGTTGTGGTGGCTACTAACATAATATATGTTAATCTTCTTACAAATTATTTTACTAATATCTTACTTGATATATTGAACTTTAATTATCTTTCTCCTCATTGCTCTTACTCCATCTATGTATTTATTTATTATTTTTATTTTTTATTTTTTTGAGACAGAGTCTCGCTCTGTCGCCCAGGCTGGAGTGCGGTGGCGCAATCTCGGCTCACTGCAACCTCCGCCACCCGGGTTCAAGTGATTCTCATGCCCCAGCGTCCGGAGTAGCTGGGATTACAGCGTGCGCCAACATGCCCAGCTAATTTTTGTAATTTTAGTAGAGATAGGATTTCACTGTATTGGCAAGGCTGGTCTCAAACTCCTGTGCTCAGGTGATCTCCCTGTCTCAGCCTCCCAAAGTGCTGGGATTACAGGCGTGAACCACCGCGCCGTGCCGTCCATCTATTTTAAAATCAGGTGGCTAAGCAGTCCTGTTTAACTGTAGAAGGATCACAGAATTTGAGAGCTGGACGATACTTCAGAGATGTATCATCCAGGAACTCAATCTATCATGAGAAAACAAATCCAGAAAAGTTATGTAATTTGTCCCAGATCAAATGATGAATCTACTGCACCCTCATTCTCTAAATTGCCTCTCCTAATCCTCTTACCGACTGATTCAACCCAGAAAGTCTGGGCATATTTAAATAAAATTTGTGAGTAAGGCTGAGGTCTCAGCAAATCTGTTATGCCCTTAGTTTACAGTCCAGGGATACCTGTATACCTGCAGGTTGTGTTAGAGGACTTTGAACATCTGCCAAGGAAAAGCCCTGATTAAAGATAATGATGATTCAGAGTGAATAGCTTTTCCCAGGAGTTTGCAACAGTAAAAAGGCTAGGAAACAAGAAGTGAACTCTAGGAAAAAGATGATCCTGGCTTTAAGATCTCTTGTGAAGCTTACTATTCTTCTGTCTCCAAAATATTTCCAAGAAACATATTCAGTGATAAACTTTACTGGAAGACACATGCATTAGAAAATATATTGTTTAAAATGCTCCCATGCTTAGGCTAAAAAGTGATAGAAGCTCAAATATTTGTTTGTGTTTTAAATGTATTTATCATTGTATAATGCTACATAAATTTAACAAAAGACTTTTTGATCATGAATTGATGATTCTAAAAATAACCAGTTTGTCAATAAGGAGTCTAGACTTCAAGCCCCTTGAGGTCAAGAACCAAGTTTTTCTATAATCTAATTTCTAAGAAGAGCTTCAGGTACAGTGGTGATGTTCAATAATGTTTGTCAATAAAATAAGTAACTAATCTCAAATTTTACAATACCAGGACTAGTATATAATATTCCTAAATACTGGTCTGCCACTTGGGCTAAAAGGTTAGAATTATGAATAAAAGTCTGATTTTTTTTTCCTGAAGGATCATTTTCAATGCATTTTTTAAAAGCAACTACCTATATTTAATGATATCTACATTTTTGTATGCCTTGGTATTAACAGTAATTTGGATCAATCTTCAACAAAATATGAAAGATATCAGCTTGAAGGCATGAGAAAGCTAAAAAGTTAATGAGGAATTACCAGGCCATGATCTGGGGAATGATGGAGGTCAATTCCGTAGAGGGCTGCTGAGAGGATGAGCAGGAATGGGGGACAGAGATTTGAGTTCAGGGCATACTAAGAGAGAAAGAGATGAACTCTGTTGAAGGCCCCTTGCTTTGGACTAGGAATTCAAAGAGCTCCATCATAAAAGTAAAAGGTCTGTAGCTCAGTTTCAGATCATCTCAACCTTGAAACTGGATTAGGATAATTCCTTTGAGCTCATGCCCACAAGCACTTGGCAGAAGCAAACTAAAATCCTTTCTGGAGTGAAACTATATCATTCTAGGCCTCAAATAATTTCTACAGATAATTTTGAAATCACAGTGCCTCGTACACAATTTTTAAAAATCAGTTACCTAAGGAAATTAGAAAAATATAGCAGAAACAACAGAGAACAAAAACAGACCCAACAGGGGTCAGGTAATGAAATTATCAGGTACAGATTTAAAAATAACAATGCCTACTATGTTCAAATAAATCAAACACAAGATTAAATATGTGGGCAGACAACTAGAAACTTGAAAAAAGAGCCAGATGAAAATTTTGGAACAAAAAAATTTACTAACTGAAAATAAAGACTCAATGATGGGTTTAAGAGCATATTAGGCACAGATAAAGATAGAATTAGTGAACTAGAAGGTAAGTCAGAAGAAACTATTCAGAATGAAGCACAAAAAGGAAAAAAGATGGAAAATATAGAACACATAGAAGATAGAGTTAGGAAGTTTAATATGAACATAAATGACATTCCAAAAGGAAGGGAAAAGGTATTCAGCTTAAATAATATTTGAACCAATGAATCTCCATCAGGATATTTTTTTAATCCACACAGCTGATATATAGACACATCATGAAAAACTTGCTAAAATCTGAAGACAAGAAGAAAAATCTTTAAGAGCAGCCAGAGAAAAGAGAGGACTTAAAAAAAAGAAAATTAGACTTGCAGTTGACTTTTTAACAGAAATAGCTGAAGCCAGAAAATGATGGAATGACAACTTTAAAGGGATGAAACAAATATTTTTTAAGAATGAAAGTAAAATTAAGGAATTTCCAAAGGAACAAAACAGTATTCACAGTGGCATTCCATAGGCAGGAAGTAAATGATCCCAGTTATATCATAGATATGGTAGGAAATAAAGATCAAGAAAAATGATAAATATATAGGTAAATCTAAATGAATATTGATACTGACTATATAAGACTATAATAGTCTTGTCTTCTGTATTTAAAAATATACAGTAGGCTAAGTGCGGTGGTTCACGGCTGTAATCCCAGCACTTTGGGAGGCTGAGGCAGGAGGACTTGAGCCCAGGAGTTAGAGACAAGCCTGGGCAACATAGTGAGACCCCATCTGTACATAAAATTAAAAAATTAGCCAGGCACGATGGCACATTCCTGTAGTGGAAAGCCTGGGAAGCTGAGGTGGGAAGATTGCTTGAGCCCCGTAAGCCATCATTGCACCACTGCACTGCACTCTAGCCTGAGCAACAGAGACCCTCTTAAGACACACACACACACACACACACACACACACACGAAATAATGGTATATGTCAGGAGAAGGTAAATGGAATCAAGTGTTCTAAAATCAGTGCATTTTCTAGAAGTATGGAAAAAGTGATAGTTAATATTAGACTCTGGTAAGTCAAGAATACATCTTATGAGCTTTAGAATAATCATTGAGAAAATAGTAAGAAACTGTATTAGTCAGGATTCTTCAGAGAAACAGAAGTGGAGGCTTAGTAGCCTAAAAGCTGTAAGGTAGAACAACAGGCTAGAGACAAAGAAGAGTTGCAGTTTGAGTCCAAAAGCAGTCGGCTAGCAGAATTCCTTCTTGCCCATGGGAGATAAATCTTTGTTCTATTAAGGCATTGGATAAGATCTACCCACCTTATGGAAGGTAATCTGCTTTATTAAAGTCTACAGATTTAAATGTTAATCTCATCCAAAAAACACCTTCACAGAAACATTTAGAATAGTGTTTGACCAAACATTTGGCCACCAGTGGCACTGGCAAGTTGATTCATAAAATAAGCCAGGACACTATGCAATTTCCAATCTAATTTGAGCATGTGAGGAAATAAAAAATAATCTAAATGCAAGATAGAAGAGAAATAAGAACATATGATAGAGCAAATAGAAAGTTGTTATAAGATGGTAGACATAAACCCAAATATATCACTAATTACACTAAATGAAAACAGATCATAATTTAATGACAAAGATTGTTTTTGTTGCCTATTGTTATATAACAAACTACCCCAAAATTTAGTAGCTTAGGCCCAGCACGGTGCCTCACACCTGTAATCCCAGCACTTTGGGAGGCTGAGCAGGTGAATCACTTGAGGTCAGGAGTTTGAGACCAGCCTAGCTAACATGGTGAAACCCCATCTCTAATAAAAATGCAAAAAAATTAGCCAAACGTGGTTGTACCCACCTGTAGTCCCAGCTACTCAGGAGGATGAGGCACAAGAATCACTTGAACCAGGAGGTGGAGGTTGCAGTGAGCCCAGATGGTGCCACTGTACTCCAGCCTGGGCAACATAGCAAGACCCTATCTCCAAAAAAAAAAATGTAGTAGCTTAAAATCAAAACCATTTTATTATTTTTCCAGATTCTGTGGGTCAGAAATTTCAACAGGGCATAATGGAGAAGGCTCTCTCTTCTCTGGGTGATGTCCGCTGGGGCTGAAATGTTCTAGATAGCTTCTTCACTCACATGTCTAGCACCTAGCTAGGATGGCTCCAATGGCCGGGGGTTAGAACAGCTTGACTGATATCATATGTGTGGGGCCTTGGTTCTCACAATTGATTGGGTTCTTTGGTTTTTCTACAAGTAGTTCTAGGACTTCTGTTCCACATGGCCAATCCATGTAGCCTCTACAGAAAGATAGCCGACTTCTTACATGCAAGCTCAGAGTTCCCAAGAAGATTAGGTTTAGAACTAACACACTGTCACTTCTGTTACATTCTATCAGATAAAGGAAATAACAGGCCTAGAGTCAAGAGGAGGAAACTACATAAGGGTGTAAATACTAGGAAGTAGGATGAACCTGGGGCCACCAATTGATGTAACCAACTACCACAGATTGTCACTGGGCAAAAATAACCACACGCTCTTTACAAGGGGCATAATCTAGAACATAAAAATACAGAAAGTTTGAAAGTAAAAAATAGAAAAAAAGTAAACCATGCAAAATTACCAAAAGGAAGCTGGAATAGCTAAATTAAGTAGATACTAAGACAAAAAGTACTGGGGCCGGGCACGTTGGCTCACGCCTGTAATCCCAGCACTTTGGGAGGCCGAGGCGGGCGGATCACGAGGTCAGGAGATCGAGACCATCCTGGCTAACACGGTGAAACCCCATCTCTACTAAAAAATACAAAAAAAATTAGCCAGGTGTGGTGGCAGGCACCTGTAATCCCAGCTGCTCGGGAGGCTGAGGCAGGAGAATGGCATGAACCCAGGAGTTGGAGCTTGCAGTGAGCCGAGATCACGCCACTGTACTCCAGCCTGGGCAACAGAGTGAGACTCCGTCTCAAAAAAAAAAAAAAAGACGAAAAGTACTGCTGGAGTGAAAGGGAGACTCTTCATAATAATGAAGACTTAATTTGCCAGGAAGATAAAAATATTCTAAATTTGTATTCCTCCAATAACATAACCTCAAAATATATAAAGCAAAAATTACAGAACTACGAGGAATAAAAAATCCAGAATTTTAGGAGGAGATGTTAACATATTCAGTTACTGATAAAACAGGCAGACAAAAAATTCAGTGACTATGGGTCTGAACAATGCTATTAGCAAAGTTAAGTATAAGGACATATGGAATACTTTTCTACAGTCCTTTACACATGAAGAAATTCATTAGTTTATGTTATTTCTGCTTTGGCTCATGAAGCTGGTAAGGATATCAGAGGATCCTGAGCCTTCAGGCTGCTTAGAATCTATCCCTATTTTACAGATAGACTGTGTACCTTTACCTCATTCATTAAATAAACATATTAACTACTGACTATGTTCCAGGCCCTGCACTTAGTACAGAGATGAAAATAGTAGTTAAAACTACAGACAAGCAAATCAGAAAATATAATTGCAGTATACAAGTGCAGTGATAGAGCTTTACATAAGTAGTAATGGGAATCAAGTCCTAACTCAGCCCTGGGAGATGTCTGAACAAAGATTGAAGAGAGAAGAATATAGAGTAGAGGTAGGAATGGGAGTGGTAGAAGGAGGGGTGGAACCATATCTAGCAAAGCCTAGTGGGGAAAGAGCATGATTATTCAAGTCAGAGAACTGCCAGTCATTTGGAATGTCTGGAATACAAAAGGTTGCTCAAGTTAGGGATTATCTGGTTGCAAGAAACAGAAACTCATGCCAGCTGGCTAAAGTAGGAGAAATGAATATAAAAATAGGCAGGGATTATGTGAGACACAACTGTGGGAAGCACAGCCAACATTAACAAGAACTCTCCCCTTTCTCTCTCTCACCATCTAGTCTTGGCTTTTCTTTGTGTGTCTGTTTCACTCTCTGCTCACTTATAGGCTTACATGTGGCCCATTATGGCTGTCCCAGATACGGGCCTTGGCTCTCCACCTCTGCTACCAACCCACTTTGTCTAACTTTCCTGCTTAGCAACCCACAGTTATTACCTAACACAGCCTCAGGGTCCCACTTCCAAATTCCCAGGAGCCGTAATCAGAGTGATGCAGCTTCTACATGCTTGTATATCAGGGGTCAGCAAACTATGGCCCTGGGGGCCAAATCTAGCCTGCCTTCCACTTTTGTAAATAAAGTTTTAATTGAACATAGCCACACACATTCATTAACATACTATTTATGGCTGCTTTGGCACTACAAAGACAGAGTTGTGCAACTGAGACAGAAAACCAATGGACCGTAAGGCTGAAAACATTTACTATGGCGACCTTTACAGAAAAAGTTTGCTGGCCAGGCACGGTGGCTCACGCCTGTAATCCCAGTACTTTGGGAGGCCTAGGCGAGTGGATCACCTGAGGTCAGCAGTTCAAGACCAGCGTGGCCAACATGGTGAAACCCCGTCTCTACTAAAAATACAAAAACTACCCGGGCATGGTGGTGCGAACCTGTAAATCCCAGCTACTTGGGAGGCTGAGGCAGGAGAATCGCTTGAACCCGGGAGGCAGAGGTTGCAGTGAGCCGAGATCACGCCACTGCGCTCCAGCCTGTGCAACAGAGTGAGACTCTGTCTCAAAAAAAAAAAAAGTTTGCTGACTTTGCAGTAAACAGGTCATGTGGAGGTATAGAGCTGTATAAAGATTTACAGGGCATCAGCTCTGGTAATGGAAGCTCTGAAAGTGGATAACCCCTTTGTGTCTTCAAAAAAAAGGATAATGGTGGGGAAAGAAACTGTGGCTGTGGAAGTATTTTGAGAAAGGAACGGGTTGCAAACTAACACAGGAAAGAAAATAATCAGTCTCAAGTGTATGCTAAATGTTTTACACAACGGGTGAAAGGGTAAAAGACTGTAACTTCTTACTCTGGAGAAATTCATTAAGATGCTAAATTTAGGAGCGCGTGTCACCTGTTGTCACCTGTAACTGCCTTTAAATAACTCACTTGTGGCAAATTTCCCAGACCCTCCAAGCATAGCTCTTGCTGAGATGAACTGGCTGAGGCATAATATTTGCTGACTGTACAAAGATTTTTAAATGCATGTCCAGAAGGTTAAATATTGTTTACCTTCCAGAGAGAGAGAGAGAGAGAGAGAGAAGGTACTGAGAGAAAGAGACGGGTAAATAGAAAGAGGCAGATAGACTGAGACTTGCTCAGGGAGGAGAAAATAAAATCTAGAATTTACCATTTTGGTAAATTTAAGATCATTGTGGGGAAATCTTTGTTAAGAAACACTTTTTCTGGGTGAGTAGAAAAAATATTAGATTTTTTAAAACCCTAAGATTCATGGCCAGGTGCGGTGGCTCATGCCTGTAATCCCAACACTTTGGGAGGCCGAGGCAGGTGGGTCACTTGAGGGCAGGAGTTCGAGACCAGCCTGGCCAACATGGTGAAACCCCGTCTCTACTAAAAATACGAAAAATTAGCTAGGTGTGGTGGCGAACACCTGTAGTCCCAGCTACTCAGGAGGCTGAGGCAAGAGAATCGCTTGAACCCGAGAGGCAGAGGTTGCAGTGAGCCGAGACTGCACTACTGCACTTCAGCCTGGGTGACAGAGCAATACTCTGTCTCAAACAAAACAAAACAAACCCCTAAGCTTCAGATCCTTACTACTCCAAGTGTGGCCCAAGCACACTCAGCGGTGTTGGCATCACCAGGAAGTTTATTAGAAATGCCAAATCCCGGCTGGGTGTGGTAACTCATGCCTGTAATCCCAAAGCTTTGGGAGGCCAAAGCGGGTGGATCATCTGAGGTCAGGAGTTCGAGATCAGCCTGACCAACATAGTGAAACCCTGTCTCTACTAAAAATACAAAAATTATCTGAGTATGGTAGTGGCACGCTCCTGTAATCCCAGAGATTAGAGAGGCTGAGGCAGGAGAATCACTCCAACCCGGGAGGCGGAGGTTGCAGTGAGCTGAGATCATGCCACTGCACTCCAGCCTGGGCAACACAGTGAGACCCTGTCTCAAAAAAAAAAAAAGAAAAGAAAAAGAAATGCAAAATCCCTGGCCCCATTCTAGACCCAGTGAATAAGAACCTGCATTTTAAAAATCCCATAAATGATTCTGTTAAGAAAAAGTTATTCAATGACACTTGTTAAAGCATGGTAAGGCAGACTTTATTCAGAACCATCATGATAGGTATAGGGACCACTGCAATGAGATTTTACAGTGGGGATGAGAGACTGGGCTCAACTCAGAATACAGCAGGACAAGTGGGAATTTATAGCCAAGGAGCAGGTAGGGGCCAGTGGATGAAAAATTACTAAGAGCAAACATCGGCAGTAAGGAGGATTCTGGCTAAACTAACCTAAGAAGGTTTCTTCTGCTATAGACATCCTCTATAATCAGACATCCTCTGGAGGATGGCAGAGGATGAAGAATCCAGTCAGATACTAAAGGTGGGGGAGGTTCTTGCTAAACTGACGTAGCAGAGTTCTTTGCTAAAAATGGACTTTACAAGACAGTGTACAAATATGCTGGAAGAAGGTTTGGTCGAGCAGAGAATTTTTGTCAATTCTAATTACATTAAAGTAAGAGAAGCAATGAATTAGTACAGTAGTTTTCAGATGGTTTAAAATGGAACAGTTGTTTTGTTTCATATTCTTTGAATGAAATCTTTCATAAAGCCCAATTCATAAAATAGATCAAAGTAGACCTGTTCTGATTGAAGATGGGAGGATACTGGAAGGCAGGGAAGGGCTGGAAAACCCAGGTATGTTTATTCGATGTTCCTCCAAGAACACAGTTTGAAAACCACTGATCTAACAGAATGAGCAGAAGTAATAGAATCCTCAGGCCCAGGGTCTGTTAAACTACCAGGCTGTTTTCCAGCTCCACCTCATTGAGAACTACTACAATGAATCCATGTTAGGGATGAGACATGTCCTGTTTTGAAAGAGTACACATTTTTAAAAACTTGGGAATCACTGATATAGATCACATTTTTCAACTCAGAAATAAAGCGGCCAGGTGCTGTGGCTCACACCTGTAATCCCAGCACTTTGGGAGGCCAAGACAAGCAGATCACTTGAGGTCAAGAGTTTGAGACCAGCCCGGCCAACATGGTGAAACACCCTCTCTACTAAAAATACAAAAAATTAGCTGGGCATGGTGGCTTATGCCTGTAATCCCAGCTACATGGGAGGCTGAGGCAGGAGAATTGTTTTAGCCTGGGAGACAGAGGTTGCAGTGAGCTGGGATTGCGACACTGCACTCCAGCCTGGGCAACAGAGCAAGACTTCGTCTCAAAATAAATAAATAAAGCATCTAGGGCTCAGAAGGTGACCATTTAAACTTCATTAAAACACAGCTACATTTAAAGCTATACTAATTGCTAACAAAAGAAACAAACCTAATATTCAATAAATCTTAGGGACGGGGACCTGCCAAGATGGCAAAATAGGAACAGCTCTGGTCTGCATCTCCCAGCGGGACCAATGCAGAAGGTGGATGATTTCTGCATTTCCAACTAAAGTACCCTGTTCATCTCACTGGGACTGGTTAGACAGTGGGTGCAACCCATGGAGGGCGAGCAGAAGCAGGGTAGGGCATCGCCTCACCTGAGAAGTGCAAGGGCTGGAACCTCCCTCCCCTAGCCAAGGAAAGCCAAGAGGGACTGTGCTATCCCGCCGAGATACTATGCTTTTCCCACGGTTTTTGCAACCTGCAGACCAGGAGATTCCCTTGTGTGCCTACACCACCAGGGCCCTGGGTTTCAAGCACAAAACTGGGCAGCTGTTTGGGCAGACACCAAGCTAGCTGCAGGAGTTTTTTTTTTTTTTTTTTTTGGACCCCAGTGGTGCTTGGAACCCCAGCGAGAGAACCATTCACTCCTCTGGAAAGGGGCCTGAAGCCAGGGAGCCAAGTGGTCTTGTTCAGCGGGTCCCACTCCCACGGAGCCCAGCAAACTAAGAACCTCTGGCTCAAAATTGTTGCTGCCAGAACAGCAGTCTGAAGTCAACCAGGGACAATCAAGCTTGGTGGGAGGAGAGGCATCCGCCATTACTGAGGCTTGAGTAGGTGGTTTTCCCCTCACACTGTTAAGGAAGCCACCCAGAAGTTTGGACTAGGCAGAACTCACTGCAGCGCAGAAAAACGGCTGTGGCCAGATTGCCTCTCTAGATTCCTCCTCACTGGGCAGGGCATCTCTGAAAGAAAGGCAGCAGCCTGAGTCGGGCTTATAGATAAAACTCCCATCTCAGTGTGACAGAGCAGCTGGGGGAAGGGGCAGCTGTGAGCACAGCTTCAGCAGACTTAAACGTTCCTGCCTGCTGGCTCTGCAGAGAGCAGCAGATCTCCCAGCACAGTGCTCGAGCTCTGCTAAGGGACAGTCTGCCTCCTCAAGTGGGTCCTTGACCCCCATGCCTCCTGACTGGGAGACACTTCCCAGCAGGGGTGGACAGGCACCTCATACAAGAGAGTTCCAGCTGGCCTCAGGTGGGTGCCCCTCTTGGATGAAGCTTCCAGAGGAAGGAGCAGGCAGCAATCTTTGCTGTTCTACAGCCTCTGCTGGTGATACCCAGGCAACAGGGTCTGGAGTAGACTTCCAGCAGACCTGCAGAAGAGGGGCCTGCCTGTTAGGAGGAAAACTAAGAAACAGAAAGCAATATCAATATCAACAAAATGGATGCCCACAAAAAAACCCCATCCAAAGGTCATCAGCATCAAAGATCAAAGGTAGATAAATCCACGAAGATGAGGAAAAACCAGCACAAAAATGCTGAAGATTCCAAAAACCAGAATGGCTTTTCTCCTCCAAATGATCGCAGCTACTCTCCAGCAAAGGCACAAAACTGGACGGAGAATGAGTTTGATGAACTGACAGAAGGAGGCCTCAGAAGGTGGGTAATAACAAACTCCTCTGAGCTAAAGGAGCGTGTTCTAACCCAATGCAAGGAAGCTAAGAACCTTGATAAAAGGTTGCAAGAACTGCTAACTAGAATAACCAGTTTAGAGAAGAATATAAATGACCTGATGGAGCTGAGAAACACAGCACGAGAACTTCGTGAAGCATATACAAGTATCAATAGCTGAATCGATCAAGTGGAAGAAAGGATATCAGAGATTGAAGATCAACTTAATGAAATAAAGCGTGAAGACAAGATTAGAGAAAAAAGAATGAAAAGGAATGAACAAAGCCTCCAAGAAATATGGGACTATGTGAAAAGACCAAAAGTACGATTGATTGGTGTACCTGAAAGCGATGGGGAGAATGGAATCAAGTTGGAAAACACACTTTAGAATATTATCCAGGAGAACTTCCCCAACCTAGCAAGGCAGGCCAACATTCAAATTCAGGAAATACAAAGAATACCACAAAGATATTCCTCGAGAAGAGCAACCCCAAGACACATAATTGTCAGATTCTCCAAGGCTGAAATGAAGGAAAAAATGTTAAGGGCAGCCAGAGACAAAGGTCAGGTACCTACAAAGGGAAGCCCATCAGACTAACAGCAGATCTCTTTGCAGAAACCCTACAAGCCAGAAGAGAGTGGGGGCCAATATTCAACATTCTTAAAGAAAAGAATTTTCAACCCAGAATTTCATATCCAGCCAAACTAAGCTTCACAAATGAAGGAAAAATAAGATCCTTACTGACAAGCAAATGCTGAGGGATTTTGTGACCACGAGGCCTGCCTTACAAGAGCTCCTGAAGGAAGCACTAAATATGGAAAGGAAAAACCGGGACCAGCCACAACAAAAACACCAAAACATAAAGAAGAAACTGCATCAACTAATGTGCAAAATAACCAGTTAGCATCATGATAACAGGATCGAATTCACACATAACAATATTAACTTTAAACGTAAATGGGCTAAATGCCCCAATTAAAAAACACAGACTGGCAAGTTGGATAAAATATACAGCACACTCCATCAGTGTGCAAAGACACACATAGGCTCAAAATAAAGGGATGGTGGAAAATTTACCAAGCAAATGGAAACAAAAAAAAAGCAGGGTTTGCAATCCTAATCTCTGATAAAACAGACTTTAAACCAACAAAGATTAAAAAAGACAAAGAAGGGCATTACATAATGGTAAAGGTATCAATGCAACAAGAAGAGCTAACTATCCTGAATATATATGCACCCAATACAGGAGCAGCCAGATTCATAAAGCAAGTTCTTAGAGACCTACGAAGAGACTTAGACTCCCACACAATAACAGTGGGAGACTTAACACCCCACTGTCAATATTAGGCAGATCAATGAGACAAAAAATTGACAAGGGTATTCAGAACTTGAACTCAGCTCTGGACCAAGTGGACCTAGTAGACATCTACAGAACTCTCCACCCCAAATCAACAGAATATACATTCTTCTCAGCAGCACATAGCACTTATTCTAAAATTGACCACATAATTGGTAGTAAAACACTCCTCAGCAAATGCAAAAGAATGGAAATCATAAAAAACAGTCTCTCAGACCACAATGCAATCAAATTAGAACTCAGGATTAAGGAACTCATTGAAAACCACACAACTACATGGAAACTGAAGATCCTACTCCTGAATGACTACTGGGTAAATAACAAAATAAAGGCAGAAATAAATAAGTTATTTGAAACCAATGAGAACAAAGACATAACATACCAGAATCTCTGGGACACACTTAAAGCAGTATTTAGAGGAAAATTTATAGCACTAAATGCACACATCAGAAAGCAGGCAAGATCTAAAATCAACACCCTACATCACAATTAAAAGAACTAGAGAAGGCCAGGCGCAGTGGCTCACGCTTGTAATCCCAGCACTTTGGGAGGCCAAGGCGGGTGGATCACCTGAGGTCAGGAGTTCAAGACCAACCTGACCAACATGGAGAAACCCTGTCTGTACTAAAAATACAAAATTAGCCAGGCATGGTGGTGCATGCCTCTAATCCCAGCTGCTTGGGAGGCTGAGGCAGGAGAATTGCTTGAACCTGGGAGGCAGAGGTTGCAGTGAGCCAAGATCGCACCACTGCACTGCAGCTGAGGAACAAGAGCAATACTCCAGCTCAAAAAAAAAAAAAAAAAAAAGAACTAGAGAAGCAAGAGCAAAAAAATTCAAAAGCTACCAGAAGACAAGAAATAACTAAGATCAGAGCAGAACTGAAGGAGATAGAGATACGAAAAACCCTTCAAAAAATCAATGAATCCAGGAACTGGTGTTTTGAAAAGATTAACAAAATAGATAGACCGCTAGTCAGACTAATAAGAGAGAAGAATCAAATAGACACAATAAAAAATGATAAAGGGGATATCACCACTGACCCCACAGAAATACAAACTACCATCAGAGAATACTATAAACACCTCTATGCAAATAAACTAGAAAATCTAGAAGTAATGGATAAATTCCTGGACACATACACCCTCCCAAGACTAAACCAGGAAGAAGTTGAATCGCTGAATAAACCAATAACAAGTCCTGAAATTGAGGCAGTAATTAATAGCCTACCAACCAAAAAAAAACTCAGGACCAGATGGATTCACAGCCAAATTCTACCAGAGGTACAAAGAGGAACTGGTACCATTCCTTCTGAAACTATTCCAAACAATACAAAAAGAGGGACTCCTTCCTAACTCATTTTATGAGGCCAGCATCATCCTGATACTGAAACCTGGCAGAGAGACAACAAAAAAAGAAAATTTCAGGTCAATATCCCTGATGAACATCAATGCAAAAATCCTCAATAAAATACTTGCAAACCGAATCCAGCAGCACATCAGAAAGCTTATCCACCACGATCAAGTTGGCTTCATCCCTGGGATGCATGGCTGGTTCAACATATGCAAATCAATAAACGTAATTGATCGCATAAACAGAACCAAAGACAAAAACCACATGATTATCTCAATAGATGCAGAAAACGCCTTCAATAAAATTCAACATCCCTTCATGTTAAAAACTCTAAATAAACTAGATATTGATGGAATTTATCTCAAAATAATAACAGCTATTTATGACAAACCCGTAGCCAATATCATACTGAATGGGCAAAAGCTGGAAGCATTCCCTTTGAAAACCGGCACGAGACTAGGATGTCCTCTCTCACCACTCCTATTTAACATAGTATTGGAAGTTCTGGCCAGGGCAATCAGGCAAGAGAAAGAAGGCATATTCAAATAGTAAGAGAGGAAGTTAAATTGTCTGTTTGCAGATGACATGATTGTATATTTAGATAACCCCATTGTCTCAGCCTCAAAACTCCTTAAGCTTGTAAGCAACTTCAGCAAAGTCTCAGGATACAAAATCAATGTGCAAAAATCACAAGCAAGCATTCCTATACACCAATAATAGACAAACAGAGTCAAATTATGAGTGAACTCCCATTCACAATTGCTACAAAGAGATTAAAATACCTAGGAATACAACTTACAACGGACTTGAAGGACCTCTTCAAAAACTACAAACCACTGCTCAAGGAGGTAAGAGAGGACACAAACAAATAGAAAAACCTTCCATGCTTATGGATAGGAAGAATCAATATCGTGAAAAAGGCCACACTGCCCAAAGTAATCCACAGATTCAGTGCTATTCCCATCAAGCTACCATTGACCTTCTTCAGAGAATTAGAAAAAATTACTTTAAATTTCATATGGAACCAAAAACGAGCCCATATAGCCAAGACAATCCTAAGCATAAACAACAAAGCTGGAGACATCATGCTACCTGACTTCAAACTATACTACAAGCTTACAGTAACCAAAACAGCGTGGTACTAGTACCAAAACAGAAATATAGACCAATGGAATAGAACAGAGGCCTCAGAAATAACACCACAGCTCTACAACCATCTGATCTTTGACAGACCTGACAAAAACAAGCAATGGGGAAAGGATTCCCTATTTAATAAATGGTGCTGGGAAAACTGGCAATCCATATGCAGAAAACTGAAACTGGACCCATTCCTTACACCTTATACAAAAATTAACTCAAGATGGATTAAAGAATTAAATGTAAAACCTAAAACCATAAAAACCCTAGAAGAAAACCTAGGCAATACCATTTAGGACATAGGCATGGGCAAAGACTTCATGACTAAAACACCAAAAGCAATGGCAACAAAAGCCAAAATTGACAAAAGGGATCTAATTAAACTAAAGAGCTTCTGCATAACAAAAGAAACTATCATTAGAATGAACAGGCAACCTACAGAGTGGGAGAAACTTTTTTCAATCTATCCATCTGGCAAGGGTCCAATATCCAGAATCTAAAAAGAACTTAAAGAAATTTACAAGAAAAAAGCAACCCCATCAAAAAGTAGGCAAAGGATATGAACAGACACTTCGCAAAAGAAGACATTTATGGGGCCAACCAACACATGAAAAATGTTGATCATCACTGGTCATTAGAGACATGCAAATCAAAACCACAGTGAGGTACCATCTCATACCAGTTACAATGGCAATCATTAAAAAGTCAGGAAACAACAGATGCTGGAGAGGATGTGAAGAAATAGGAATGCTTTTACACTGTTGGTGGGAGTGTAAATTAGTTCAACCACTGTGGAAGACAGCGTGGTGATTCCTCAAGGATCTAGAACCAGAAATACCATTTGACCCAGCAGTCTCATTACTGGGTATATACCCGAATGATTATAAATCATTCTATTATAAAGGCACATGGCCACATATGTTTATTGCAGCACTATTTACAATAGCAAAGACATGGAACCAACCAAAATGCCCATCAATGATAGACTGGATAAAGAAAATGAGGCACATATACACCATGGAATACTATGCAGCCTTAAAGAAAAATGAGTTCATGTCCTTTGCAGGGACATGGATGAAACTAGAAACCATCATTCTCAGCAAACTAACACAGGAACAGAAAACCAAACACCGCATGCTCTCACTGTTAAGTGGGAGTTGAACAATGAGAACACATGGACACAGAGAGGGGAACATCACACATGGGGGCCTGTCAGGGGGGTGAGGGGTAAGGGGAGGGAGAGCATTAGGACAAATACCTAATGCATGTGGGGCTTAAAACCTAGATGACGGGTTGATGGGTGCAGCAAACCACCATGGCACATGTATACCTATGTAACAAACCTGCACATTCTGCACATGTGTCCCAGAACTTAAAGTATATATATTTAAAATCTTAGGGACAACAAAATGCTGAAATTCCATACCTCTTCTCTGGTCCCTCCATAATTAGCAGTCAAATGGAGAGACAGTGTGTGCAGTTTTTTAAATGCCCTCGACCTAGACAGAATAGGGTTTGAATCCAGGCTAAATGTTCAGGAAAAGCAGTGAGTATTAAAGAGATTTCAAATTATAACAAATGCAACTTTTTGCTCCACAGTGGTGTTGTATTTTATTTAGAGTAAGGCATTCTTAGTAATGATGGTCAATTGCTTCAGTCTCTCTTTTTGGTTGTATAAGGCTCAAACCTGGGAGCCATCTTGGTTTTTTTCATACCTTCAAAATACATTATATCTAGAACCTGATCCTTTCTTCCTACCTCTACTGCCACCACCCTTGTCAAAGCCACAGTCATCTCTCACCTGAATAGCCTCTCACTTGAATAGCCTCCTAACTCCCTACTTCTAGTTTTGCCCCCAGGAGTATTTTCTTAACACAGCAGCCAGAGTGATCCTCTTAAAATCTGTCATTTCATGTCACTCCTCAGCTCAAAACTCCTCAATGGCTCCCATTTCACTCAGAATAATAATACCAAAGTCCTTGTAATAGCCCATAAAGTTTTACATGATCTGACTACCCCTCCCCACACCATTGGCCTCCCTGCTCTTTCTTGACAGTGCCAGGCATAACCTGCCAGATCAGCCGTGTTCTCTGCCAGGGATGTTCTTCCCCCAGATACCTGCTTAGCTAACCCTCTTATCTCTTCTAAGTCTCTGCTCAAATTTTACTTACTCAATGAGGCTTGCCTTGCCCTTCTTATTTAATACTGCAAATTATTAATACCTGCAACCACAACCCAGGAATCCCAATCCCCTTTCTTTGTTGTACTCTATTTTTCCCACAGCAATCATCTTTCAACACATTACGTAGCTTATTTATTATATTTTGGTTAATTCTGTCTCCCCTACTAAAACATAAGCCTCACAGGGGCTGCAGTGTTTATTTGCTTCACTGGTGTGTTCCAAGCATTTAGAACACTGTTTGGCTTATAATACACACCCAACAAATATTTGTTGAATCAATTAATTCGTTTTGTGTTTACTAGTTTTACATGTGTTTGTTGTACTGTCTTATTTGAGCAAAGACTAAGCCAAATTGACAATCATTTAAGAAAGCAAATAATTACATGAATTGAGGGGTTTTCCATTTTCTTTCTACTTCTGTTTTTAATTTCTTTTTGATACTAACATAAAAATTCCCATGTCCTAAATATAACTCTACTTTAAACTGATGTGCACATTTCCTCACCTAAGAGTTCATCTTCCTTATGTTGTGTGATAGTACTTATACCACTTCCACTCCCTTTCTAGTCATTAGCATTCCCCAATTTGTGAACAGAACAGAACTTTATTTCCAAATATCCATTATTTTTAGGACTGCTTCGTCTGATACATTGGCTGAGAGGCACTCATCCTGAGGCCAGTAGCCTGTGTAGGGACTATTGCAGTGAAGAAATGAGAGAAGGGAAATAGCAGCACATAGGGAACGATCTGTGAGTTGGCCCTTTATGGGAAAACATCGAAAACTCTCTACCCACCCCACTCCACTGGTGGAACAAGGGAAAGAAGAAAAATGAAGGGGGCATTAATAAAGTTGTGTGCTGTAGAGTATGGTTTATAAAGCCCTCCCTTGGCTTCTTTACAAAATCTTCAGTAAAATCTCCATTGCTTTAAATATTTGAAGGGTGGGTTTTCTTTTCTTTCTTTCTTTCTTTCTCTTTTTTTTTTTTTTTTTTTTTGAGATGGAGTCTTGCTCCATCACCCAGGCTGGAGTGCAGTGGCATGATCTTGGCTCACTGCAACCTCTGCCTCCCAGGTACAAGCGATTCTCCTGCCTCAGCCTCCCGAGTAGCTGGGACTACAGGTGTATGCCACCACACCCAGTTAATTTTGTATTTTTAGTAGAGATGGGGTTTCACCATATTGGTCAGGCTGGTCTCGAACTCCTGACCTCGCCATCCACACACCTTGGCCTCCCAAAGTGCTGGGATTACAGGTGTGAGCCACTGCACCCGGCCAAAGGGTGGGTTTTCTTTTGAAGGGATTTGAACGTATTCTGATTTTTACTTTAAGGTTGGCATGGAGCAAAAATGGAGGCTTCCCATGGCAGGGTTACATAAGAAAAATTTTAGGTGTTGGATTAGCAGAATTAATAAGGACCTGTTCAAGTATTCAAGGGAAGATGTTGGGAGAGGGACCATAAAAGTGACAAAAATTCACATAATGAGAGTGCTCCTTTTGGGTGAAGAATCTGACTCCCCAAAACATCTTTTACAAATGTATAACGTCACCTAAGAAGGGAGAAATTGGTAGGGTTTATTCCATCTTTCATTAACTCACTTATTGAGGTTAGTTTCTTTAATAAACAGTGAGCAAAGCCTTGAGAAAAGAAGACAAAAGGAAAGCATTCATAGTTAGGATGAAAGTGGAGTTTCAGAAGTGCTTGGAGGTCAAGTATATTGCCAACAGGGTTAAACAGGCATTGGCACCACAGCATGTGCTCAGGGTCGTGGGGAGGGGACAGAGTGGAAGGTGCTGGCCCTTTGTGTGAGAGACTGTATCATGTTCTCTTAGATTGCATCACATTTTTGCCTAATATGATTTTTGGCCTAAGGTTTTATGTTCACATACAGCCTCATCTCCTACTGGCCTCTTATTTCCAATGGAGAGTTTGCTGTCATTTAAGCAAGTTCTTAACAATGTAGACAATTTGGAGCCCTAATTTAAAAAAAGAATGTGATTAGGTATACACAATACAAGACAGACTCTTAAACCCTGAGTAGGGAGATAAAGAAATAAAGAACACAGAGAATACTAGAGAATCCGAATTTTCTCCTCAAAGAAAGTAAAGGTCTCGTTTGGAAACACAACACACATATTGTTGGAAGGTAATTAACAATTACCAGTGGTAAAAAAGAGACAAACAAACCAAGGATAACATTGGGATAGCTGGAGAAGGCCTTAAAGAAAAGGTGGAATTTGATTGGGCATTGAGGATTGGTGAGGATTACTATTAAATGAAATGTGGAAGAGAAACAGAAATGATGACTCCTTGTAACTGAAGGACTGACTGAGAGACTCCAAAAATTAGACACATAATCATCTGTGTTTCATGTAATAGCAAAAAATCCTTAGAAATTTTAAAGTTTTTTTGTACACAATGTTTTCCCATCTGTTTCTTTATCAAAGCTATATGTTTATGGAAGAATTACCTTCATCATTTTGACTGGTTGGCACTGTACCTTGACTTGAATCCTACCAGTAATACTATTTTCATCTAAAAAGACATTTCAGAGCAGATATAAATACATACCTGTAAATATACACAGGTATCTGTGATCTCATTTTTGTCATGCCCTGGAAGTAACTATATAGTTCGGTAGATAGGGCTGGTTTCATAGGTGTAACCAGTACAGTTCCATAGGACCTGGTGCTCAGAAGGGCCCTGCTTTTGGGGTTTAATGTCTGCAGTCTCCTTAAAAATCTTTATCTTTGATTTTGTGTTTTTAAGTGAAGTTTGATGAGACAATGGAGCATATGATGGGGCTTGGAACCTTGGCTCACACATGTCCCCCCCTTGCCATCTCCTTGCCTCCCAGGAGGGGTTCTCAGCTGCTAGCTCTACCATGTTCCAGCAGCCAAAACCCTGCCCAGCCTCCTTCTTTTTGCCCCTGCCAAGTGACCACTTCTACCCAGGGTAGCAACCAGGTCATGGAGGTGGGATTGCGGTCTGCTGGCACCCTCTGCCTCCAGCAGGGACCATGGTATGTTTGGGAAAGGTCTGAGTAGGGTACATGCACCTAGTAGCATCTTGGGCCTGGGCATGACTGTAGCATCCCTGCTCTAGGCTGTTAGCACCATGGCACATTTGATGGGTGTCTTGGCAGGGTCAAGTCTCTCGCCCACCCATGATCTGGGTACTGAATGTCTCCTGGTGTGGAGGTTATGGTCTTGAAGGAGGGTGCCTGTATCCTGTGGATTAGTGGCAGGCCATGTGAAGGGGAGGTTGACTTCCTGTTCTTTGCAGGGTGCAGCACGTTGGTCCTGCAGCTGATAAGCGGGTGAACCTGGCAGCTGGTAGACAGTGAAAACATAGCAAATCCAGGAATGGGGCCCCGGGCACCTGTGAGTGTCTCCATTTGCCCTCTAAGCATTCCCCTTGCAAGGGAGCACAACATTAAGTAGCAAATAAAAAACACCATGACAAGTTGAGAGAAAGAGAAACATCTGAAGAAAGAAAAGTTTGATATTTTAGTACCCTTAATGGCACTCCCACCTCTGCTTTTTGAACAAGGCACCCATATCTTCATTTTTCACTGGGCCCTGCAAATTACATAGCAGGTCCTGCCTGTAGGCATTCTGCTTCTTTTTTCTTTCTAGGTAACGGGACATAACATCAGAAATGGTGATATGACTTCCATTAATGAAAATAAGCCAATTTTTACAACATGTGGTATTATTAATCTTCAATTACATGTGATGGGTTTAGCAAAGAGGAAGCAATGTTTCTCATACTCATAAGACTCACTATGTCATTAAATTCACTTTATTATATGATTTAACATTAATAAGCAGGAAAGAAAATTTAGTAGTTGTCAGTAAAATTCCATTTTAAATTGCAGTAATTTCTTTTCTGGATGTTCTTGATATCCAGCAATCATGATATAAAATGTTGCTTATGTATAGATGTTATATTACATAAGATAATTTATTTTCAGTACTGAGGCAGTTAAGTTTTCTGTTTTTGTTTTTGTGTTTTTGAGACAGAGTTTTGCTCTTTTTGCCCAGGCTGGAGTGCAATGGCATGATCTCGGCTCACTGCAACCTCTGCCTCCTGGGTTCAAGTGATTCTTCTGCCTCAGCCTCCCAAGTAGCTGGGATTACAGGCACCTGCCACCATGCCTGGCTAATTTTTTTTTTTTTTTTTTTTTTTTTTGTATTTTTAGTAGAGACGGGGTTTCACCAGGTTGGCCAAGATGGTCTCGATCTCTTGACCTTGTGATCCACCCGCCTCGGCCTCCCAAAGTGCTGGGATTATAGGCATGAGCCACCACGCCCGGCCAGCAGTTAAGTTTTCTAAGAATAAAATAAGCATTAAAAATAATTTAATCTTTGAAATATGCATTTCTTGCTGATATGATTGCTGTCTCTTGTATTAGGAAAGTGATGTAGCTTGGTAGAAAAATCTCAGGATTCTGAGTTGGCTCTCAATTTTCTTTTCTTTTGTTAGACCTTGAACAAGCTAGAACATTCCTAAGGTTTATTCTAATCCTAGAGTTCAGTGAGATTTGAATAGCATGCTTTAAACACACACAGACACACACACACACTTTATTTATTTGAATGAATACCACTACTACTAAATTATCTTTAATAATGATAGGTCTTGAAATAATAATGGGTCTTGAAATATGTTTGCTTGAAAGGAATAGAAACCCACTAAATTAGCTCAAGTTAAAAATCTTTGAGAAATTGCGTCTTATGGAACAAGAGTATATGAAATATACATGTACGAATATTAAAAGTAACTCTAGAGTAACCACCATCAGGTAATGAATACAGCACAGCTGTACCTTAAAAGGCCCTTATTTGGCGTGGTGATGGGCTCCTGTAGTCCCAGCTACTCGGAAGGCTGAGGCAGGAGAATGGCGTGAACCTGGGAGGCGGAGCTTGCAGTGAGCTGAGATCGCACCACTGCACTCCAGCCCGGGCGACACAGCGAGTCTCTTGTCCAAAAAAAAAAAAAAAAAAAAGTCCATATTTGCCCCTGTCTGAAAATATCTCCCTCCCTCTCCTTCAGAGGCAACCATTATGCTGCTCTTTGAGATAATTATTCTCGTTATTCTTTATAGATTTTACCATCTGTATATGTGTCTTTAAATAATAAATTACTTTAAAAGGAGCATTATAAAAATATCACCCCATGGTCTACAAGGAAAAGGAAATGGAATAATCTCAGGAAAGACAAGAATCAATACAGTTCTGGACTGTCAGTACAAAGAGTCCAGTGCTGCATCATTAATGCAGTTCAGGTACTAAAATATTGAGTCAGAGAGTCTGATTGGCTGAAATAGCTTGTTTCTCCTTGGTCAGATATCCACCTCTGATCCAATAAACTGGGGCCGGTGAGAATGCAGTATAGCAGAAACAGGGCAGCCAGGACCAAAAAGGCCCAGGCAGGGTTTATTCAAAGGTGATAGATTGTTCAGGAAATAGCTAGATACAATATATAATTCCACCACTGATTATGTCACTTTGAGAAAGTGTAAACTACCATTGACTTTATTTCTTATTTTTATTTATTTATTTTTGAGATGGAGTTTCGCTCTTGTTGCCCAGGCTGGAGTGCAATGGCACGATCTCGGCTCACCACAACCTCTGCCTCCAGGGTTGAGGCAATTCTCCTGCCTCAGCCCCCTGAGTAGCTGGGATTACAAGCATGCGCCACCACCCCTAGCTAATTTTGTATTTTTAGTTGAAATGGGGTTTCTCCATGTTGGTCAGGCTGGTCTCGAACTCCCGATCTCAGGTGATCCGCTGGCCTAGGCCTCCCAAAGTGCTGGGATTACAGGCGTGAGCCACTGCGACTGGCCGACTTTATTTTCTTATAAGCAAATACTGCATTTCGCATTCTTTTAAAATATATCTTCAGGTCCCTAAAAGAAAAATTACCAATCTTAATTCAGTTAATCTGGCTAATGGAATGATTTATCCCTTTTATTTACTGGGCCTTTCTTTGGTGTCTGTGCTGCCATTTAACAGAAAAATGCATTGAATACCTCACCAATTGCTGTGTTGCATTGGACTTCTGATCTCTGGCCACACCTATGTCTTCCTCCTTTCCCAAACAACTTTAGAAACTCAAATGCAATATGTTAAGTAAGAAAAATGTGATGGAATAAAATACATTCTTGTCTATTTGATATTATATAACATAAAACGTAAATTGTGTATTGGAGATGAATTAATTATATCCATGCTCTATTCCAAAAGATTTTGACTCCTGCTTCCATCACAACAGAGACTTTACTGGCCCATTTGTACTATGTGACCCTACCCCCTCCCCTGGACTTCGGTAAGGCAGTCATGGATGAATAATTTGATGCCCCAAAGAGATGCACCCCACTGCACAGCTAAACAAATTAATTTCTCCTTGTTTCAACATTTGAGAGAGGAGACACACAGACCTAGGGAGTGAGTAGCTACATCATTTTTAAAGAGGAGCCCAAGAGGATGATTGCCCTGTTCCCACCCTTGCCTTTTCCTTGAATTCTGTGAGTTTAGAATTCTTAAAGTACAGATCAAGAGTATATTCAACACTTAAACTTATCTGAGTAGGAAAATTGCTCTAAAACAAATGAAAACATGTTTTTAAAAATATTTTTTCATTTAAAAAACTAAGTTATTTCCTAAAACAATAGTTCTCATCCTTTAACATGCATCGGAATCAGCTAGAGGGCTCGTTAAACACAGATTGCTAGGTCCTACCCCCAGTTTCTGATTCAATACATCTGGGATGGAGCTGGGTCATGATAGTTCAAATATCTGTCAAGCTCCCACATGATGATAATCTTCCCAGTCCAGGGACCACCGCTTGAGAAACAATGCCCTAGAAATAATCATCTAAGAAGTATATCTAACATAACCTTTTTCATTTTAGCCAAACAGTAAGATTCTATGCAAGAGCGCAGTGGTTAAGAGCTCTTACCCTGTGTATTAGATCGTTCTCATGCTGCTATGAAGAAATACCCAAGACTGGGTAATTTATAAAGAAAAGAGGTTTAATTGACTCATAGTTCCACATGGTTGGGGAGGCCTCAGGAAACTTACAATCATGGTGGAAGCGGAAGCAAACACACCTTTCTTCACATGGCAGCAGGAGAGAGAAGTGCCGAGCAAAGGGGGAAAGTCCCCTTATAAAGCCACCAGATCTCATGAAAACTCACTCACTATCATGATAACAGGATAAGGGTAAATGCCCTCGTGATTCAATTACCTCCCACCAGGTCCCTCCCACGACACATGGGGATTGTGGGAACTACAATTCAAGATGAGATTTGGGTGGGGACACAGCCAAACCATATCACCCTGGAAGACACCTGATACCCTAAATGCAAATCTTAGCTCTACCACTTACAAGCTTGGGAAGCCTGGGCAAGATACTTAACCTTTCTGTGCTTCTTCATTTGTAAAGTGGAGATTGCAATAGATAATACCAATAGGCAGCCGAGCAGTACACAATTTCAGGGATCCCATTCACAAAGATCACAATGTGAATGGCACCTCATGGAATTATGCAAAAAGGCCTTCCTGTGATGAGGATCTACCTCATGAAGTTGTGATGATTAAATAAAAGTTGTAAGGATTAAATAAAATGTAATGCATTGAAGGGTTTTATCAGGAGTTTCCCCTTTTGCAGCTTCCTCATTTTCTCTTGTGGCCACCATGCAGGAAGTGGCTTTCACCTTCCACCATGATTGTAAGGCCTCCCCAGTCATGTGGAACTATAAGTCCAATTAAACCTCTTTTTTTTTCCGCCAGTCTTGGGTATGTCTATATCAGCAGCATGAAAACAAACTAATACAATGGCTCATGTCTTGCTTATGCAAACAAAATCCTAAATTTGAATGTGTCTCCTCCAAAATTCAGGTGTTGTTAAAGTGCTAGTCTTAAAAAGTAGGGTGTTTAAGACGTAATTAGGCCATGAGGGTTCTTCCCTCATTAATGGGATTAAGGCCCTTATAAAAGAGGCCTCACGCAATGGTCAGTTAGCTTGCCCTTCTGTCAGGAAGGATGCAGCAACAAGTCCCTTTTCAGACAAGATGTCAGCGTCCAGAGCTGAGAGAAATAAATTTCTGTTTTTTATAAATTACCCGGTCAGTATTACTCTGTTATAGCAGCACAAAATAGACAAAGACACATGTCATGGTAACTGTATCCTCTGTTAAGAGTTAAAGGAATGAAGGACTACTGTGCAAGTGTAATAGATTAAACATGTTTTTTTTCTAAGAGATGTATGTTTTGTCACCACTATTCCCAAATAATATTTTAATATCCTGAAACATTAATACCCTATCAAGAAGTAGTAGGGGCTCTGTATAGATTGGACTTGAATGGCTTTTAAAATTTGGTCAATTTACTCTCCAGCATGTGTTCTTGATTTCAGATATTACCGAAGTGCATAGGTGGTAGATTGCACAATTTTACTTGACAGAATAAGAGAGTGCTTTAAACAAGGAAACAAGTTGAAAAAGAACAAAATTGTATTTGGAACAGTAGGGGTAGTACAAGCCAGGTGAGCTTGGTGCCATTTAAAAAAAAAAAATCCTTTGAGACATGTGTGTAAATGTTCATAGCAAAGTTATTCATGAGAGTCAAAACCCAGAAACAATCCAAATGTCCATCTTGCAGAGAATAGATTTTTTTAAATGTGGTATATTAATTGTCTATTGCTGTGAACAAATCACCCCAAAATGTAATGCCTAAAAACAACAGGAAATCTACCTTACTTAGCTGGGTAACTCTGACTCAGTCTCTCCTGAGGTTGAAGTCAATGTGTTGGCCAGAGCTATAGTCTCATCTGAAGACTGTACTATGGAGAAGGGGTATCTGCTTCCATGCTAACTCACGTGGTGCTAGCAGGCCTCCAGCTTTCACTGGTGGTTGCCCAGAAAAATTAGTTGCTTGCTATGTGGACCTCTCTATAGGGCTGCTCACAACATGGCTACACAGTCCAAGGGGCTTGAGAAAGTGAGAGAGAATGAGAGCTCCCAAGATGCAAGTCATAGTCTTTGTATAACCAGGTCTCAGAAGTGACATTCCATCACTTCTGCCACATCCTGTTCATTACGAGTAAGGCACTAGGTCCAGCCCATACTCAATGGGAGGGAATTACACAAGGGCATGAATACTAGGAAGTAGGAATCATTGGGGACTATCTTAGAAGCTGCCCACAAGTGTGGCATATCCATATACTAGAATATTATTCGGCAATAAAAAAGGAACAACCTGCAGAGATATGCTACAAGTAGGTGAACCTCGAACACACTAGGCTAAGTAAAAGAAGCCAGACATAAAGACCATATATTGTATGATTCCATTTATATGACATTCTGAAAAAGGCAAAACTACAGAGATGGAAAGCAAATCAGTGGTGGCTTAGGGCTGGGGGTGGGAATGGGGGAAAATGGAACATTTGAGGGGGATAAACATGTTCAAGGCTGGGTTTTAGTGATGATTGCACACCTGTAAGTTTAATAAAAAGCATTTAATTATATGCTTACCAAAAAAGATGGCATGGGATACAAAACAATTAGCCTGTAATTAAAAAAAAAAAAAGTCAGTGTTGTGAAAAGGAGAATTATTCCATATTAAAAGAAACTAAAGAGGCATGACAACCAACTACTATGTATGAACCTGGATTGAATCCTGAAGGGGGTGAGGATAGAGAAGGGTAATGGGAGGATGCCGTAAGACATTATTAGGAAAACTAGAAATAATTACATATGGACAATAGATTAGATATTAACATTGTATCAATATTAAATTTTCCAAATAATTGTCTCTGTGGTTATATTTCTTTGTTTTTAGTAAATATATGCTATTTAGGGGTAAAGGGACATATTTTCTATAACTATCTCTCAACTAGTTCAGAAAAAAAAAAGTGCATACAGAGAATGGAGGAGTGATACAGCAAATGTAGTAGATTGTTAACAATTGATAAACCTGGGTGAAGGGTATATGGGAATTCTTTACACTGTTCTTGCAACTTTTTTATAAGTTTAAAATTATTTCAAAATAGAAAGTTAAAAAAAAATCTTTGAACAAAATTCTTTCTCTGTCCCTCAGCTTCTAGCTAGGATCAAATACAGCTATCAACATAAATAGTAAAACTAACTGGAGAAAGAAAGAAACAAATTATTTTTTACCTCCTACTACTTATAGGCTGCTTTTTTCCCCTCTGTTTCATTTAATTATCATAACACTCCTTAGAATATCGGTTCTCAACCTCAGCTGGACATTACAATCTCCTGGGGAGCTTTAAAGCTTCCCATTCCCTGGCAACAACCACGCTGATGAATTTAGAAGCTCTGGGATGCACCCAGTTGTTAGAAACAAAATGCCTGTTCCTCGATTGTTAGAAACAAAATGCTTGTTCCTTGGAGCCGCAAAGAAATAGCACTCAAACATAAATTTAATTTTCTCAGCAATGCAATTTTTACTTCTATAGAAGGGTGCGAGTCACGAATGGAGTAATGGCAAGAGCATACCTGAACAAGGGAGGGGAAGGGGTTCTTATTCCTGATGCAGGTAGCCCCCTACTGCTGTGTCCTTCCCCTCTTGGCGAGGGTTGGACCACACAGTCTAAGCTAATTCTGATTGGCTATTTTAAAGAGAGCAGGGGTATCAGCCAGAGTGGCAGGGTGGGTAGTTTTGCAGGAAGGACGGTTAGGAACAGGTAACTAAAGGTGACTTAGGTCAGAGCTGGTGACCAGGGGTGACTCAGGTCAAAGCAGGTGACTGGGATGAGTCAGGACAGAGCAGGTGACCAGGGGAACAGATGTGAAATACTGATTAAAACTGGTGGAAAAGCTTGTTTACTGAAACTACGAGGAAGTTAAACTTTAAAATGGAGGATAAAGAACTGAACATACTGACATACTGATTCTTTGAAGAGAAATCAGAATTCACTGTATCCAACATAGTCATCAGTATTTTTTAAAGTTCTTCAGATGATTCCATTACGCAGCCAAGGCTGAGACCACTGCCTTGGACCTAAAGCTTTATCATCTCTACTTTACAAATGTCAAAGTTGAAGTCCAGGGAGATTCAGTAACTTGCCCATGGTTACAAAGCTTCTGGAAGTGGCAACAAGGATAGAGGTGGACATGGGCACATAGAAAGAGGGAGGAGGGCCATGTGACACTATTGCAAGTTGTCCCCACAGCACCTTCTGGCTGCCTTCTGTTTTCACTCAGCTTTCCAGAGCCTGACCAGCAGGCGAGAAGCTGAGTTAGGCACTGTAAAATACAATGAAACCTGCTTATAAAATGAACATGAGCATGTAAAAGCTAGTGAATATGAAAAATTCTATGAAAGCACAAACCTGCTTTGTAAGGGTGAGATCGGGTAATGGGAGTAGATTTAATCAAGAAAGACTTCTTTGATAAGTGGTCAAGAAAGAGAAATTGATATCCCTAAACATGTCATTGTCTTCTATTTTCCTTTTTGGCTCTTCCTTAAATTTCCTTCGACTAGATAAAACAGATTTAAATTTTAAAAACCTCAATATAAGAAATTTTGAAAAGACTTCACTCCAAATTTAGAACAGTTAAATATATCTTCTTTAAGGTATGTTTCTTGATAACTTGTAAATCATTAGGAAGAATTATGTCTCATTTTAGTTAAGTCCCATCTATTAATTTTTCATATTGCTGAACAAATCATGTTCACATAATAATCCTTAATTGCTGCCGTCCCTAGGTTTCCCAAACATTTTAAAATAAGCCCTTCTGGAGTGCTATTTAAGCTGAGAAGGGGAAATTTGACCCACAGTTTATCACTTAGCTCATTAACATGCTAATATGACTACAATTTGCATTTGACTAGGGGGTTGTTCTTTCACCCCTGTAATCTTGTTGGCAGAATATCACAGTTTTTGGTTGATTTTTTTTTTTTTAAAAAAACAAATTGTCTATCTACACTAGGGAAATAAGGTGGAGGTAATACAAAAGGCTTGGAAGTGAATTAATTGCTCTGTAACAATTCCGCATTGGTTTAGACCCTTAGGTGGTGTTATTTGCACAGCTCTCGCAAATGCTAATGATCAGTTCACATTGGCATTTAAACAAAATCAACCCTAAGACATTTCTCACACTTCCTAATGAGTGATTTCTTTTTTCTTAGTCTCAAGTTCCCCAAGTCCTGCGGTGATCTAGGATAGCTCTACTTTGATAATTAAGTGTGTCTGGGGCCTTCCAATAGCTTTCTCGGTTAAGTAGTTCAGAAAGAACTAACTCTTTTTCTAGCTGCTTTACCATTCAAAGCATTTACCTTGCTGTGGATATACAGAGGAAGGAAATTAATACTGGATCTTATTGATACAATCTTACTGATAATAGAGGTTTTTATTATAAAAATGTAATTAAATATTTTACGTAATATGTTATTTTGAAATAGTCTAAAAATATTTATAGAAAGCCGTGATAAAAAACACATTCACAGAGAGGCAGATATCTCTGGTGTAATGACACCATTGGTTTCTATATGTGTGCCAGTATAAGCATAGATATATAATTATCCAACAGAAACATTTATATTTAGGAGATACCAAATACTAAATAGGTCTCTCAGCCCAACTGGTCAGATGAGTGTCCCTTTTAGTGCCCCACTAAATTTCTTGGCAACAGGTTCACATTGGTTTTCTCTGTCCTGGGACAAAGTGCCTAATAAACTTGCCTAAGGTAATGAAGGTACTTAAATACTCGTCAATTATGAGTACAAAATAATTAACTGGTAATTGGTACTGGTAGAATTTCTGTGATGCAAATAGGAGTAGAGATTATTTTGGGTGGGCTGTAATGGAGTCCTTTCCAGTCACTTAGATGACTTCCTACTCCATCTCTATTCAAGTAGGAAGATGACTTCCTATTCCATCTCTATTCAAGAAGAAATACCTGTTGATAATTCAGAGGGAGGGAGGAAAATGAAATGAATGACGTGAATCATTATCAAGCATCTACTATATGCAGGACACTATGATAAACACACTTAACCTATGTTATCTCATTTAATTCTCTCAGCAACCATAAGACAGATTTCCCTACCTGACAAATGATGGAGGTTCCGTAACTTGCTTGACATAACATGATAAGGTGATAGAGCAGAGATTCAAGTATAGTTCTATCCATTCCAAAGCCTGCTTTCTTTTCACTACACCATGTTGCTGTCAAAACAAAAGAAAGAAAAATCTGATAAGAAAATACGTCTGAATATTTGATATCCTATTGAGGGAAACGCAACAAGGTTTGGGATTAGACATGCCAGAAAGGGTATATTGCTCAGGATATTGCAGAAGACTAGAAGATAGCTAGAAATAGAAACAGGAGAATCCAGACTTCTCAGGGACCCAGAACTAAGAATAGAATATACTTGGGTAACTGAACAGACTGAAGGCTGTCAGTAATAGAGTTCTTCTAAGTTGAACAAAGGTGAACTCTGAGTCTGTATTTGTGCCTGTGGTTTTGAAAGAACAGTCTTATCACTTGTAGTAGCTTCAGGAAGATTAGCCTAAGTACATGTTGCTGCCTTGGGAATTCACCAAGAGGAGAGTGTGAGAGAAAGGCAGGAACACACCTGAGGGGTTTTCTCTAGGGTATATAACAGCAATGAAATTGTTGGGACAAAGGGTATGAAGATGAACATCTTAGGTGGTTCCAAGTATTACCAATATAGGAGAGGACAGCTGTTCCTAAGAAGTTGCTCCAAGAATATGGCCTGACCTCTCTATGGGAGGAAAATGAAACTGCCTTCACTCCATCAACAATTCACTAACCCCATCAAGAACATGGTGGGTTCATCATGAATGTGGCACTGGATTCTGGGAGAGGCCAGTAGATCCTCAGGATGGTTCCTGCCTTTGAAGAGCTGATTTTATGATGTAGAGCTGGAGCATAAGTCCTAAAACACTAAATACACCCCCTGGATGGTGAGTGCATGTGAGCGGCAGCCTCGGGAAGTCAGGGAAAGGAGAGATGTATGGAACCTGGTGACAAACAAGGCCTCCTGAGGGACTGGAGGTGGATCTTGAAGGACAGGAAGGTGAGAGGACATGAAACAGGACAAAGAAGAAAAGAAAAGAAATGCTGATAGGACCATCTGGCCTTGGATCTTCTGAGCTCTGATACATATACCTTATTCACATCATATACATATGACATATGTGTGAATGTGGGCATGTATATATTTATTTATACATAAAGAGTACATTATGTGAATATTACTTGTAGTAGTGTAAGTTAATGCAACCACTTCAAAGGGCCATTTGGTAATATCCGTGTAATTTGCACCCTTTTTCTCAACAATTTTATTCCTAGCTATATACCCTAGAGACAGTCTCCCTCATGTGCTCAGGGAGACAGGAATAGAACAGTCATTGCCATGTTTTTAACAGAAAGATATTGGCAACAACTTACATGCCAATCCATAGGAGAAAGAATAAATGAATCATGGTGTATTCATCCCTGGAATATCTGTGATGCAACAGTTAAAATCAATAAAGTAGAGCTATATACATTGATGTTAATAAATCTCAAAAATGATGAGAGATAAAAAGCAAATTACAGGAGAATATATTCAGAATAATATTTACATAAAGTTTTAAAAATATGCAAAACAGTCCTATATATCACAAGTATATAATAAAAATATGCTACATAACATATATGGTCAAAAATAGAAAAAAACATTTTACCATAGTGGTAGCTCCTGACAGTGAGGCAGTTGAATACAACTGGGAAGGGGATCTTCAAAAGTGTAATATTTTATTTTTAAACTGTGTAATGGACACATGAGTGTTTGTTTTATTGATCTTTAATATTTTGTATGCCTGGATATTTCAACTTAAAAACATCAGAAGAGGTAAAAAGATCAGAAAGATATACAGTGAAATGTTTAACAGTATTTGTTGGGATTATATGTGGATTAAAATATCATCCTTATATTCATTTTTATTTTCTAAAATAAATGTATCATTTTTATTTAATATTTTATAAGTAAAAGGCCGGGCGCGGTGGCTCATGCCTGTAATTCCAGCACTTTGGGAGGCTGAGGCAGGTGGATCACAAGGTCAGGAGTTCGAGACCAGCCTGGCCAATATGATAAAACCCCATCTCTACTAAAAATATAAAAATTAGCCAGGCATGGGGGCGGGCACCTGTAGTCCCAGCTACTTGGGAGGCTGAGGCAGGAGAATCGCTTGAACTCGGGAGGTGGAGGTTGCAGTGAGCTGTGATTGTGCCACTGCACTCCAGCCTAGGTGACAGAGTGAGACTCCATCTCAGAAAAAAAAAAGAAAAAAGAATTTTATAAGTAAAAAAGTAAAGAAAAAAACAATGCATTACAGAGGCATGGTATATTTCAAGGGCCTAGAACAGTAATTGACACATATTAAAATCTCAAAAAATATTTACTGAATAAATGGATGGATGAATAAATGAGACCATAGCCACACAGGCTGGCAGGAAGGAAGAGGAAGCTAGGAATGGTGGTGGCAGGCTAGCGCCTGACGCAGGTGGTCCTGTATGGTACAATGTACAGTAGCAATCTTCTTCTTTCTAAGGAGAACTAACTCAGGTATAAACATATTCATTCTGGTAGATGGGGTTGGGCAGAGGCAGAAATGCTGATTTGGTCACTTTTTCCATTCTCACCCATCCTATTTCTACCTTCTTCCTCTTTCCTACCTTACCTGTATTGCTGAGATTCCATCATTCCTAGCACCTGAGCCTGCTTGTCTATATGTAAATATCTATACGTAAAATGCGTCTGCGTAAAATGTCCATATGTAAGTAGTGTCTGTGGTTTAAACAGCTAACCTAAGTAACTTGGTTTGTGTCTAGACATGAAATGGATAAAAGCTAATTAATTTTGAGTATCAAACTCTAAAACATCATCTCAAACTAGTCAACATTCAGAAAGCTAGGTCTGAGTCACCACAGACAGATTACATAGATTCAGCAATACATTCATTTGCTTCAAGTGAGTCCCTGTTAGTATTTTTACCGAAGTTCTTATGCCTCCAAGCTGAATCATATATCACTTGGTAAGATTCTGCTTTATTAAATTGACTAACAAGGTAATTCTTTGGGCTGAGGCGATTTTAGGAAGATACAACAAGAGTCTGCACAGAAAATAGCAGTAATTTTCTAAATACAGCCAAGTCAATTGTATCTGTTGTGCACTAAGGGAAAGACTCCTGGGTTTTAGTAGATAGCCCACTATGTAATCATCCTGGCTGAATAGACTCAGATACTTTGTTTTGAAGGGAGTGCAGAAATCCTGCAGGTTTAATTGCCAATAAATCAGCATGACCTCTACTCCCTGGCAGGCCTTTTCTACAATGATCTTTTCAACCAGAAAATGAAGAGATGGATTTTACAGTGTGTGCTTACTGCCTATGGTAAGATAAGAGAATTACACTTGCTGTTTCCTCCATTACAGGCTACGCTAGATAATGAAGGACTCTATTAATGACATGTTCTGTTTACTTTTAGGTTATTTTCATCTTGTATTACAGTTATTTATTTTCATTATTATGGAGGACCATCTTTAAAAAAAAAGCTATCATTTGTGAGTTCAGTATTTTACCATCATCAGATTTCATTCCCTAGATAATTCACAAGAATTTGCCTTAAAATATTCTGGCTCACTCACAAAGCTGTTCACAAACTGGTTGAACTGGATGTTGCATTTAGCTGATTTTCAGATTTATTTTGAAAAGTATATATTTTAAATTAATATTTCCAATACATGGCTATAATAAATACAGAAATTTTAACACTCATCCATACCCAAATGTACCATAAACTTGATGTTTATACTGTGGAATTGTGTGTTTATTTTAATTTGAGTAACATTCTGTGGAATATATTTATACATTTAGATTTTCAATTGTATGAACACTATAAAAAAACACCAAAATTTAAAACCATTAAACAATATTAGGTTCTACTTCTTATTTAATTTCTGAGTGCTTCTGTTACCTATTCTGAATTTAGGATGGTGCTTTTCCTGCCTAACCACAGGGAGCTGAACCGGATGATCTCTTGAGGCTTTTTCCAGCTCCAAGATCTGTGATGCAACCTGCTGTGTCGGGAGGTCATGTTGTTTTGGGCGGTGTGTGGGAGAATTCTGTTGTTCTTTAAATATATATCCAAAAAATGTATTAGGATTGAGAAGATTCTGGGACTACAACAGCAATGACAGTTTTTTAATCTCTCAAAATCCTAACATAACAACAAACAGATCCACTAGATAGCAAAACCAAAAACATTTACAATAAAATCAGGTGATAAAGCATCCCTGGAAAACCCCAAATACCAGCAGTCCCCCGCTTACCCACAGTTTTGCTTTCTGTGATTTCCCATGGCACAGTACAATAAGATATTTTAAGAGAGAGAGAGACCACATTCACATAACTTTTATTATAGTATATTTTTATAATGGCTCTATTTTATTGTTGTTAATCTCTTACTGTGCCTAATTTACAAATTAAACTTTATCATAGGTATGTATGTATGGGAACATAAAAACATAGTATATATAAGGTTTGGAACTATTTGCAGCTTCAGCCACCCACTGCGGGTTTTGGAACATACCCTCTGTGGATAAAAAGGGACTACTATACAAGCAGATTAGAACAAATCATTAATATCTGCAAGATCTGCCATTTGTGTGGGAGAAAGCAGAGGAAAGCAATAGAGCCCCTGACAAACCCAAGAACAGAATAGGAAAAATAGCCAACAGATATTTTGTGAGTGCAAAGTGCAACAGACCTATTTGAGAATAGTAGCTGAAATTTGGAGGCATTTTCTCCCACTCCAAAAGCAGATGAATACAAGAGGCCCATATTAAGGGTGGAATGAGCTAGAACAGTTGGGCCACAATGAACTTATAAAACTGACCAAACAGGGCTTCCTTCCAAAATGGAGCATGACCCAGACTTCTGAAACTGGAATCAAAGTGGATCAGGATAAAGACAACAGAGACAAAGGTAAGAAGACCCACAGCTAGAAAATCTCAGGAGGCAAATAGTTACTTTTAAAAATTACTTTATGAAGACAAAACAAGGAACTTTCCGAAGTTAGTAAAACTGCCATCAACCATGTCTCCTAAAAGTTCAGAAAAACCTTTTTCACATAAAATGAGCAACAAATCAGTTACTATGCAAAAATAAAAAGCAGAATGACATGAGTTCAGTCAACAAAAGCACACTGGAGACATGTGTCCACAGAACACATCAAGAGTGTAACTTTCAGTTTCAAAATAAGCTAAAAAGCATTAAGAAAGTAATGTAAGACATGGGAAAATCTATTAATCAGATTTTTAAAACTCAGAAATGAGATGATAGAACCCAGAGAATTAGAAACAAAAATCACTTAAGAAATAAAGTCTTAACTAGAAAAAATACAAGAGAATAAACTACAGATAATGCCATAAGAGAAAAGAGAGTGAAAGGAATAAGGATTTTAAAAATAAAAAAAGTTAAAAGAGAAACAATTCAATAGAATGTGAAAAAAATTGAAGACAAAGAAGATCCAACATATAGATAATAGGAAGTCTCCCATATGAGAAATCAAACTGAGAGAACTGAACAGATACTCAAAACCGTAATTCAAGAACTTTCCTGATATAACAAGAAAAAATATTTTAAGTTACATGTTGAAAGAGCACACCATAGTCTGAGAATAGTCATTCAGAATAACCAACACCAAGACATAATTTAGTAAAATTCATGGACTTAAAAAAAATGGGAAAAAAATCTTTAGACATTTAGGCAAAAACAAAAACAGAAAAACCCTCAAACCCATGTGATTTTATGAGGCAAACACAGATTAGCAAATTTGTAAATAATACTTCATGCCAGATAAAAAGGGAGTACCATATTTGAGACACTCAAAGAAAACGTGAGCCAAGGATTTTATATCCATCAAAGCTGACCTTCAAATATAAAAGACAAACATTTATCAACATGCAAAAACTCAGGGAATATTGCTTTCACTTTCTTTCCCTGAGGAATCTGCTAGAAAATGAACTTTAGACACCAAAATGATTAGAGACATTGACATAAGGAATGCTCATGAGCATTAGCAAATAGTTACTTGTAGGACTAAGACTAAACAAGTGGTAATAGGGAAAGCATAGTACGTAATGGCTATCTGACAACGTCAATACAGTACATCTATTAAAACTGAGGGGAGAAGGGGGAAAGAATATATGGAAACGATTTTAGCTGTTCTCAGTAAATGTATATTTTTCTGAGCCTGTGATATGTGTAATACAGGATAAAGTAAACAGCAATTATCAGATATTCTCTGCCCTTGAGAACTAGGTTTTTTTTGTTTTTTTTTTGTTTGTTTTTTTTAGAGGGGGTCTTGCTCTGTCACCCAGGGTAGAGTGCAGTGGTGTGATCTTGGCTCACTGCAACCTCCGCCTCCCGGGTTCAAGCGATTCTCCTGCCTCAGCCTCCTGAGTAGCTGGGATTACAGGTGCCTGCCATCACACCTGGCTAATTTTTTGTACTTTTAGTAGAGACAGGATTTCACCATGTTGGCCAGGCTGGCCTCAAACTCCTGACCTCAAGTGATCCACCCACCCTGGCGTCCCAAAGTGCTGGGATTACAGGCATGAGCCACCATGCCTGGTGAGAACCAGGCTTTCTTGTGTGAATACAGGAGGATTAAAAAACAAACAAACAAAAAAACTGTGGTCCTGAATCTGAATTGGAAATGTTACTATTAACTCAGAGGTATTTTTTATTTAAAATGTGTGCTTTTCTGTATGTGTTGTTTTAAAAACAGTTTTGTTTAAGGATATTTTCTTTTTCAACCTTGATATCTCTGTCCACAGAAGAGGCCTAAAAACAGTGTTCAATCCTGTAGTGATCAGCACCCATGAAAGCCAGATTGTGATTTTTGAATAGCATTCTCATTTAAAGAAACCAGGGCTTCTTGGAGAAATGGCTAATTTCAAATCTTGGGAAATGTATTAGTTTGCTAGGGCTGTTGTAACAAAGTACCACAAACTGAGTGTCTTAAACAACAGAAATTTATTGTCTCACAGCTCCAGGCTCTCTTCTCCCTGTTTCTTCACATTGTCTTTCCTCTATATGTATTTCTGTGACCCAATTTCCCCTATTCATAAGGATACCAGTCATACTAGATTAGAGCCCACTCTAATGACCTCACTTCAATTTGATTACATCTGTAAAGATTCTCTCTCTCAGTGAAGTCATATTTTGAGGTACTTGGGGTTCGAATTTTAATATATGAATTTTGGAGAATATAATTACACTCATAACTGGCAGTCAATATACAAGATGAGCCTCAACTATCTTGTCATACTAGATAGTGGGGAACCTATCAAGACTTACCAGGGTCTGGCTGGATGCAGTGACTTATGCCTGTAATCTCAGCTCTTTGGGAGGCCGAGACAGGTGGATCACTTGAGGTCAGGAGTTCAAGGCCAGCCTGGCCAACACAGTGAAACCACATCTCTACTAAAACAAAAATTAGCTGGGCATGGTGGCAGGTGCCTGTAATCCCAGCTACTCGGGAGGCTGAGGCATGAGAATTGCTTGAACTCGGGAGGCAGAGGTTGCAGTGTGCCAAGATTGTGCCACTGCACTCCAGCCTGGGAGATAGAGCAAGACTGTCTCAAAAAAAAAAAAAAAAAAAAAAAAACAGAACAAGGACTTACCAGGGTCATGTCCAAAGACCCAGGAGCCAGCCTAAAGAGATTTCCATTGGCTAAACACAGGATGATAACAATTTGAGCTTCAAAGTTGATAATAATTTATTAAAACTCATCAATTATAATTAAATACATGTGTTCAAGTTTATATATTTATACACATATATGTATGTATAAATATAGTTGTTTGTTTTAAGTTGGTCTTCTTCAGAAGATGATAGACAGCTAAATCATTGTCTTGAAAATTAATAATGGAAAAGAATTAAGCATTTGTCCTACCTTATATGAACAGTGCCATTATATTACTAAATAGTTAATGAGGGAAACCATCTTTATATAAAACTATTTCAACAAGTAAATTAAAAAGAAATGATATAAAGTGTCACCACTTTTTAACCCCCAATGATTTAATGGACATAGGCACTGAGCACCAACAGCTGCTGATGGTACAAAAAGAGACAGGCAGACATGTCTCCATATGAAACAAAACACCATCGCCTAGTCTTCCCAAAGGAATCAAAGTTGAGTATGATCATATCCCCAGATCTAGCTGCCAATCTGTGGGACATAAAGAGGACAGAGAAACTGGTTGAACTGCTTCATGAGTGCATAATCAGCAACATTCAGAGTGTAGGGGAGTAGATGGTCTGGGTTCCTCAACAGATAGAGTATAAAGAAGAGAACTGGAAAAGGAACCTATAACTTGGAATAGAATTAAAAGAAAAAAAAATGTTAACAGACAAGACAAAACAATAGTCTAGGGATGCACATAGGATGTTTTATTACATTTGGGTGATAATTCTGTAAAGAAATTGAATTGCTTTAGTACCCAGATACTGGTTACTTTTGGGGAAAGAGGAGGTTATAATTTGAATGAGCATTTGGAGAAGCTTCTGCGCTGGGGTTGGGTTGGCAGAGTTCTGTTTTTTGGCTTGGTTGGTGGTTACAAAGGTGTTTGCCATAATGACTCATAAAGCTATACTGTACATTTTTTGTGTATATTTTTCTGTACCTGTCTTTTGTTTCTCAATCAAAAGATTTGTCTTCTTTTTGTTTTTATTTTCCTTAAGAATAATGCAAAACACAGAGAGCTTTAGAAGAGACTTTTGCTGTACATTGCTTTCATTTTAGGACACTTGTCAATGTCTTCCAAAAGTCCTAGTGTGACCCCATTTCTCCATTAAATTCAACAAGGACTGTTCCTGGAATAACAGACAAACACACATTTTATCTGCAACCTGACTTAAGGACAGTGTAGGAAGAAAACAAGAAAGAGGCCAGTAAAGTAGGAAATAAAAAGTCTTGCCATTCAAGATATTCTTGCAAAAAATATTAAGTGGAACTCCTGGGAATGTGTATGTATAGGTATGGCAGTGTTAGTTTAGTGGTATCACAAAATCTTTCTGAGAAGCTAGAGGATCCCTCACTGTCTGTGCAGGTCTACATCCTCAACTCTATTCAGATTAGGCAAACAAAACAGCTTTGATTCATTCCATCTATTGATCTTTTGACTTTAAGATGTTAAGGGGCTACCCGGAGATCAATTTGTTACCCTTATCAGTCTTTAAGTCTTCAGCAAAGCTCTCTCTGAAAGCTAACTTTCCTGAAGTATCATTAAGGCAAAGAAACAGCATCCACTTTATATCACAATAACTCATTACCTGTGATGAGTGAGACGAGGGCCATGGGATCTGTATCAATCAGACAATTTGAAAGTATTTATTGAGCATAGATTTTTCTACAGAGTCTCAATTCCAAATATGATGTGCTATTGTATGACTGGAGTTGGAGCTCTAAATATATGGTCACCATAGCTATATTATAAAATCATTCTTTGTCTTTCCTTCTTCCTCTAATGAAGGCAGTGCCACTCTTACAGGTAGATCTGACAGATTAATTTAACACATTTGAAAAATTTTTAAATGATTAGAACCAGACCCAGACTATCTGAGGATATGCCCCAGAATCCCCACGGTGCCACTTGGAGGAGTAGGGTTACTAAGCATGCAGTGTTATTTAAATCCTATCAATTTTTAAGGCCTAATTCAGCATTATCTCTCTGTTTCCAAGTACCTTAAGAGCATTACAAATGGAACTGCTCATAACCCAGCTTTCATTATTGTCATTATTACTATTGAACATTGTTTTCCAATCACTTTATGGTGGTTAACTTTGTGTCTCTATCTGGTTGCAAAGTTTCCTGTAGGCAGCAATTAGGCCTTCTATTCCTGTATTCTCCATTACATATAGAAAGCACTCAATACTCATTGATCTCATTGATTGATCCTTCATTTCCTCCATTTATTCAACTAACAATTTTTTTTTTTTTTGAGACGGAGTCTTGCTCTGTTACCCAGGCTGGAATGCAGTGGTGCGATCTTGGCTCACTGAAACCTCCACCTCCTGGGTTCAAGTGATTCTCCTGCCTCAGCCTCCTGAGTAGCTGGGATTACAGGCGCGTGCCACCACACCCAGCTAATTTTTCTATTTTTAGTAGAGATGGGGTTTCACCATGTTGGCCAGGCTTGTCTCAAACTCCTGACCTCAAGTGATCTGCCTGCCTCAGCCTCCCAAAGTGCTGGGATTACAGGCGTGAGCCACTGTGCCTGGCCTTCAACTGACAAATATTTATTAAGGACCATCAATTTATAGATGTAGGGTCATAGCTGTGAGCACATCTGTGCTCTCATGAAACTTCCATTTTAGTGGTTGGAATAAGTAAAAACACCAGGGTACTTTCATTTTCTTTTCCAAATTATGAATCCTAAAATGACCAACTTCACAGCAGTTGCAGAAGTTAAGGTGCACTTTGTACAAAGAAAGTTTCCAGCATATTCTGCTGCTTAGTGCTATGCTAACAAAACAAAACAGGCTCACCAGGTGTGAATTCATTCTGATCACTGTCCCCTTCAGAGAGGTGCTTACTTCAAAAAGCCAAGTATTACCTTTCAAAGTCCTGAGGTGGGAGGAGTTCACACACGGTTTCCCTTTGGTTCCCTTACTTCTTCCCATTACTTTCCCTCAGACATATACTACTTTATATAATATAGTTATATATGTATATATGTGTATACATATATGTGTGTATATGTGTATACATATATATGTATACATATATGTATGCATATGTGTATACATAGGTGTGCATATATGTGTATACATGGGTGTGCATATATGTATACATAGGTGTGCATATATGTGCATACATATGTGTGCATATATGTGTGTGCATATGTGTGTGCATATATGTGTGCGTATATGTGTGTGCATATATGTGTGCATATATGTATATGATGTACATATGTATGTGTGTATTTTTATTATTTATTTATTTTAGAGTTGGGGCCTTGCTCTGTTGTCCAGGCTGGAGTGTAGTAGCACCATCATAGCTCACTGCAGCCTTGGACTCCTGAGCTCAAGCAATCCTCCCACCCTTAGCCTCCTGAGTAGCTGGGACTACAGGCGTGCACCACCACGCCCAGCTATGTGTGTATATTAAAGTCTGTTTCTTTTCACTGCATTCATAGTGGTTCTAGGAAGACTTTTATTTTAAACAGTAGTCACCCCAGTGCCGTTTGTCCTCTGGAGGGATTTCTCAAAGGCAAGACAGCATCAAAGCTGTAAACCTTTGCTTTTGATTCTCTTTTTTGATGCTGGAAGTTTCTCACCACGTGCTTTTTATTTGTCTAAGCAATAGTGGTATGTGGGAAGCCTGGGACTCTGGCTGCTTCTCAACTGTTGTTATTTAGGTCATCAGTAGTGTTGAGTGGCAAATTTTACAGCACTGTAATAACAGTAAGACTGATTCTCAAAATATGTGTTTTCCTTGTTATATTTGTTTTGACAAAATAATCTTTGACAGAAAGGAGAACTAAAAAAGTGAATATATTTGTTCCAGGCTAACTGTCCAAACTTCATGATGCACACAATATAAGAGTCATAAAACTCCACCTTTAAAAAAGTAATTATAGTGCACATTGGTATAGTGCTGCATATAATGTTATAAATCAATTAATAGATAGCTACAAAGACACAGGTATCTTCTGAATGAAGATGAAAGTGGGAAAGTCACAAGGATGGCCCTCAATAAATATAAAATCACCCCTGCATCCCACTGCAGGGGTATCAGGCCAAGATAGTAGGTACAATAATACTTGTTGAATGAATGAATTTAATTCACTTCTTTTATCCGCAACTCCCAAATCCCTAATATTTCAATAGTGGATTATCTTTGAAGATAAGGACACATGTTATGAATAGGAATAATAATAGGATTATAACAAATCATATATTATTTTAAACTAGTATCAGTATGGTCAGAATTTAGGGTCTTAAGCCAGGGTTCATGTAAATAATTGTTCACTCACTCTTTGTGCATCATCTGAGTAATCCAATTACAGACAGATGGGAAAATAAAAGTTTCCAAAACAGGAATCAAGAGCATTTTTCTTGTTAGAAATGCACGTTCTCAATATTTCGCAGGTTTGCTCTAGGTGATCCATTCTTGATACCCAAAGAATTGCTGTCAGAGGTCTTACTACTCAGAAGTGGGGCTAAGTGTCTTTGAAGAACTATGAATTTATGGATTGTCATGTGGGGTGATTATTTTTATTTGTCCAAATAGAAAGGGCACATGGAAAGCAGATGGCTGTCATTCAGCACAGAATGGCTCCAGGTGACAGTACTGTTCCCAAGTTGAGCTCTGCGGAAGCTCAAACCAAGTCGACTGTGGACAATCGATGGGTAACTGCAGTCTTTCCTGCATAGACTCTGAGCTGAACTTTGTGCTGCATTATCTCCTTGTAAAGAGAGATTTGTTTACTGAGCAAGAGATTTCTGAAATGATTGAAAGTCCTAAAGGTAGAGAGTAAAGGATTCTTGTCAAACAAGTAGAGTTCACATCTCTAGTCCAGCCTGGGAAGAGCAGAGAAAATATAGACATTTCTTAGGTTTCTTGTTTATTCATACAAATGGAACAACAGAAATGCAGTGATCCTGGAGAGTCTTAGGCTGAGAAACAGTTGGTCTCATCAAATGAGTTTCTCTAAGAGTAGATCATTTGGGGGCCCATATGTTAGACAGCTAGTTGAGTATTTCTACCCCTTAAAGATATGGCAGCTTACAACCCTTGAAGGACAATTAATTCTGTTAATATGTTGGTACTGACCAGTGAATTCAAACTATAATTTCCTCATATGACATATTTGTAACAGCCAGCTTGTTTCTCCCTTCTATTTCCATAGCCCACAAAGCTAGAACACTCTAATTTGTCTAACTGGTGAGTGGAACTCAAAGTTTTTAGTCAGGAAGAACTTGAAACCTGACCAAGTCTCCAAGCAGAATGCATAATGCACATTGGCTACAGAGTTATATGGGAGATTGTCCCTAAAAAAAGTGTGAATCATAACTGTATAAATTAAAATAAATCTGTGTGTATACTTAAATAATAGGTCTTTCTAAATTTACCCCAACTTCTCGAGCTGTGTTGAATCACATTTGCATTCATTCATTCATTCATTCATTCGTTCACTTAACAAATATTTATGAAGCACCTACTATCGCCAGGCTCTGATCTAGGTACTAGGAATATAACTGTGATCAAAAAGATGAAAATTGTGAGGCTTACATTTAGTGTATTTAACAATAATGGCTTCAGCATATAAACAACATTCACCAAATTAATTCCATGATTGCTCCAAGTGACCCATTTTACTTTAGTCTGTCTCTGACCACTCTTGGCTCTCAATTGTTCTTCAGTTTATTTCCTGCCTAATTACTTTAGTTTGGCACATGGATTGACAGACTTTCAGATCAGAGTCTGCACTTTGTTCTTTGTATTCCAAGCAACTACCTTTCCCTTCTGGCATGGTTCCCCTGACAATAAATGATCCAGTAATAAACCTCCTGACTTGCACCCCCAGAGCCTACCACTTTTCTTACAGCCCATACATACCGGAGATGGCCTAGGCCACAGGCAGATGCTAGACAGTAGACTTGTGCTTTGTCCTAAGCTCTAGAATGCATGGTTGTGCACAGATTCTGCTTGGCCCAGGGAAAGCTGAAAATAAACGAGGTAGTTCCAGGGCAAAATCAAGAAGCAGATGAAGATAACTTTCCTACCTTAACTTCCTGTTTCTTTCCCTTTCCTCACTTGGTACATTTTTTCTATCATTTTACATACTGCTTTGTCAATTGAGGGACCAAGAAAAGGGGATGTTTCTTCTCTGACCTGTTCCTTCTGCCCGCATAGAAGGGAGTCCTGGCTGTAGCAGCTGGAGGCTTGCTCCCTCTGAGCTACTAGGAGTGGGGAAGATCCATTCGGATTTCCTTCCCTGTCCCCTGAGCTCTAAGTCCTCATTAATTATGCTGTGCCTTAAGCCTCTTGGACACCAAGAGCCAGAGAAACCACCCACAGGCCTATGTCTCTGTATAATAGTGGTAAATAGCATTAGTTGAGTGCTTACCATGTACTGGGCTCGTACTAAACACTTCACATGCACTATCTGCTTAATCCTCCCAACTTGATGAAATAGGCATATTATTGCCACAGTGTGAGATCTGAGTGGAAATTTATTTTACTGTTGACCAGGCATACAGTGGAGTTTTGGCCCTAGGGGCTGGGGTTCAAGAGAGAAAGTGGGCTGGGCGTGGTGGCTCAGGACTGTAATCCCAGCACTTTGGGAGGCCAAGGCAGGTGGATCACTTGATGTCAGGAGTTCAAGACCAGCCTGGCCAACATGGTGAAACCCCATCTCTACTAAAAATACAAAAATTAACCAGGCATGGTGGCGCATGCCTGTAATCCCAGCTACTTGGGAGGCTGAGGCAGGAGAATCACTTGAACCTGGGAGGTGCAGATTGCAGTGAGCTGAGATCACACCACTGCACTCTAGCCTGGGGGACAGAGCGAAACACCGTCTCAAAAAAAAAAAAAAAAAAAAAGACAGATAAAGTGTTTTATGTTAGTTGTGTATTGCTGGGTACTCCCAAAAGTTACCTCAAGTTTAGCAGCTTAAAACAACAAACATTTATTATCTCACAGTTTCCAAGGGTAAGAAATCTAGGAGCAGCTTAGCTGAACGTTCCTGGCTTACAGTGTCTCGTGAAGTTGTAGACAAGATGTTGGCCAAGCCTGCAGTCATCTGAAGGCTTGATTGGGATGGAGGATTGGCTTCTAAGATGACAGACACTCATGGCTCTTGGCAAGAGTGGTAGCTGACTGCACTCATTGAAAAGACCTGAGTTCCTTGCTGGATGTAGGAAGACTGAAGAAGACTTCAGTTCCTTGCCTCATGGGCCTCTTCTCTAGGCCTCAAGCCATGGCAATGGGCGTCCCTGAGAAAGTGCAGTACAAGAGAAAGCAAGGCAGAAGCCACAATGTCTTTTGTAACTTAACCTTGTAATTGACATTTCATCATTTCTGCCATATTCTATCCATCACATAGACCAACTCTGACACAATGTAGGAGAGAACTACCCAAGGGCATGAATACCTGGAGGTGTAGATCATTGGGGGGCCACCTTGGGGTTGGCTACCACATCTTCTAAAGCTAAAACCACAAACTAGCTCTCTTCTATATTAAAAAACCAAGTCTTAGAGTGTCTCTTATTGGCTGGCAATATCTGGCTTTATTGATTAGATATTATATAAGTGCTGGGCTGCTTAGAAGTGTTGTCTTCCCACTCAGGTGGAATGCCCACTCAGGATTAGGGCTGTCAGTTGTCTTTACTGACAAGTGTAAGTGGGGTACCCAATTTGGGATTATTAGTTGTTATTTTAGCAGAAGTCAGGTTTGTGCCACTGTCAACCTGGCTATGTTAAGGGTTTGTGATCCTCATTTTATAGGCTTTGGGAATTTAGATATTTGCTCAAGGCAACACTGCTGTTAAGTGGAGGAAACAAGGATTGTAATACAGGCAGTGAGACTGCAGAGGCCACCCTCATAACCACTACTCTACTGCACTCTACCCTAAAACAGGCTATAGCCTCCTAATTCCTTCCAGCCACCAGCCCCAAACCCAAGAAGCAAAGGGAAGGGAAGCTAGAGAAGGAAATGGGTGCTACTCAAGAGACTCTTGAGGATGTGTATGGTAGGTCATCCTAGAAGACTGGAAGGTAAACAATTTGGAACCACCCAAGGGGTTTACCTTGCCCACTGCCTAGACAGAGCTGATTTCTCAAGACAGGGGAATTGCAATAGAGAAAGAGTAATTGACACAGAGCTCGCTGTGCGGGAGACTGGTGTTTTATTGTTACTCAAATCAGTCTCCCCGAGACTCTGGAGCAGTTTTTAAGGACAACTTGGTGGATGGGGGGAGCCGGGAGTACTGATTGGTTAGGGATGAAATCACAGGGAGTTGAAGCTGTCTTCCTGAACTGAGTCAGTTCCTGGGTGGGCCACCCAGGATCAGATGAGCCAGTTTATTGATCTGGGTAGTGCCAGCTGATCCATCAAGTGCAGGGTCTGCAAAATATCTCAAGCACTGATCTTAGGAGCAGTTTAGGGAGGGTCAGAATCTTATAGCCTCCAGTTGCGTGACTCCTAAACCATAATTTCTAATCTTGTGGCTAATGTTAGTCCTACGGAGGCAATCTAGTTCCCAGGCAAGAAGGAGGCCTGCTTTAGGAAAGGGCTGTTACCATGTCTGTTTTAAATTGTAAACTATAAACTAAGTTTCTCCCAAAGTTAGTTCAGCCTATGCCTAGGAATGATCAAGGAGAGCTTGGAGGTTAGAACCAAGATGGAATTGGTGAAGTTATACCTCTTTCACTGTCTCAGTCATATTTTGCAAAGGCAGTTTCAATATGGTTAGGTCACAAGAATGCTCCAGCATAGAGATGGAATGAGAAGGTCGACGAAAGGGATCTCCTGCTTCTGATGGGCTGATTCAGGGTCTTCATTTCCTATTATGTATGAAAGTGACATAGGAAACCTGGTTTTGGTAAAAAAATTTTGCAAGGGTACTTTTCATTGATGCTGAATAATTAACAGAATAAAAGGAAAACATATAGACACTTTCTTTGGCAAGATAAAGGGAACACAGCTATAGTCATTAATGTAAAATGTTTCCCATTTGTGTCTGGTTAATATAATCACTTTCAGGAATACATGCAAGAGAATCACGGGCTCTGAAGTGAATCTAGCAGACTCTAAAACATGTTTCCACTGGATGTTTCTCTTAGGGCTCACTCTGCCCTACCTTCCTTTTCCAAAAACAAAATAGAAAGTAGCTATTCCTTTTGGGAAATGGAAAGTGATGCTTGCCCTGAAGATACCGTGGAGGCTGACCCAGGCACTGTGGCTGATGTATGTGCATTATGCAAGTATTTTGTTAGAGATGATGCCACATTAAGAAGCGCATACGTATCTTCCTCTTCTGTGACGCCTTCTCCGATTTTGCCATGGTGATCCAGGTACTCTCTCTTCCTGTTTTACCCACATTGAAGTTTGGATTAAGGGTAAGAAAGGAAAGGTCACGTTAAAACATGGAGCATTTGGAGTTGAGGAGGTTTGCATTGCTCTAAGGATTGTTGGGGAACTCTCAGACTTCCCAGTTAAACTTTCAAGTTCTTGGTTCTCATTTTTCTTCAAGAGTGAATGTAGGGTGGGATATACTCCCTTCTTGCTGTGCACCAAAATAAATACACTGACCCTTTCCATTTTAAGGGCTTCGTTTGGGACTAATTATCATGGAAAAACAGAAGGTAATAACAAAAATAACAACATGGGGAAGTACAAAGTCTCCAAAAAAACCTGACATGGTGTTCAACTTTATCCTTATCTGTTACCCAGAAATGTAGATATCTTCTCTTCTGCTGTCAAGGGCAAGGCTGTCATCAGAACTTCTCCTTTCTGAACCTTTTCTCTCCCTTATCTTGTTCCCACAGACCCCCTTCTCCTTCTCTGAGGGCCTCTTTGAAGATGTGTAAGAGCAGTTTGGGGGTGGACACATAAGCATCCGCATGCCCCCAGAAAGAATCATTTACTGTCAGAGTCATTAAAAAAAAAAATTCTCTTCATCTCTCTCAATGCCTCCCTTGTGCCTCTAAATTTTTTTTTTTTTTTTTTTGCAGTAGAGCTGAACGCAAAAAAACTGTGGCTGGGGAAAAAGGACATGGGGATGAGGCAAAGATGGGGGCTATGAGTAGGCACCAAAGGCAAACTATACCTACTTGGCCATTTTGCTGAGGGCCTTTGGTGGTCAGTCTGAGTGGGGTGCCCTGGACATCATTTCTAGGTGAAACATTTAATAGGCTGCACTAGGTGTGTATTCTCTATAAATGTAGATCTGGACACTGTAGATGTTAGTGTGCAAATGAGGAACCCAGCCTGGTATAACCTGGAAGCCAGTGCCAGTGACACCACAACTTGATAATATCACACAAGCAGAAATCTTAGCAGTCTTGGTTTGCTAAATGAGAATAAAACATACTAGTCATTTCTAATAGGAGAAGAGAGAGTATATCCAAAGTCAGCTTTTAAAAATGTCTCTGGCTGGGTGCGGTGGCTCACACCTTTAATCCCTGCAATTTGGGAGGCCAAGGTGGGCGGATCATGAGGTCAGGAGGTTGAGACCAAACTGGCCAACATGGTGAAACCCCGTCTCTACTAAAAATACAAAAATTAGCTGGGCATGGTGGTGCGTGCCTGTAATCCCAGCTACTCGGGAGGCTGAGGCAGGAGAATCGCTTGAACCAGGCCATCGGAGGTTGCGGTGAGCCGAGATGGCGCCACTGCACTGCAGCCTGGTGACAGAGCGAGACTCCATCTCAAAAAATAAAAATAAAAATAAATTTCCAACTGTTAGTGTGCTTAATGCATTTGGCAAGAAAAGGTGAACTCTAAGTTGGAGAATGTGGCTGATGATGCTAAATTGTTTGGAGACATTAAAAAAAAAACAAAACAAAACATGGAAAGATTCTGAGAAACTCCAGATGGACTCGAACATGTTGACAGAGGCAGCAAGCAGCCATATGACAGGTTAAGTCTCACTTGAGTCTTCATAATTTTTAAAAGTAAGTGAAATTCTCAGAAAAGCTAAACTTACTGAAAGAAGGAAAGAACTGTAGAATTCATAATAATCTGTCCAGGGGTTGAAGAACTGTTTACGAGTATGGATCAGCCCAAGGGTAAAATGGGAACAATTGACTTGTTGCCCCGTCCAAGATAGCTGGGCGTTCTGCTCCTATCCAGCCATATAGAATTGCTTATGGTTCCCTGAATACACCATGCTGGGACCCCTCCCTCCCAACCCTACCATTCTTATTACTTTCCATCTGTGACAATTATCACAGTTCGTAATTAGATATTTGTCTGATAATTTGATTGTCTGATTTTGTCATTCTGCAAACTTCAAGAACAGGGACTTCGTTCTGTTCAGAATTGTATCCCTGGCCAGGCATGGTGGCTCATGCCTGTAATCCAAACACTTTGGGAGTTCAAGGCAGGTGGATTGCTTGAGACCAGGAACTCAACACCAGCCTGGGCAACATAGTGAGACCTTGTCTCTACAAAAAAAATTTAAAAATTAGAAAAAATTAGCCCAGTGTGGTAGTGTGCACCTGTAGTCCCAGCTACTCAGGAAGCTGAGGTGAGAGGATTGCTTAACCCCAGGAGGTAGAGGCTGCAGTGAGCTGTGATTGTACCACTGTACTCCAGCCTGGACAACAGAGTGAGACCCTGTCTCTACAACAACAACAAAAGAATTGTATTCCCAATGACTACCTAGTGCAAGCTCTTAATAAATATGTTTAAACAGATGAAGAAATGAACCTTTGCCCATGTTTTTGTCCCTCTTCTTGGAATATTTTGCCTCTTCCTATTTGGCTGGTAAACTCGTATTTATGTTTTTCAAAACTCAGCTTGTGTCACCGCTCTGAAACACTGCTCCTGCAGAGGAAATTACAGCCTCTTTTCTCTCTATGTCTTCTAAGCATCTGGACTGCTACACTCTTAACACTGTACTGCAGTTGTTTGTTTATGTGATTCTCTTGACAATTCGCCTATGAGCTCCTTGAGGTCAGGGACTGGATCTTATTTATCTTTTTATTCCCAGTACCCAAGTGGTATTCAGTAGGTGCTTATAGATATAATCAATGAACTTTATATTTTCTAGCCATCTCCTCCAAGGAGAAGTCCATTTAGGGGCAGCACTGAACTAAAGAGGAGGAAGGTCAAACTAACGTACCTGCCCAGGGCCAGGCTAATTTGAAGGCGATAGTCCACTCCACTGAACAGCAGAAAAACTCAGGAATTGGTGGCATCAGGTACCTGGAAGACAGAGGCTAGGTGAAGGAGTGAAAATAGGGAGTAAGAGTGTGTAAGAAGCCCCTAGATGTCTAGGTTCCCACCCACTCTACAAAATAGGAAGATGGGTTTATGGAAAAGCTAAGCTAGAAAGTCTTAGGAAATCAGGTACCACACAGAGGAGAGCTGGCAGTGAGGTGCTAGAGTCTGAAAAGAGGAAAGTAAGAGCCTCCATGCCCTTCTCTGCCAGGTTTAGCGGCACTACCTCTTTCCCCTCCACTCATAGAGACGGGGTGATCCTTCTCTGGAGAAATCGAATACCACCGGAGAAGAGACCTACTTATATTAATTGTAGGGATACCAAATGAAAAAGTTTGCTGGCCATCTGTTTATAATCTAGTAAAGGCCATCAGAAGACAGGGCCACCAACATATAAATAGCTTCCAAACATCTTTCAAATGCCTTGTTTTATTTAATATAATTTGTTAACCCAAAAGTATCTGAGACAGATCTCAATCAATTTCAAAAGTTTATTTTCCCAAGGTTAAAGATGTGCCCCTGACACAGCCTTAGGAGGTCCAGATGATATGTGCCCAAGGTGGGCAGGGCACAGCTTGGTTTTATACATTTTAGAGAGACATGAGACATCAATGAATATGTGTAAGATGTACATTGTTTTGATCCAGAAAGGCAGAACAACTCAAAGGGGAAGAAGAAGCTTCCAGGTCTTAGATAGATAAAAGACAAAAGTTTGCATTCTTTTGAGTTTCTGATTAGCCTTTCACTGAATATACAATTTACATGTGAGAATAGAGTAGAGGAGTAGACACTTATGTCAGTCCGCCTTAGTGAAACAATAGGGCAGAGTAAGCAGTCAGATAGGCAGTTGTCTCAGGTGAACAGACGGATGACTTTGAGTTCTGTCTATCCTTTATCCACAAGGAATTTCCTTGTGAGCAAATTGTGAAGGAGGTATGTAGTTAAAAAACAAACAAACAAACAAAAAAAAACTCTTTGTAGCTATCTTATTTAGTAATAAAATGGGAGGCAGGTTTGTCTTATACAGTTTCCAGCTTGACTTTTCCCTTTGGCTTAGTGATTTCAGGGGTCCTGAGATTTATTTTCATTTCACAAAATGAATAGAAAAGATACACAAAAATCACGGGAGATGTGATTAAATCCCCCAATAACGTAGGTGGAAGCCAGCAGAATAAAAACAAAAATTCAGAGGAAGACAAAAGGCTTTCAAAGAGAAAAAAAAAATCATTCCAAAGGATTGGAGTAAAAGAATACTACCGGACTTCTCAACAACATTAAGAGCTGGAAGCTAATGGAATAATGCCATTGAAAATCTTAGTAAAAATGATTTTTAACCTAGAATTCTATACTCACCCACCAAAACAAACCTTTGATTATGGGTGAGGATAGGATATACACATTTTTATAAAAGTAACATCACACAAAGACGTTCTTTTCACATATCCTTTCTCAGGAAACTACTGGATGATTTGTTCCACCAAATGATGAAATAAACCAAGAAAGATCCAAGGAACAGGGGATTACACACAGGAGTCAGGTGAAGGGCATCTCCAGAATGATGACCAAAGGAAGTCCCTGAAGACCAACAGATAAGACTAGGCCAGGTGGCAAGCCCAGAAAATAACCTGTGTGAATTAGGTGGGACTGGGGGCTCCAGGAAGGATGGTGCCAGGAGGAAGAAAATGGAACTACTATTAGATTATCTAAGAGGTTGGTCATGTGAAAGTTTTTGTTGAGAAGCATTTTACACAGCTGTTGGTTTATTGTGGGAACACTTACAATTGGTTCAATGAAATCTAAGCAAATGGAAAAACGTAAGCAATTGCCAACTTCAAAATAAATTAAAAGATATGCAAGAAAAAATGTAATCTCAACACTTTTCTTGATTCATCAGAAAACAATATTTACAGTCATATTAATTGAACTGAATATGGATTTTACCAAAAGATGTGATACAATTACGTTGGGAGAATGGGAGAATGGGAGAAGGGGCAGAGGAAGAGTAGCAGCGCTAATAGCCTCACCACCAACAAAATGAAATCAATAGATAATATCTAACTTGATGAATAGAGAGAGAATCACAAATCCAGGAATTGGAGGCAAAGAGAAACAGCTAATACAGCTGAAAGTGATTGTCTCTGGATAATGGAATGTTGGGGGTGGGATAGAGCTGCGTGAAAATACGGCTGTTTTTTGTTACAAGCCTTTTGAACTACTTGACATTTTAAGCTATGTACATATATTGCTTTGATAAGTAAAAATTAGTTTTAAAAGAGCTATCATATTAAAAGGATGGCAGATTATTAGCCTGCTACATTGCTCATGTGTCTCATGGCTGTGCTCTTCTGCATGTAGGATGGAGGATGTGGTCAGAGAAAGAGTCAGGGACAGGTTATGAAGTGCTTTGTGTGCCAAGCCAGAGAGCTTGGGTTTTATTATAAAGGGAATGAGGGAGCCTTTGGAGATCTTAAAAAGTGGAATAATAGGATCAGAAGTATCAGACATGCTCTCTAAGCATTAGTTTCCTCATCTGTAAAATGACGAGTTGGCCTAAGAAGAACGATTCTGCCACTTTCCCCTACCGAACATTTTATTGTAAAAAATTTTAAATGTCATTTGTTACTACTTAAACAATGTATTTGTTAATTAGTTATTTTTACTAGCATTTTATGTATCATTAAATTATAAATTATTTAAATTTCTTATGAAAAATTTTCAGAAAAATCAAATTAAAAGAACTATCCAGTAAACATCCATGTAACCACCTAGATTCTGCAATGAACATTTACCATGTTTGCCTTCTCACATAATGGTCTATCTATCTGTCAGAGGCAGTCAAACAAGAACGACTCCATTTTGAGTGAGGCTAGGAAAATGAGGCTGGGACTTGCTGGGTTGCATTCCCAGAAAGTTAGGCATTCCTAGCCTCTAGATGTGTATGTTTAAGGGAACAAATTAATAATGTTTACTAAAACAGACCCTGACTTGGGAGTGTCCAGATATCCCAAGTCTGGAGAATAAAGGCATTCCTAATTTTGCTTTAAAGATAATAATATGGATTCTTGCAAAATATAGTAATTAAGAAAATTAATTTTCTATCACAAACCCTAGTAGCAGAGCACATCTCCCCGTATATGCAAGCATTGTACCTAGGGTGGGTGCGTTCCTCCTCTTACTTTTGGGAACATCCTACTCTGTCTATGGAGTAGCTGTCCTTTCACCATTTTACTTTTTTAATAAACTTGCTTTTACTTTGCACTGCAGACTCGCTCTGAATTCTTTCTTGCACAAGATCCGGGAGCCCTCTCTTGGGGTCTGGATGGGGACCTTTGTCCTGTCTATCTATCCTTTTGTCCATCCATCAGTCCATCTGATATTTTTGATACATTTGTGGACATCAACATATTTCATCTCTAAATACTTCAGCCTGTCTTCATTTATTAGAGTTCAATATATTTTTAAGAGTGTTTTGGGTTTTTTGCAAATCTTTAGTGTACCATTCCAAAGTGTTGACAAATACATATGTTTGTATGACCCACACTCTTATCAATATATAGGATATTATCATCACTCCAGAACGTTTTCTCATTATTCTGCCACTTTTTAATTTCTTTGCAACTGTGAAATCCCAACACAGGGTAGGGTGATGATATTTAAGCCATTCCATGAATGTGGGAAGGAGTAAGAGAGGAATATGGGGTGGGATTCTCAACACAGGTTGAGGTTCCAGGAAAATCAGAGAAGTTGACAAGATGCAAAAGGTTCATTGTGGGGAAAGTTGCTAGATAAAGCTTTAAAATCTACTGGCAAAGCCTACACGAGATGACCTCTCATATCCCTTTCAGCTCTGATGCTCTTTGTTTCTGGGGTTTGGAAAGCAGACTTTATTTTCAATGAATTTCACAATCATTTAGTGTGCAGCTGTAGCAGGTACTGAAAGGCTTGCAGCTACTACTAATGCCATCTGTCAGTGGGCAGAATTAACCTGCTTTTACCCTGGCTCAGGGCTTTGGTTATATCTGTCTGCTTTTGTAAGGTAGAAGTTGGTAAGTGGGAGTCTGTTAATATACCATCCTTTACATCTGGTGATAGCGCCTCTTACTTACCTTCTGTAAAAATTATGCAGTGAATAATTTTCCTGTCATGACCAATGATGGGCATTTGTAAGTCAGCTGGCTAGAGTTAGGGTTGCAAGCACAGGAATTTCTCAATATGAAATTAAGTAATATTAGGACCTGTAGTCTCACATCCTTCTTAGCCAGACAAGACTTTAATGAATACTTAGTAAAAACTGCTATCTGGGAGAGTTCTGATTAAACTCTACATTTGTACAGATCATTTATTTTCAGAATGGTGAAGATGCAGAAGTGGCCAGGCACGATGGCTGACGCCTGTTATCCCACCACTTTGGGAGGCTGAGGCAGGTGGATCACTTGATGTCAGTATTTCGAGACCAGCCTGGCCTACCTGGTGAAACCCCATCTCTACTAAAAATACAAAAATTAGCTGGGCGTGCTGATGGGCGCTTGTAATCCTAGCAACTTGGGAGGCTGAGGCAAGAGAATAGCTTGAACCTGGAAGGCAGAGGTTGCAACAAACCAAGATCGCGCCACTGCACTCTAGCCTCTGTGACAGAGTGAGATCCGTCTTAAAAAAAAAAAAAAGCATTTGCCCAGGCTGGATTGCAGTGGTGCGATCTGGCCTCATTGCAAACTTCGCCTCCCAGCTTTAAGTGATTCTTCTGCCTCAGCCTCCCAAGTAGCTGGGATTACAGCGCAAGCCACCACGCCGGGCTAATTTTTGTATTTTTAGTAGAGACGGGGTTTCACCTTGTTGGCCAGACTGGTCTCAAGCTCCTGACCTCAGGTAATCCGCCTGCCTCGGCCTCCCAAGTTGCTGGAATTACAGGCGTGAACCACTCTGCCTGGCCCCCAGTAAATGTTAAATAAATGAATAGAAGTTATAAAAAGGCATTTCCATTAAATAAAACAGTTTGTAAATGCAAGTTGTGCCAGGTTTGGTTTTTCAAGGCCTGTCCTTCGCAGCATGGGTATACCATTCTCTGAAATGATCCCTGGCAGCAACCTCATCCCCACAAAGCCTTATTCCACTTCTGTGCCTCCACCCTGTTACAACTTAAGCATCTGTTATGCTCTGTACTATACACCTCTTTGTTTTCTTGCCTGTATCCCCTATAGTCAGGGTGTACCTTAAGGGCAGAATCTCTATCTTTGTTTACTAAAGCCATGGATGGAAGTTGAATAATGAGCTTTGTATTCCTGAAGTTATGAAAGCTGAGTCCATTTGTTCATCATGCTATCGACAGGATTAACCAGCAGCAAAAGCTTATAGTATTTTGATAAGATTTTTCTCAAGAAGTATTTGTTGAAAACTGTTAAAGGTAAATTATTAATCCATTGCAATTAATGTTCCCAAAGACCTCTAAGAGCTCATTTTCTGTTCTGAGTAAGCTCTATCATCTTCTGTGAACTAAGCTCTATTTCACAGGAAAATGAGGCAGATTATCTCTGATGGGATATTGAACAGTGGTAGTGAGTCTGATTAGGAGGACAATTTTCTTCTCTTTCGTAGAGAAAATTAACAAGACTCTAGGATTTCTAAAGTTGACATAAGAAGGCTAATAGTCTAGAACTAGTATTCAGAAAATGGTAATTACTGTGGGTGGGGGTGTGTGTAATTATTTAACTGGAAATGTAGATCTTAAGTTAGTTAAGAACATTTTTAAAAAGCAGGTTACACCAATGGAATTTGGTTGCTACAGAAAGCCAAGGAGTAAATACTTAATAATTTTACTTTTTAGAAAACGAAGATCCCCAAATCTGCTGTTATGATGAATAATCTAAGAGCACAATTATAATCTGAGATCTGAACCAGGTCAGTTTGGATTTCATAGCCTATACTTTCCTCTTCCCTATATCATAACTCTCTGGAGAAACAAGTGAGATGCCTGATATGAAAACACTCTAAGAATAGTTTATATCTCTTTGTATTCTTTGATACTATGGTAAGAATTGTCCCCTGGCTGCAGAGGATTGTCAATAAATATTACTTCTAATTGAGCCACTAGTGTAGTAGAAAGAGCGTAGACTGGTATTCAAGCCTTGATTGTGGGGCTCACTATTCAGCAGCTCTGGAAAAGTCACTTTAGGTTCAGTGAACCCCTATTTTTCCCTCAGGGATAATTAATTGTCTCTTACGCATCACTCTGCACAAGAGCCAGGCTCTAGCTTAAGCACTTACAGTATTACCATATTTAATTCTCACATCACATAGATAACAATAATAGATAGTTATATTTTCCAGTTGGAAATAGGCTTAGGGAAATTACATAACTTGCTGAAGGTCACCAAGCTCCTCTACTTACAGCTTCAGACATCCAACAGCTTACTCACTATCTCCATCTAAACATTAAATAGGCACCTCAAACTTTATCTGAAAAGCTCTTTCTTTAGTCACTCATTGCCATACCTGTTTCTCAGTCATCCATTTCTCAGACCAAAACCTAGAACCATCCTTGATTTCCCTTTCTCCCAGTCCCTGCTTCCAGTCCTGCCCCATCAATCAGTCCATTAGCTAGTCCTCTGAGCTCTATCTCAAAAATACATTACTTATTCAGCTACTCCTTGGTAGCTCCACTATTACAATAACCCAAGCCATCATCATCCCTTACCTGGGCTCCTGTAATAGCCCCATGCTTCTGTGGCATCACACCTCTCCTAGCCTCCTCCCTACAGGAGAGAAGACAGAGCCCAGAGTCTTCGTGCTCCTGGTAAAACCCTCATCCCTTCCTCTCCCACCAGAGTTATGGTCTCACTGCCACAGTCTACCTGGGAGACCATTGCTGCAAGTCTCGTCCTGCCCTTTATCCTTATATGTGTGCCCTGTATTGCCACAAGGTAGGACTGTATGCCCATAATGCTCTGTATATTTTTTCACCTGATCCTATTTCCTTCCCCTCCATAACACAAGAACTTTCACTGTGCTCCCTGGAATGTGCAGTTCACCATTAGCAAAATTTCCTATACTCTCTTCACCTTCTCGGCCTAACTGAAAATTAGCTGTCTGCGGGGGCACTGCTTCCTTTGCAGTTCTCTCAAGAGGTGGCTGCTTTTCTGTCACATCCCATGTTCCACTGGGCCTGGAGGAGGGATGCATAACCTGTGTGTTCCTATTGCTGCTTTAGGACCATTTTCTCTTGCTCTTCCTAAACTTGCACCACCCCTCCCCACAAAATTCGAATCTCTTTGCATTAAACAACTGCCAGCCCTTCTTTTTGCAGCCATCTGCAGATCTTGGACCACTCCACTTCATTCCTTGAAGAGTTTAGCTCTTGTCTCACTGTCATTGTCTCCAAAGGTAATCTTGTCTTAATTCTGAATAATTTCTATGACATACAGATAATCCTTTCCATGCACTGACCTCTCAAGTCTTTGACCTCTGCCTCTCCTCTCCTCCAATGGTCTTGTCTTCCAACCTACCTTAGCCCCCACTGCATGGTCATGCCTTGTCATTACCAATAGCTGCAACTTCTTTTCCATCTCATTTTAAAATAACCTACTCTCTGACCCCACCTCCTAATTTTCCCATGCCATCCCTCTAGTACCTTGTCAGGATTCTACCATTGCATTATACCTCACCTCCTCATTGCTTCACTTCCTTGCTTTTCCACCTTAGTTTGCATGTTTCTTTCCTACAATTACCCTTTGCATACCCACCTAATCTCTTACCTCTCTCTCCTTTCATTGTACTCACCTGATGAAATCCCTCCTGATGATGCCAGCTTTCCAATTCCTCTGAATGAGTATCCACATAGACAAACATGATTGGAAAATATGCTGACTGTGCCATGTTAAATTCATCACCACTGCTATGGATTCAATTTTGTCCCCTCTAAATTCATATTGAAATGTTATTCCCAATGTAACAATACTAAGAGGAGGGGCCTTTAAGAGGTGATTCATGGATTAATAGATGAATGGGTTAATAGGTTATCAACAGATCGGGTCTGTTATAAAAGCCAGTTTGCATGTTCTTTTCCTGTTGCCATGTGATGCCCTGTACCACCTCAGGACTCTCTGGAGAGTTCCCATCAGCAAGAAGGCCCTCATCAGATGCAGCTCCTCAGTCTTGGACTTTCAGCTTCTAGAACTGTAAAAACTGAATTTCTTTTCTTTATAAACTACCCAGTCTCAGGTATTCTGTTAGAGGAACAAAAAACGGACTAAGACAACACCAATCTCAATTAGGTCCTCAGTGCTGCAAGATAATCCTCCTACCCTTCCTTAATATATTCATTTTCCTCATCTCTTAGATGACTGCTTCACTTTTCACATCTTTTCTCAAACCCCCAACACCTCTCCCCCTCCTTATTCTCAGCTGAGGATCTTGCTTCATGTCTTATTAGGAAAGCAGCAAAAAGCCTTAGATGAGAAATTCTGCTACATCTGCCCACCCACCTGCATTTACACCTGTAGGTGCTGCCTGTCCCTCGATAACAGATGAACTGACTACATTCCTAAGGCCAGCCTGTACACTTGAATACCAGATTCCATTCCTCTTTCCCTCTCAAAGACATTCTCATCTTTTTTTATTAATTTTCCCCTCTTGACTGGATCATTTTCCCTGCCATACATTGTTATTTTTCTCAACTTAAAAAGCAAAAACAAAAATACCCTCCAGCACCGCTAGATTCTTCTGCTCCTTTGCATCAAAACTCCTTAAAGGTGTCCTATCTCTATCTGTTTCTACTTCCTCTCCTCCCCTTTTATGGTATTTGTCTATATACCCTCATTTTATTTCTGTACTTAGAGAAAATAAATGTAAAAAAGAGAAAAATGGTCATTAAATGTGACAATTCTTATCTGAGCATTATAAAAAAGTTGATTAAGGTAAAGAAAAGTAAATGCCAATTTTTCCTTTGGATGGTTGAAATAAAAATAATATTTTAATAATAACAATAGCTTATGTTTACTAAGGACTTACTACATACTACACCTTAATCAGGCACTTCAGATGTGTTTTTTCCTTTAATTTTTATGACAAAAACTCTATGAGAATAGTACTGAGTTACTCCAAATTTTATAGATAAGGAAACCAAGGCATACAGAATTCAAATAGTTAAAAGCTATTTTGTCTCAAATGCACTCCAACCAAGCACTCGCTCCTACCGCCCCACTGAAGTAGCTCTTGCAGTCACTACTGACCTCCATGCTGCCAAATCCAGTGGTCCAATCTCAGCCCTCTTTATACTTGACCTGTCTTCAGCACTCAACACAGTTGCTCACTCCCTTTTCTTCAAAACACATCTTTTTCACTTAGTTTTGGAGACTCACTTGCTTCTCCTTTTTAGCTCTGTGGCTGTTGTTTCTGTCTTCTTTGCTGGTTCCACCTCATTTCCCTGACTAGTGGAGTGTCCCAAGTACCCAATGGCCCAATCATTAGACATCTTCTTTATCTATACTTCCCCACTTGGGAATCTCACCCAGGGAGGGTCATGGCTTGGAAGCAATCCAAGCAGGGAGATTCTAATTTATGTCTTTAGCTACACTTCTCCTCTAAACTCTGGAACTTTCTACATATTACAGCACTTGATATCTCCACATGAATATCTGATAGGCATCTCAAACTTGATGTGTCCAAAACCAAATGTCTGATTACCTGCCTACTCCCACCCCAAATCTGCGTGTCCTACAGGATTTTCATCTTAGTAAATGACAGGTCTGTGCTTCTAGTTGTTTAGGCCAACAACTTGGGAGTCATTCATGATTATTTGCTTTTGTTCACACTTGATATCCAGTCTGTCAGCAAATCTTGTGATTCCACCTTCAACATATATCTGGAATATGACAACATCAACTGTATCAACTGTTGCCATCCTGGTTCAAGCCACTATCAATTTCTCCTGGATTATTGCAATAGTCTCCTAATTAGTGATGTTATATCCAGTCTTGCCTCTTCCAATCTTCTTAACAGAGTAAACAAAATGATCCCTTTAAAACCCAAGTTTTTAGCCATTCCTCTGCTCAAAACCCTCTAGTGGCTTCCATCTCATAGGCAGCACATGCTCCTGTCCTCCTGTGGTCCCAAATGCCCTACATGATGGGAACGCTGCCCTCCTCTCACCCCCTTCCTCTCCAAATACTCTTTCCCTCCCTGCTGCAACTCCGGTCACACTGTCTTCCAAACACACCTGGCATGCTCCCACCTCAAGAACTTTGCCTATGGTATTCTTCTGGTCTCTACTTCTTCCCCCAGGGTCCTTCCCTTCCCACCTTTTGTCCTCTGCTCAGATGCCACTGTATTAGTGAGGCCTTCCCTAGCTACCCTATAAAAATTAGTAATGTCCTCTCCCTCCCTTAACCCAAACCTCCCTTTCCTTTTCCCTTGCTCTGTTGTTCTCCATAGCACTTACCACAATTTGATAATTCCATATATTATCTATGTATTTATTGACTGTCTGCCCCTAAGCTTCATGAGAGAGAAATTTTATCTTGTCTACCTTCATATTTTCAGCACCTAGAACTGTGCCTGGCACCTAGTGTTTAACAAACATTATTCGTATAAATAATGCATTAATTGTAGCTTTATTACCATAAAATATTATTACTGATGTTGTTATGTTAGTTCAGATTTTTCCTTCTTTAGGTAGCTAATTTCTATTCACCCTCCAAGACTTCAGTTAGGAATCCCAAAATCCTACAGGTTTTCCTTTGTCTCCAAGGCTGCATTAGTGTCCCCTCTCTAAGCTCCCGTGGGAAACTGAGCACATCTCTATCACAGAGCAGACCTCGGTCAGATGATAATGTCTATTTACCTGGATTACCAGCAGGGCATATTATCTTTTTTTTTTTTTTCTTAAGAGACAGGATCTTGCTCTGTTGCCTGGGCTGGAGTGGAGTACAGGGGTGGTGTGATCATAGCTCACTGCAGCCAGCCTCAAACTCCTGGGCTCAAGTGATCCTCCTGCCTCAGCCACATAAGTAGTTGGGACTACAGGCACATGCCACTGTGCCTGGCAAATGTTTTAATTTTTATTTTTGTAGAGATGGGCTCTCACTTTGTTGCCCAGGCTTGTCTCAAACCCCTGGATTCAAGCAATCCTCTTGCCTTGGCTTCCCAAAGTGCTGGGATTACAGGTGTGAACCACAGCACCCGACCATGGTATGTTTTATCAGGGGCCTCCCACAATGTTTGGCAAACATCAAGTAGATGTTTGAAGGCAGGAAGAAGGGAAGGATGAAGGAAGAAAGGAAAGAGGAAGGAACTAAGGGAAGAATGATGAAAGATAGGCTATGGCTTTCCTTTCAATGAAAAAAAATCAAATACTTAACAAATTTCAGCTAACATACACTTTAGGAATACTGCAGACTTCCTTTTCTCAAAAAAAATTGTGGCAAAATGCACATAAAAATTTACAGTTTTAATTTATTTTATTTTATTTTATTATTATTATACTTTAAGTTTTAGGGTACATATGCACAATGTGTAGGTTAGTTACATATGTATACATGTGCCATGCTGGTGTGCTGCACCCATTAACTCGTCATTTAGCATTAGGTATATCTCCTAAAGCTATCCCTTCCCCCTCCCCCCAATTATTTTTAACTGTGTAGCTCAGTGGTATTAAGTACATTCACATTGTTGTGCAACCATCCACCACCAGAACACTTTTCATCTTGCAAAACTGAAACTCTGTACCTGTTAAGCAATAACTCTTCATTTCCCCCTTTCCCCAGCCCCTGGAAACTATGATTTAACTTTCTATCTATGATTTTGACTATAGGTACGTTTTATCAGTGGAATAATAAAATACGTGTCTTTTTGTGACTGGCATAATGTCTTCAAGGTTCATCCACTTGGTAGCATGTATCAGAATTTCATCCATTTTTAAGGCTGAATAATACTTCATTGTGTGTACATATTTTGCTTAAACGTTTATCTGTCAATGCACACAAGTTGTTTTCACTTTTTGGCTATTGTAAATAATATTGCTATGAACATGAGTGTGCCAATATATGTTCAAGTCCCTGCTTTTCTTTTCTTTCTTTCTTTTTTTTTTTTTTTTCTGAGACAGGGTCTCACTCTGTCACCCAGGACGAAGTGCAGTGGCATGATCTCAGTTCGCTGCAGCCTCGACCTCCTGGACTCAAGCAATCATCCTACCTCAGCCTCCCAAATAGCTGGGACTACAAGTGCATGCCACCACACCCGGCTAAAGTTTGTATTTTTTGTAGAGACAGGGTTTTGCCATGTTGCCCAGGCTGAAGTCCCTGCTTTCAATTCTTTTAGGTGTATATCAAGAATTAGAATAGCTTGACTATATGATAGTTCAATTTTTAATTTTTTGAGGAACTGCCATACTGTTTTCTATAGTGGCTGCACTATTTTACATTCCTACAACAGTGCACAAAGGCTACAATTTCTCCACGTCCTCACTAATAATTATTTTCTGTTTTTTCTTTTTTAAAAAAATAGCAGCCATGCTAATGTGTATCAGGTGGTACAGACTTCCTTTTAAAATCTAAGTACATCTGCAAATAGATGCAAGCCCTCAGCTATAGGTCATTAGCCTGAAAGGTAGCCAGCAGTCCTGAGATGAGCTTCTGGGATTTGTTCACCGGCTGCACTCCCTTTTCTCTGCTGGCTCCCTTGCTGGTTTCTAGCAGAGCCCCACAGACCACTATTGAGCAACTTCTGGGGTGTAAAGTCTCACAATCCCTGATGCCCAGCTGCTCAGCAGCATTAAATATACACTGTGAACTGTACTCTCCTCTCTTCTCCAGCAGCCCTGGTGCTTACTTTCTGTTAGTGTGTGGGGTTGCCTCTCCGTACTCATGGGTCCAACTCCTCCCTAAAATTCCATAGTTCACAGAAGGCAACTGAGGTTTACTTGCAGAAAAGAGATAGCATAAGGACAATTAAGCAGTCTGAGTGAGTTATAAAACAAAATAAAAAGAAAGTGAGGACAGGTTCTGAGGACTTCTTGTAGTGTGGGCTAACAAGGACAAGTGAAGGAACACCTGGCAGGCTCTTCCCGCAACTGCATACCCCAGCATATCAGCCCATCACCCGTGGAGTCCAACTCTGTTCTTAGGGAGCTTTGGTGTGGCCTTGGATTATTTCCTCCATATCACAGACAATTCTAAAAATATTTCCAAAAACTTCCTTATGTGCAGGATAATGGAAGGGAAGCTGTGATTTAAAAATGTTAATTTAACAATGAACTGTTTTGCTTGGCAAGTCAGTAAACCTCATCGTGTCTGTTTTCTCAGCTATAAAATGAAACTCTTGGACAAAATGTCTTAAGGACCCTGCCAGCTCTAAATAATTTTAATTCCAAAACTTTGGGGGACCAAAAAAAAAATCCTTTTACTTTTAGAAATGTTTATATATATATAGTTATATACTTTATCTTGGATATATTCAGCCCATAAATTTTTGAGTAGTCTAATGTTTAAATAAGTGAGTGGTTTTCTAAATATAACTTAGGCAGAGCAGTTCACTTGGGGTTATGCTGGCTGAATTTCAAGTAATCCACCAAGTGGATAATTCACATATGGTCAAGCATTAGAAGGCTCCAACCAGTCTTTAAAAGGCCTGAGAGTCAAAGCAATTCTATCTTATTCTGCACTGTATGGTGACCTGGTTAATACAGAGTAAACCTCTGAAAATGTAGGCTTGAATGTTTGTTGCTGTTTGTCGTCTGCCAGAAAATTGTAAATTTGCGTGTCTGCATTTGCAGAGAGGGCTGTGACTTCTCAGTCATTTGCCCTCTTAGCCATCAATTTTTCTCTTCTAAAAGCACAGCCAAAAATGTCACTGGATTAACTGTAAATATGAAAAGCTGCCTCAGAAGCAAATATAATACCAAGTGCTCAGTGGTACTCAAAGGATAAATTTCCCACGTTTCACTCCCTTTTATTCATTTACTCACTGTCAAATTCACATTGCAAACAGTGTAAAAAGAGACAAAATTCAGAATTGTCATCAGCTCCCAGAGGATCACCAGGATTGAAAGGTAAAAAGCCTGTTATTGCTATGGGCCAGGAGCTGTTTTAATGGCTTTCCCAGCCTGTTGAGAGTCATTTCAGGATGCTGAGTCAAAGAGAGTGAAACTTGGAGTGACCCAGCTGTTAGTCTCTGGCATACCTTTTAACTGATGTCACCAGGCATTTCTTAGAGAGTAGAGTAAGCCACTGTTCTTCTGCCAGTCATGTTCATTTTTGTCAGTTTTTTAAGTAAAAATATTACTTTATAGAAAATAATCCTTAATAGCTACTCATTCAGTCATTCTATATTCTGGATAAACTTTAAAAATAAAGTTAAACATGCTGCCCATGACTTGATGTGTGTTTTTTGTTTGTTTGTTTCTGTTTGTTTGTTTTGTTTTGTATTTGAGACAAGGTCTCACTCTGTCACCCAGGCTAGAGTGCAGTGGCATGATCTTGGCTCACTGCAAATTCCGCCTCCAGGGTTCAAGTGATTCTCCCACCTCAGCCTCCGAGTAGCTGGGACTACAGGCACATGCCACCACACCCAGCTAATTTTCGTATTTTTAGTAGAGACAGGGGTTTCACCATGTTGCTCAGGTTGGTCTTGAACTCCTGTCCTCAAGTGACCCACTTGCCTCGACCACCCAAAGTGCTGGGATTACAGGTGTGAGCCATCGTGCCCAGGCTGATGTGTAATTTTTTTAAATGTGCCAGTAGTTAGTACAAACAGAAGAGAATCTCCTAGATAGTTCTCCATTTTTAAACCACTTAACACTCATTTTAGTAGCATTCAGTGTATAGGATAGATACAAATAAAATGAATTACTTTAATGATTCTAAAATAGGTTTGCAGTTTCTGTTTGAAAATTTTTATTATCAATTGTATCAGTTCAGGAAACAAACCACTCTGCTATTAAAATAGGCAGAAGAGCATTTAAAATAGGGAATTGGGTGCTTTCAAAATTGCTGGGGAGGTTGTTAGGAGTGTGTCTGTTCAGGCTGCTATAACAAAATACCATATACTTGGTAGCTTATAAACAACAGAAATTAATTTCTCGTAGTTCTAGAGGCTGGGAAGTCCAAGATCAAGAAAGACCATCCTTCATATATGGACATCTTCTCACTGTTTCCTCACATGGTGGAAGGGGCTAGCTAGCTGTCTGGGGTCTCTGTTATAAGGACACTAATTTTAATAGTGAGAAGTGTGCCCTTATGACCTAATCACCTCCCAAAGGCCCCACTTGCTAATACCATGACCTTGGGGGTTAGGATGTCAGTATATGCATTCCGAGGGACACAAATATTCAGACCACAGCATTCAGGCCCTGCCCGCCCCCCCCCCACCCGCCAAAATTTATGTCTTTCTCACATGCAAAATGCACTCATTCCATCCCAGTGGTCCCCAAAGTCTTAAATAATTCCAGCATCGACTCAAAAGTCTGAAGTCCACATTCTCAGCTAAATATCATCTAAATCAGATATGGATGAGACTCAAGGTATGATTCATCCTGAGGCAAATTGCTTTCCAGCTGCAAACCTATGAAATCAAACATGCTATATGCTTCTAAAATACAGTGGTGGAATAGACATTTCTCCCTCTGTTCCAAGAGGGAGAAATAGGAAAGAAAAAAGGCGTAACAGGTCTCAAGTAAGTTTGAAATTCAACAGGGATAACATTAAGCCTGAAGACTCAAGAATAATCTTCTTTGACTCAATGTTCTGCCTCCTGGACACACTGAGGTAGGAATTGGGTCCCTAAAGCTCTGGTTGGCCCTACCCTTATGACTTTGCTGGTCACAGTCCACGGTGCAGCTTTCAAGGGTTGTAATTGAGATTCCTGAGGCTAGAAGCACATGCAGATAGTTCTACACATCTGGGGTCGCAACTGAACCCTGACCCCACAGCTCCACTAGGCAGTGTCCTAGGGGGGATTCCCTTTGTTGGTCCTGCCCTTGTCATGGCCCTCTGGCTGGGCTATGTGGGCTCCATCTTTGGGAATCTAGGTGTAGGTAGCCATGCCCACATGACTCATGTACCCCATGCACCATGGGAGATGGCACTGTGAGGATGCCACCAAGGTTTACCATCTGTGCCCTCGAGCTCACACCACATCTAGGGTATCAGAAGAGGGCTGCACCAGATTGCAGAAAGAAAACCACTGGGGCAATGCCAGGGTGAGGGCTCCCTGGACCCCTCCTTTGAAATCATTCTGTCCTCAGTGCCTTTTCATTCTGGGCCTGTGATGGAAAAGGCAGCAGTGATGATCTATGAAATACCTTCTGGGTCACTTTTCCATTGTCTCGATAAATAGTACCTGGCTAATGAATACTAACCTCTTTATTAAATGATGGCCACATCCTTGGTGTTCTCTTCTAACCATGCTTTCTTATTTGTTACAATATAGACAGGCTGATAATTTTCCAAATCTTTATGTTTTTCTTTTGAGAAGAAATTTTGTTTATTTCTTTATTTATTTTACTTTAAGTTCTGGGATACATGTGCAGAATGTGCAGGTTTGTTACATAGGTGTACATGTGCCATGGTGGTTTGCTGCACTTATCAACCCATCACCTAGGTTTTAAGCCCCATATGCATTAGGTATTTGTCCTAATGCTCTCCCTTCCCTTACCCCCCGCCCACCCCAATAAATTATATTTTTAAATTGTGTTTCTCTCTGTATGTTATTATGAGCATTTAAAAGAAGCCATGCTGTGCCTTCAACATTTTGCTAACAAATTTATTTCATTAATTTTCCTATTTTATCACTCATAAGCTCTACTTTCCACAAAACACTAGGACACAATAGCCAAGTTCTTTCACACTTTGTAACAAGGACTGACTTTCCTTCAGTTTCCAGTGTTCCTCATTTCCATCTGAGATCTCATCAGAATGGCCTTTACCATCCATATTTTTACCAACATTCTGATCATGACCACTTAAGGATTCTCTAAGAATATTGAAGCTTTATCTACAGCTCTCCTCTTCTTCTTCTGAGCCCTCACCAGAATTCCCCTTAACAGTCCTTTCATGGTAATACAGTCTTTAATCTAGGATGAACCTCCAAATTCTTCCGGTCTCTACTATTACCCAGTCCAAAGCTGCTTCTAGAATTTACCTATTTGTTATAGCAGCACTCTCGCACCTTGGTACCAATTTTGGTCTTAGCCTGTTCAGACTGCTATAGCAAAATACCATAGATTGGGTAGCTTATAAATAACAAAAATTCATTTCTCACAGTTCTGGAGGCTGAGAAGTCCAAGATCAAGGAGCCAACCAACTTGGTGTCTCGTGAGGGCTCACTTCCTTCATAGACAGACATCTCACTGCATCCTCACATAGCTAGTTAGCTCTCTGGAGTCCCTTTTATAAGGACACGAATCCCATTCATGAAGGCTCTACTCTTAAGACCTAATCACTCCCCAAAGGCCCTACCTCTTAATACCTAGGATTTCAACATATGAATTTGGGAGTAACAAAAACATTCAGACTATAGCAGAGTCAGGTGGACTTGGCTCTTCCTAATGACAACTAGAATATCACCACTGAACTGTCCTGGCAGGGGGGCACCAGAGTCAGAAAGGTGGGAAATCTGGCACCCCCTCTGGAACTTTTGAGTTTAAGAGGACATCACAGAGGCTGAGATTCAGGGATCAGGAAGCGCCACTGCAACTGCATCTTGACGTCTGTGTAGCTAACCTCTGGACACAGGTTTTGCAGAAAACCCCGATAATTCCATGACTATAACTGGCAGCAGCAACAGCCAAGAACACAAAAAAGTGGTGCCTGTCTCTCTGTTTTCCAAATCTTGCACAATACATCAGATGGGTGCAATCTATTTTATATCCAGAACCAGCTGCAAGGGAGCATGAGATGTAGAAGTTTTTCTTTCCCTTTTTTTTAAACAGCAATAATCATTAATTATTGTTATCATGAGCATCACATAGGCAAAGCACATAATACAATGACAATGTATCTAACTTAGTTTGCAAGGGTCAGAGATATTTTTCTCCTATTTTTGCATCATAACTCTCTTCTATACTTTGCCTTTTTCATTTAATAGAATAATTGGATATTATGCTATATCATTGAATGAGGAGTTTTTTACATTCTTTTTTAAATGACTACAAAGTATTCTATGGTATGAATGGACGTAATTTATTTTACCATAAGGCTAATCAGGGCTATGGCTTCTCCAGGATACTCGGCACTTCTTCCGCATGTTACTGCAAGTGGAACCCAGGTGGCTCCAGTAGTAGTCGTGGGTGGCCACGAGTGAGCCGCTGGAGGGGCTGGCTGCCTTGCTTTTGCTTGTGAGCTGGTGGAAATGCAGTGGCGATGCCTTGCGGACCTCTGCTGGTGATCACGGATGGCAGTGACAGAGACACTAGGCCACTGAGCCCATTTACTAGAGGAGACCATGGCCGATCGCACCATGGCACCACCAAGACGTGCACGCTGGGTCATAAAATCATCCTTTTGAATGGCTAATGACTGAATATGGTAAAAAAAAAAAAAGAAGAAGAAGAAGATAGTGGGAAGTAAATTTTCTTCATATCTGCTTCCATAATCCATCCAGAGATATTCAATATATATCCAAGCACATAGACACACGTATACATATACACCCACACACAACATGTACACATGCATATTAATATGTGGGGGAATTTCTCTTCTTTGGGCAGATTTAAATGTTTTCCTTTATTATAGTCTTTGAGAGTCAGGAGAGTTTTGCTAAGACAAAGAGAGACCCCAGGCTTCAGTGTATCCTGTGTGTTAGAAACGTCCTTTGTTACTGTCTCATCATTTCATCTTTATTGTCCATGCACGGGTTTTCACTATGCCCATGAGTTACTGTGGAGGCAAGGACAGCTATGGTCATGGGCCCTCCACTGTCCTTGGCCTCACATTTTCTAAAAAGATCTCTACTTTGTGTACAGCAGTCATCTTGGAATCCACCTTCTCCATAATTTGACAGATTCCCTTTGTCTCTCTTCTGTGGTGAAGCTCCTGTTTCATGCAGCCCCATATATTCTTCCTTCTTGGTTTACTCCCTTCATTTTTAATATTTATTTATTTTAGAAGCTAGGTCTCACTCTGTCTCCCAGGCTGGAGTGCAGTGGCACTATCATAGCTCACTGCCGCCTCCAACTTCTGGGCTCAAGTGATCCTCCCACCTCAGCCTCCCAAGTAGATGGGTCCACAAATGTAAGCCACCATGTCTGACTAATTTTTTGTATTTTTTGTAGAGGTGGGATTTCACCATGTTGCCGAGACTGGTCTCAAACTCCTGAGCTCAAGTGATCCTCCTACCTCAGCCTTCCGAGTAGTGGTGACTACGGACACAGGCCATACACTTCACTGGATGGAAGACATTCTCCAGTAGTTTTCTGAAAAAGAGTATGCAGAAGTTAAATTTTCTGAGATCTTGGTTGTCTGAAAATGTCTTTATTCTACCTTCCTGCTTGATTGGTGCAGTAACTAGATAAAGAATTTGAGATCAGGAATGTTTTGCCTTTAGAATGTTGAAGGCTTTGCTCCATGATGTCTAGTTTCAAGTGCTGCTATTGAGAAATCTCAAGCTATTCTGATTCCTAGTATGTGACTGATTTTTTGGTAGGATTTTCATTTTGTATCCAATGAAATTTCAAAATGATATGCCTTTGTATGAGTCTAATTTTCACTTATTCTGTCGGGCATCCAGAAGGCCCTTGCAGTCTAGAAACGGGTAAATTCTCTCGAATTATTCATTACTTCTTTCTTCTTCTCTGTTATTTCGATGTTGGATCTCCTGACTGGGCTCCACTTTTCTTCTAATTTCTCTTCTATTTTCTTTCTTTTTTTTTTTTTTTTTTTTTTGCTCTATTTTCTGGAGAATTTTCTCGAATTTATATTCCACATTTCTAGTGACTTTTTTCATTGCTGTTATCACGTTTTCAATGTTTAAGAGCTCTTTTTTTGTTGTTTTTTGAATTTTTTCACAGCACTCTATGTGCAAGATCTTCTCTTGTCTTTCTGAGGATATTAATATACTTTTAAAAATATATAGTTTATTTTTCCTAAAAGGCTCTTTGTTCTAAGTTGTCTTTTTTCTATTTGTTTGTTGTGATGTTCATTTTCCATGTTAGGGTCTTTCCTCAGATGTCTGGTAATCCTTGGTTTTCTGTTCATGATTTAAAGTGAGGAACTAATTTTCTCGGGTGTTGGAAATGTTCCATATCCTGGTAGGGATGTGAGTTACATGGGTGTACACATTTGTCAAAACTGCTTAAACTGTATACTTACAATCTGTGCATTGCACTACTGTATAAATTATACCTTAAAAAACCCACCCAATTTAAAAAAAATAAAACTAAAAACAAGTGAGGAATGAAAACACTAGAAGCTCTGAGCAAGTGAGTGGGCCTTACCAATCTAGAAATTTACCTTTGGCCCATCTGGGTGAACCATTTGTTGGTACAGAACCCAGCCCTCAGTGGGGCCTGACATTCCCCTGTCCTAATACTCTCTTTTTCCTTCAAAATGAGTAAACATCCAGGCTATACTAGGATACAGGAGGACAGTTCCCCAGCAGTATCGAGTGGGGGAAGCAGCTTTAAGGGCTTCACTACTTCTCAATCATCTTTCACCCAATCCTCCTTATATCAGCATGATGCCCCTTCACCACAATTCCATTGTTACCTGGTATAAATAGTTGTTGAAACTTTTGAGACTTTTGCAATGTAAATTGATTTGTTTCTTTGCTTTCTTCACTGCCACTATCCAGCTTCTGAAATATTGTTGTTCTTGTCTCTACTCTTGTTCACCCAGTTCCAGAGGGATTACATCTTTTTTAGAAAATAAATCTCTTTATTGTACCTTGTGTAGGATTTCAAGAGGAAGAGAAATAAGATGTGTATCCAATCTACTACCTTAGAATTCAGGAAATCAGAAATGTGGTTTTAAGCTCTCCAGCTTCTGCAATACAGGAAGATCCTCTATAAGGAGTTTGGAATCAATGCTAAAAATGACCCACCAACACTAACATATTCCACTCCTTTGGCCAGTTAACATCTCTACATATCCTTCTGTCCATACTTTAATTTCTAAACAACAGTAGCAATCCAAACATGCTCTCACCTAACAAAATGCCATGATCCTTTGTGCAAATGAAAACATGCTCAGTATCTCTATTATTGGTTATTATCTATAATTATGTGTGTGTTGAGTGGTTTCTGCAACTGATCATGAGGCCACAATTTGTATTCATAACTTCCTTCCTTTGTACCAGCAATACTGCTGTTTGGGGTTCATTTTGTCTGTTAATTCAATTAGTGGTTGGACTAGACATTTTGAACTGCCAAGAAGAAAATTTCAAATAAGTCTTCCCTATCCTTCATTATTTTCAAATGCAGATCTCCAGCCTTCTGGCATTGCAGGGATAGTTTTGATATTACTGAAAAGAGAAAAGCAAAAAAGGGTCATGTGTTGCACTTTTCTGTGAAGATGAGGGTCCCAGGTGAAAATCACAGCTAGACACCTGAGCACTTTTAAAAAGTTAAGCAAATATGGATTCATTTACTGATATAAGGAAGATGGACATGCCTTGGATTCAAGGCCAGCAAGTGGTAAGGTTGCTATGTTTGTTATCCAAGTTAAGAAGCCTGACTGATATGGTTAGGCTTTGTGTCCCCACCTAAATCTCATCTTGAGTTGTAATCCCCATAATCCCCACGTGTCAAGGAAGAAACCAGGTGGAGGTAATTGAATCATGGGGCCGTTTCCCTCATGCTGTTCTCGTGATACTGAGTGAGTTCTCAGGAGATCCGATGGTTTTATAAGGGGCTCTTCCCGCTTCACTCGGCATTTCTTCCTGATGGCTTGTGAAGAAGGTGTCTTGCTTACCCTTCGCCCTTCTCCGTGATTGTAAATTTCCTGAGGCCTCCCCAGTCACGCTGAACTGTGAGTCAATTAAACCTCTTTCCTTCATAAATTACCCAGTCTTGGGCAGTCCTTTATAGCAGTGTGAAAACGAACTAATACACTGACTTTCTGTTCAAGAAAGCCATCAACCGTGATCCAGAGATGGTCAGCAGGGGTAATTGCAAGTAGAATTAAGTTGGTCCTCAACAAGCAGTTTTGTAAGGGTAACACATTTTTTTTCAGTGTCCTCCTTCCTCTCTCATCGGCCCCAGTTTTTCCTTCTCTCCCCAGCCTGTATTGCATTTGTACCTGTCTCTGCTCAAATACAAACTGTTTATAATGTCAACTGATAAAAGACTGGTATAACCCCTTTAAGAGTTATTTGCATTTCAATAGAGGATTCATCGAAACTGAAAAGGTTTCAAAATTAAAGAGTAGAACTTTACTGATAAAATAACAGATGGTGAAATTAATCTGCCCCACCTCCACCTGATTTTGAGCAGAAGGTCCCATTAGCCTACCATTCCACTGAATTGCTCTGTAATATAGATTATAATTAATGATGGGGCAGTATTATATTCACATCTCTTGACAGTCAGCCCATGTTCAGACTCTATTGTCATAGAGCTGAAAGGTGAGCTTTATTAATTTATATTTCTATTATTAAGCCTAGAATATGTGCATAGTGGTCAGCTTGTATGTTTATGATACAGAGCTCTAGTCTGTCAACACAGGTTACATCATCTGCCAAATTTATACCTGGTCACTAGGAAAACTGACTTGGGGAACTAATGGTAATTTTCCCAGGTCTCTTTCATCTGGCAATTTTAACCACTTTTTTTTTTAAATTTTTGTGGGTACATAGTAGGTATATATATTTATTGGGTACATGAGATGTTATGATACAGGTATGCAATGCATAATAATCACATCATGGAAGATGGGGTATCCATCCCCTCAAGCATTTATCCTTTGTGTTACAAACAATCCAATTATATTCTTTTAGTTATTTGGAAATGTACAATGAAATTATTATTGACTATCGTCACCCTGTTATGCTATTAAATACTAGGCCTTATTCATTCTAACTGTACTCATTAATCATTCTCACCTCCACCTCACTCTCCCACTACCCTTCCCAGTCTCTGGTAACCATCTTTTTACTCTCTATATCCTGATTTTTAGATCCCACATGTAAGAGAGAACATTCAATGTTTGTCTCTCTTTGCTTGGCTTATTTCACTTAACATAACGACCTTTAGTTCCATCCATGTTGTTGCAAATGACTGAATCTCGTTCTTTTTTATGGCTGAATAGTACTCCATTGTGGAAAAATGCCACATTTTCTTTATGCATCTGTTGATGGACATTTAGGTTGCTTCCAAATCTTGGCTATTGAGAACAGAGCTGCAATAAACATGGGAGTGCAGATATCTTTTTAATATATTGATTTCCTTCCTTTTGGGTATATGCCCAGCAGTGGGATTGCTGGATCACATGGTGGCTCTATTTTTAGTTTTTTGAGGAGACTCAAAGCTGTTCTCCATAGTGGTTGTACTAATTTACATTCCCATCAACAGTGTGATAGCAGTGTGAAAAGGGAATCCTTTTGATTCCCTTTTCGCCACATCCTTGCCAGCATTTGTTAAAACACTTCTTGGTGCCATTCTTGCTGTTGGGTCTGTGTGGCTATACATTAAAAATAACAATAATAATAATAAAGAAAAAAACACTTCTTGGTGCCATCTTCACACTGGGAAAATTTTCAGGAAGATTGACTTGAGAAGCCAGTACATTTTAGGTATGAAGTAGAGTTAAACAATAGGTATTTTCCATGAGAAAAAAGGGTAAATACTGAGTAATGCCCTAGACTCCAAGGCCCAGAACAAGAAGTGGTGAAGTGTAAAGTGATTACTTTAGGTCGCTTTAGGGATAGGATAGGGGGAAGCCTTTAGTGCTCTTTGTAAAAACTAAAATGCACACCTCATCTCTGCCTTGGGCAGTCAAAGGATGCCTCCAGCTTTTAGATTCAGAATCTGCTATTTTGGAGTTAGTGATCTTTTGACTTTGCCTTTGCACTAGTGATGAGAATAAAATTTATTAAATACAGTCATGCATTGCATAATGATGAGAATACATTCTGTTGTTAGGCTATTTTGTCATTTGGGAACATCATAGAATGTACTTATACAAACCTAGATGGTATAGCCTCCTACACACCTAGGTTACACGGCAGAGTCTATTGCTTCTAGGCTACAAACCTATACAGCGTGCCTACTAAATACTGGTAGGCAACTGTAATACAATGGTAAGTATTTGTATATCTAAACATAGAAAAGGTACAGTAAGATTAAAAACGGCACACCAGTATAGGACACTTACTATGAATAGCACTTGCAGGACTGGAAGTTGCTCTGGGTGAGTCAATGAGTGAGTGGTGAGTGAATGTGAAGGCCTGTGACACCACTGTACACTAGCGTAGATTTTATAAACACTGTACACTTAGGCCATATTAAATTTATTTTAAAAATTTATTTTTTCATGCTGGACATGGTGGTTCACATCTGTAATCCCAGTCTTTGGGAGGCCAAGGCGGGTGAATCACTTGAGCCCAGGAGTTTGACACCAACCTGGGCAACATGGAGAAACCCCATCTCTATGAAAAATACAAAAAGCCAGACATGGTGGCACATACCTGCAGTCCCAGCTACTCAGGAGGCCTAGAGGCTGCAGTGAGCCATGATCATGCCACTGTACTCCAGCTTGGGTGACACAGTGAGACTCTGTCTCTCAAAAAAAAAAAAATATATATATATATATATATATATTTCTTTAATAATAAATTTTGGCCGGATGTGGTGGCTCACACCTGTAATCCTAGCACTTTAGGAGGCCAAGGTGAGTGGATTGCTTGAGCCCAGGAGTTTGAGACCAGCCTGGGCAACATGGCGAAACCCTGTCTCTTACTAAAAATACAAAAACTGAGGTGGAGGATCACCTGAGCCTGGGGAGGCTGAGGCTGCAGTGAGCCATGATTGTACCACTGCACTCCAACCTGAGCAGCAGAGGGACACCCCATCTGAAAAATAAATTAATAACAATAAATTTACCTTAGCTTACTATAGCTTTTATTTTATAAACTTATAAAATGAAAAAAAACTTGTTGACTTTTTTGTTATAACACTTAGCTTAAAATGCAAACATATTGTACAGCTGTATAAAAATATTTTTTCTTTATAATCTGTATTTCTGTTTTCAAGGTTCTTATTTATTTATTTTACTTTTTAAACTTTTTTTGTTAAAAACTAAGATGCACACACATTAGCCTAGGCCTATGCAAAGTCAGCATCATCAGTATTCCTGTCTTCCACTTCCACAACTTCTCCCATTGGAAGGTCTGCAGGGGCATCACCATCCACACGTAAGTAATGAGTTGTGCTATGAAGTCCTGATGTCTACAGTGTCAGTAGGCAATAGGAGTTTTTCAGCTCCATTATAATCTTACAGGACCAGTGTCATATATACTGTCATTGACCCAAACATAAATTACGTAGCACATGACTGTAATTGACTAAAAGGAGAAGTTTTCAGAGGAAAATAAGAAAACCATTTTATTGTATTATTATTACTTTTTTTTGAGATGGAGTATTGCTCTTGTCGCCCAGGCTAGAGTGCAATGGCACGATCCTAGCTCACTGCAGCCTCCGTCTCCTGGGTTCAAGCAATTCTCCTGCTTCAGCCTCCCAAGTAGCTGGGATTACAGGTGCCCACCACCACACCTGGCTAATTTTTGTATTTTTAGTAGAGATGGGGTTTCACCATGTTGGCCAGGCTGGTCTTGAACTCTTGACTTTAGGTGATCCTCCTGCCTAGGCTTCCCAAAGTGCTGGGATTACAGGCATGAGCCACCGCACTTGGCCAGAAAACCATTTTAGAGAATGAACTCTTTTCGCAGAAACAAGTGACACACTAAATGAAATGAATGATGCTTACCTGTTAATTATAACAGGCCTAGAAGGCCCGTCCCTTGAAATGTTTTATTAACTTTAAACCCTGTTCTTCTAAGTGCTCACAATTATGTTACATAATTGTGTAACATAAACTCTGTAACTGAGTTTATAATTCATACTGTCCCCCAACCAGCAGTTCAAAAAGGGGAGTTTTACTAAGAGCTATTAACTGAGACTGAGTAGTGCAGAGTCCAGCTTGAAGAAAACCTTGGATCCTTGCTCAGGAAGAGAGACGTGAGCTCTCTGAAAGAGGGCGGTGGTCGCAGTAAAAAAAGCTTTCAATAGGAAGGAAGCAAATGACTTAGGTAAAATATTGGTATAGTCATCAAATAACAAACTAGAGGAAATTGTGGGGTGGGTCAGGAAAAAGGTTAACTGAAAAGACCTTCAAAGTGGATGTAAACAACCTGACTAGAGTAAATGAACTTGTGGGTCTGGGTTGCCATAAGCAAAAATCTGATGAGTATGAGAAAATGGACAGCACAAGTACTTAAAAGACCTGGTGATATTCACGCTTTTGATAGCTTTTGGTCATTTTGTAAGCTTTAAATCTTGCAGAGGAGGTTGGCCCCAGAGAAACTAAATACAGATATCTGGAGCAGGTTTACCCTGAAACTTGCAGATAGAATGGAGACACATTAACGTTAGCCTGGCCTCATAATGGGGTGGGAAACCTGTTTTACTATATGGCAGTTCTGCCAGTAAGTACCCCTGTTATCTTGGTCTAAAAGCATTTTATACTTCAATTAAAAAACACATATTTGCCGGGCACGGTGGCTCATGCCTGTAATCCTAGCACTTTGGGAGGCCAAGGCGGGTGAATTACTTGAGGTCAGGAGTTCGAGACCAGCCTGGCCAACATGGTGAAACCCCATCTCTACTAAAAATACAAAAAAAATTTAGCTGGGCATGGTGGTATGTGCCTGTAATCCCAGCTATCAGGTAAACAGAACTGGTATAGTTAATTATAGCAGTAAATAGGAGGCTGAGGCACAAGAATCCCTTGAACCCAGGAGGCGGAGGTTGTAGTGAGCCAAGATTGAGCCACTGCACTCCAGCCTGGGTGACAGAGTGAGACCTTGTCTCAAAAAACAAAACATAAATAAACAAAAAAACCACATATTTGCTTTAGTTCAGGTTGAAAATATATCTGTTAGCACCTTTAAGTAGAATTTTTGTTTTAAAAGATGAAGTCAAAACAAAACAAAATATTGTAATTTCTGTATTTATCCATAAACGCTTTGCTAATAGTCCATGAGCATGTAGATGTTTAGCTCCGTGCCAAGGAGGCCCACAAAGAAGAGATGGGGAAACCAGGGCACTTGCTTGTTAAAATGTTTACTCAAGAAATAATTTTAATAACCAAGTAAATAGGAGGCAGAAAAAGATTCCCTCTGTTTTTGTTCACTTTTCAGATCCAGGAGACTCTATTCATTTCTGTTACGGAAACAACCATTGATAATCCTGGAAATTAGCTCAATTATGCTAATTACATTTTTAAAAAGATTTAAAATGTGTGATTTTCCACTTGGGATGCTTTATTTTGGCCCTGAAATTTTATACCAGCCTGCTTGTTCGGTTGTTCACAAATGTCCACCGAGCTTCCGCACCCCCTCCAATCTCCCGCCTCCAAGCTAGACTGGAAGTTCTTTGGGTATAAATTTTCATCCTTGTAACCCTGGAGATGCTCTGCCCCCTCTCTTCCCTATAAATCAACCATGAGTATATTTGGACAGTGCTTTAATGCTGCCGGTTGTAAAGGCATTGTCTTGGTATTAGAAATTGCTGGAAGGCAGCCATAGTCCCAAATAGCAAAAATAAGCTGGTTTCTCAAGTTGTTACTTAGGCATTACCCTAGTCACATTAGAATGCTTGAACAACTTGCAAGAAATTATAAGAAAAGTGCAAAAGTAATCAAGTCTTCAGGGAAGCATGCCAAGGTGCAGATGAAAAGAAGGCCTTCTCTGCTGACTGCCCCACCACCCATAGCTTAGGACATCTGCTGATAGATGCCATAAACCTGGAAATGGTTACCCCCATGGGCTGTGTGTTTTGGAAAGCACTCTATTAACACTACTGTCTCTGGAACATCACAGAAAAAATGCATTTCAAAAACAGCCCATGAATAAATACAATCATGTACTCTTTTGACTACTTGAATGATTTTCAACTTGGACACAGAATCGATGGATGTCAGTAGAGAAAATTGCACTGTGTTCTGATCTGTAAATCAGATCAGGCACAAATCTAAAGAGCTTGAATGGCTTTCAGGTGCTCCAGCTGATGATCCTAGAGGAAGCCAGGACCATCTGAAAGCCCAAAGACAATCCTATCAGGCAAACAGAACTGGTATAGTTAATTATAGCAGTAAATAGAGCTCAGAGCACCTGACTTGTAGAAGCTATGCTGAATGGTACTTCATCTCTCTAACTGATGTCTGGCAAACCTGGCTGTGTGGCTGTTTCATTAGGAATGACAGTAATTTTATTTTCTCCCTCTGTAGCTGGAGATTGTTTAAACTGCAATTAAAAACTTTTTTTTTCCTGGTTAATTTTTTTTCTTTTTCTTTTTTTTTTTTTTTATTATACTTTAAGTTCTAGGGTACATGTGCACAACGTGCAGGTTTGTTACATATGTATACATGTGCCATGTTGGTGTGCTGCACCCATTAACTCGTCATTTACATTAGGTATATCTCCTAATGCTATCCCTCCCCCCTCCCCTCACCCCACAACAGGCCCCGGTGTGTGATGTTCCCCTTCCTGTGTCCAAGTGTTCTCACTGTTCAATTCCCACCTATGAGTGAGAACATGCGGTGTTTGGTTTTTTGTCCTTGCGATAGTTTGCTGAGAATGATGGTTTCCATCTTCATCCATGTCCCTACAAAGGACATGAACTCATCCTTTTTCATGGCTGCATAGTATTCCATGGTGTATATGTGCCACATTTTTTTAATCCAGTCTATCATCGATGGACATTTGGGTTGGTTCCAAGTCTTTACTATTGTGAACAGTGCCGCAATAAACATACATGTGCATGTGTCTTTATAGCAGCATGATTTATAATCCTTTGGGTATATATCCAGTAATGGGATGGCTGGGTCAAATGGTATTTCTAGTTCTAGATCCTTGAGGAATTGAAAAAAAAATTTTCTTTGAGACAGGGTCTCACTCTGTCACCCAGGCTGGAGTGTGGTGGCATGATCTCAGCTCACTGCAACATCCGCCTCCCAGGCTCAAGCAATCCCCCCACCTCAGCCTCCCAAGTAGCTGGGACTATGAGAATGTGCCACCACGCCTGGCTAATTTTTGTATTTTTTTGTATAAACAGGGTTTTGCTATATTGCCCAGGCTGGTCTCGAACTCTTGAGCTCAAGAGATCTGCCTGCCCCGGCCTCCCAAAGTGCTGGGATTATAGGCATGAGCCATTGCGCCTGGCCTAAACTGCAATATTTGGAGAACTGGTGAACTCAGCAAGCCCCTTCAATATTTCTTGTTTAATTTTCCTTGGCTGTGAAGTTCTTTGCTCCCCAGTACCACCACCTGGCTACCTGAGCAAGAGCTTCAAAACTGCCCCAAGTCTGTCTCCCTTCATTCAGCCTTGCTATCCTCTGATACATCAAGAATGGTCTGTATACACTATTCTCATGTCATCCCCCAGCAGAAAACTGTTGCTTAGTGTAGTGGTTTTCAAAGTGTGGTCTTTGGACCAGCAGCTTTGACATCACCTGGAAACCTCAGAAATGCAGGTTCTTTGTCGTCACCTCAGACCTACTGAATCAGAAACTCTGAAGATGGGCCCCAGTAATGAGTGGTTAAACCAAGCCCTTCCCTGTGGGTGATTCTGATTCATGCTGAGGTTGAGAACCTCTGGCCTATTGGATCCACTGGAATCTCTTTTTCTATCTTTCTGGGTTCTTTGTTCCCTCTGGTCTATCAACTCAGTTCTGCTTGTAGTTAGTAAGCACCTATTATGTGTTGGGGATGTACATTTGCTCTCTGGCTAGGTTTGAACTTGTCAAACTTTGTATTGCACACTAACTTTATTTACTGACAATATCAAGGAATAAGTTGTTCTACATGAATGAAAATCTCCTATGACCAAGACATTCTTTGATGTGCCAACATGTTAAAAACTAGTAAAATTTTTTTCACAAAGCCTTTTTGTATTATCCTTTGCTAGGTAACAAATTTAACCCCCAAAATTAGCAACCTAAAACAACGTTTATTATCTTATAGTTTCTGTAGAGCAGGAATTTAGTTGCAACTTAACTGAGTCTCTTACAAGGCCTCAATCAAGGTGTCATTTGGTGCTGTTGACTCATTTGCTTCCAAACACGCAAGCATTAGTGGCAGGATTTGGTTCCTTGTGAGTTGTTGGCCTGCGGGCCTCAGTTTGCAATGGCTGTTGGCCAGAGGCCTCCTTCAGTTCCTTGCCATGTGGGGCTCTCCGTAGGCGGCACAAACATGGCAGCATGCTTCCCCCAGAGTCAGCAAACAAGAATGAGCAAGCAAGGGTGAGCGAGACAGAGCCAGTCTTTTTGTAACCTAATCTCATAAGTAACATCCCATCATCTTTGCTGTATTCTTTTTGTTAGAACCAAGTCACTAGGTTCACCTGTTTCATTCTTAAAGTATTTGGACCTGCCCCTGAGGGTCTGTGGCAAATATCTTCTCTCTAAGTTTTTAACAGAAAACATGATTTTGAATTATGTGCGGTCCACTCATTATTATTATTATTATTGTTATTATTTTGAGTCAGAGTCTCCCACTGTCACACAGGCTGGAGTGTAGTGGCATGATCTTGGCTCACTGCAACCTCCATCTCCCAGGTTTCAAGTGATTCTCCTGACTCAGCCTCCCCATTAGCTGGGACTACAGGTGCGTACCACCACACTCAGCTAATTTTTGCATTTTTAGTAGAAATGGGTTTCACCATGTTGATCAGGAGGATCTCAAACTCCTGACCTCAAGTAATCTGCCCACTTCGGCCTCTCAAAGTGCTAGGATGACAGATGCGAGCCACTGTGCCCGGCCCCACTCCTTATTTTCATTTTTTTGAGACACGGTCTTGTTCTGTTGTCCAAGCTAGAGTGCAGTGACACAGTCTTGGCTAACTGCAGCCTCGACCTCCTGGGCTCAAGCCTTCCTTCTGCCTCAGTCCCACCCAAGCAGCTGGAACTACAGGCACACACCACCATCCCTGGTGAATTTTGGTGTTGGTGTTTTTTTTTTTTTTTTTTTTTTTTTTTTTTTGAGACGGAGTCTTGCTCTGTCGCCCAGGCTGGAGCACAGTGGCACGATCTCGGCTCACTGCAAGCTCCGCCTCCTGGGTTCACGCCGTTCTCCTGCCTCAGCCTCCTGAGTAGCTGGGACTACAGGCGCCTGCCACCACGCCTGGCTAATTTTTTGTATTTTTAGTAGAGACGGGGTTTCACCATGGTCTCAATCTCCTGACCTCATGATCCGCCCGCCTCGGCCTCCCAAAGTGCTGGGATTACAGGCATGAGCCACCATGCCCGGCCGAATTTTGGTATTTTTATAGAGACAGGGTTTCACCATGTTGCCCAGGCTAGTCTTGAACTCCTCGCCTCAAGTGATCCTCCCACCTCAGCCTCCCAAAGTGTTGGGATTACGGACATGAGCCACCACACCCAGTCCCTTATTTTTTAAAACACCCAAAGGGACTGTGATGTGGCAGGTCTGTGAACCAGCATTTGAGAAACCCCAGTTAAGAGCTGTGGTTTTGGAAATGTCAGTGTTCATAAGAATTACCTGGAAACCTGTTAACAATGTATATCCCCAGCCTTCAACCCGAGAAAGTCTGATTCGGAAGGGTTGGGTGGTGAATTGATGGCCTCTTGAGCACCACTTTACATCTTTACCTCCTCCAGCCACTGCCACAGAGTCCAGTTCCACAGCTTCCACAACTCTGTGCATGGTGACCTTGCACTGAGCCTGTGTACCTGTACCTCTTACTTTCTGCTCCGGGGTACCTCTAAACACCAATGTGAGGGATGCCCACAAGAACCCTTAGCACTCAACTGACCATAAAACTTTACTTGGTGCACACATTTGTGTGTTCATTATAAACTTTTTTTTTTTTTTTTTTTTTTTTCTTAATGAGACAGTGTCTTGCTCTGTTACCCAGGCTGGAGTGCAGTGGCATGATAATGGCTCACTGCAGCCTCAACCTCCTGGACTTAAGTGATCATCCCACCTCAGCCTCCCGAGTAGCTGGGACCACACGTGCATGCCACAATGCCCAGATAATTTTTTAGGGTTTGTTTTTTTGTTTTTGTAGAGACGGGGTCTTGCTATGTTGCCCAGACGAGTCTCAACCTCGCAGGCTCAAACAATCTTCCCACCTCAGCCTCCTGAATAGCTGAGACTGTATGCGCTTGCCACCCACAAATAATTAATATGCTCAGCTAATTATTTTAATTTTTGTAGAGATGGGGTCTTACCATGTTGCCCAGGTTGGTCTTGAACTCCTGGGCTCAAAGTGATCTTCCCACCTTGGCCTCCCAAAGTGCCGGGATTACAGACATGAGCCACTGTGCCTGGCCAATTTTTTATTTGGATAGTGAATTTTCATAAACATTTAAACCAGACTTTATATAAATATTTAGATTGCTAGAGTTCACATGGTAAGGGATCTCCATACCTGTGGAACCCTCCCATAATCCCAGGGCCTTGTGTGTCCTTGTATGACTGTCACTCCCCTTGGATTTTATTTTCTTGCTCTTCTCTTCCAACATGACCTCTTTAGCTATTTATTTTATCATTTAGTGTTATTTGTTTATAAGTATTCTTACATCTTATGTGGAATGAATAAAACAGAAAATTATTTTAAATAAATGGATGCTTCCATATTTAATCCCACTAAGCCCTGGGGTTGATATTACAGGTGGACTTTAGTAAATAATAAAAAGTGGAACTTAAGCAAACATAGCCATAGAGCTTGGAGAAGATAATTGGAGATCACTTGTGTGCCAAACACTATGTGTAAGAAGTTTTATGCCAAAGATTTCTTCTACTAATAATTATCCCTGGTAAATATTTGTCTTGCAGATGTTCAGAATCATATTTCTTAGTGAAGTCTGGTCCATCTCTGTGGTAGATACTGGGTCATTAGCCAGTACTCATCCTTACTCCCCTCCTTACTGATATGATCTTGATTTTGTTTAGGGTAGCCATGTGTATTAGTCCTTTCTCACACAGCAGTATAAAGATACTACCTGAGACTGGGTAATTTATAAACAAAAGAAGTTTAATTGACTTACAGTTCTGCGTGGCTGGGGAGGCCTCAGGAAACTTACAGTCATGGGGGAGGTGAAGGGGAAGCAAGGCATGTCTTATGCGGCGGTGGGGAGGGGAGAGAGGACCAGTCATTTATCAAAAAACCAGATTTTGTGAGAACTCCCCCATTCTCACTAGAACAGCATGGAAGAAACTGCTCCCATGATCCAATCACCTCCCACCAGGTCCTTCCCTGGACATGTGGGAATTACAATGCAAGATGAGATTTGGGTGGGGACACAGAGCCAAACCGTGTCATCAAATACGGTCCAGTTCTGGCTATTGAGTTGTAAGTGGAAATTGTTGGGTGAGGCTTTTGGGAAAACTGTTTAAAAGGAGGCAAACTGGCCAGGCGTGGTGGCTCACACCTGTAATCCCAGACGTTTGGGAGGTCAAGGCAGAAGGATTACTTTGAGCCCAGGAGTTCAAGTTCAAGACCAACTGGGGCAACATAGCAAGATCCTGTCTCTACAAAAAGTTAAAAAATAAGCCAGACATGGTGACACATGCCTGTATTCCCAGCTACTTGGGCAGCTGAGTTGGGAGGATTGTTTGAGCCCAGGAGTTCAAGGCTGCGGTGAGCCAAGATCACACCATTGTACTCCAGCTTGGGTGATATGGTAAGACTCTGTCTTAGAAGAAGAAAAAAAAGGAGGCAAGTTTTACCCCTTACTCTTTACGTCTGTCTACCTGAAACGTTCCCTCTTGCAACAATGAATCCACAAGTGTATGGTAAAGATGGTTGAGGGTGGCCTTCCCTGAGGCATTGTAGTGCCAGACTAGCCCGGGAGCAACTGGGTTTGGACTCCTGATTCATGAGAAAAATAAACCCCTTATTATTTTAGCCACTATTATTAGTATTTCTGCATTACATACAGCCAAACATATTTCCTCATTCTTTTTTTCTCCCTCCATTCTTCTCCATGGATGCTGTGTGTGCCCGACTGAACCCTCAATCCTTTCATTTAAGGTTTCCTATAGAGTCAGGCATGGTGGCTCACACTTGTAATCCCAGCAGTTTGGGGGACTGAGGCGGGAGGATCACTTGAGGCCAGGAGTTTGAGACTAGCCTGGGCAACATAGTAAGACCTTGTCTCTACTGAAAAAAAAAAAAATTAGCTGGATGTGGTGGCATGTGCTTGTGGTCCCAGCTACTTGCGGGCTGAGGCAGGAGGATCACTTGAGGCCAGGAGGTAGAAGCTGCAGTGAGCTGTGACTGCACCACTACACTGCAGCCTGGGTGAAGGAGCAAGACCTTGTCTCAAAAAAAAAAAAAAATCCTTTCATATTTACTATGATTATAATACTTCTATTTTTAAGAAGTACAAACTAATTTACAGGTATATTTGAGAGATAGATAGGCACTTAGTATTTGTCATTGCACCCTAATCTTCACAATAGTTCCATTTCACAGATTACAAGACTGAGTATCAGTGGGCTAAGTAGGTTTGCTTGAGGTTTCCCAGCTACTAAGTGTTAAGACTGGGCATATCTCATTGTAAAGTGTGTGCCCTTCTTAATGGAGCAAATACTACTTTAATGATTATAATTTGTAAAGCATTTAATACATGTAAATTATATTGCCTACAACTTGAATATAACTGACTTCATCAATCTCAGAAGCATAGTGATATTTATATCTAATAAAAAACACTCCTGCTACCTTAAAAATGAATCCACATTTTTAACTGTAGACAGATGCTCCTGGTTAGGCAATTTTCAAAGTTAGAATATGAAACATTATAAGGCAAGACATTTGAAAATTTTCTTCCGTTCCTGTTCGTGCATGAAATCTACAATTTCTTGACCACATAAGATTTGTACAGTCTGTACACTTGGGTAAGTTAGCTAGTGGTTTAGAAAAAAGAGAAGTGTGAATTCAGAAAAGCAGCTGCTCCTAAATGGAATGATATCACACGGTCTCAAAATAAAGCTTGGTTCAAGATTGCTTATTCTCCTGTGAATTGGTTGGTACTTCCTAAAACTTCCTCTCTTTGCAATGATTATATTAAATCACCTCTCTATTTCTGTAAGATTAGACTATCAGCGGTTTTAAACCTCTTTGTAGAAGTCATGCCACTTTTTCAAATGAAATCTTATGTGGAATATTACTATGTAAATCAGGCAAGAAGAAAAAAATCTCTGGCTATTGCAATGGGAGCCTAGAGGCATGTCAACTTCACTCCAGCTTGAGAGGAGGCTGCTGAGGTCCCCCTGAAGAATTCCTACCTAAGACAATCCCTGAGGTCCTTTCCAAGTCTAAAATTCTATGAACCAATGGCTCTTTTGGGTATGTGTAGGTTATCTTATTGCCATGAAAACCAGTCATATTCAACAAGGGGAAAATAACAATAACTGCCTTTCTCTGGGAACATCTGGTCTGGAAATTAGAATATTTTAGTTTTAGTCCCTGTTCTGCCATTATTTTGGTCTGTTACCTTGGATGCCGTTTGCCCATCTATGAAATGAGGATAAAACATGCCCTACCTACTTTATTTTTAAACACATTTGCTTGTGAGGTTAAAAATTTCCTTTGACAAAAATAAAATTAGAGTACAATTGTGAAGTATTACCTTCAGGAAGATGTACGACAAGAGGTGGGGATATTGACTTCTTATTCCAAAGTTGCTATTGTGCAGTTACTACCTCTGTTCATGATTATAGCAAAATCAAAATCTTGGGACATAATTTCTGTTAGTGCCTGGTTATGGAAGCAGGTATTCATTTTCATTTGTGCATAGTTATAAAACTTTTCCAGAAGAAAGTGGGAGAATTCCTTTGTTTAAAAAAAATTGGCTTTACAGAGTTGATCTATTTTATCAAAATAGTACATGATCCTTATTAAAACATGCAAACAAAAATAAATTCCACCATTCAGACTCACACAAAATGATGTTTGTTGAAGATCTGTCAAAACCTTCTACGTGCTTCTAAGATATAGACAGAAAGATGAGGAGGTAAGTAGGTAAATATAGGTAGAATGATAGATTGGCAGACAAAAATGAGAATCTTACTCTATATGCTATTTCAAAATAAGGTATAATAACTTTAGTTATACTTGCATTTAAGAAAGTCAAAGAAAATTGAAGTGAAACTGTAAGAATTACTGAACTTTAGAAAAATGCTTCTTCAGTATGGAAGTTCCAAGATATTTTTCAAAAAAATTATTTAAAAAACTAGGAATCATTTAAAAAAACTTTTAAAATTCAATTTTTAACTGTATTTATTGACCCAATGTGATGCAAGATGAAAAAATCAGCATATTCACCATTGTACCATACTCTCAATTTTATCACCTTTCGTCTGTAATCATAATTCTCATTTAATCTTAGTTTTATATTTAAGTAAATTAAATTTTCTTTATTAATACTTCCCTAATGGCTTCTATAGTCCCTATTTCTATATTATTTTGATTTGACTTTTTTTGGCTGAGTTTCATCATTTAATTTTCCTCCCAAATTTGAGAAGGCCTGTCCCTTAAATATATATATATATATATATTATATATATATATATATTTAGATGATATATATATATGATCTAAATGGCAGCCACTGTCATAATTATTGTATTTAATTTGGCTGATTATAAGGAGGCTTCCAACACTTACATACAGAGTTTAACAAGTTGGAAGTTTATTTACTCCTCACATAGAAGAAGTCCAGAACTGGCCTGATGCTTCCATGAATTCATCACAGACCTACAGCCCTTTCAGTTCACCGCTCCACCATTTCTTACAGAATGGTCCTTGTCCTTGTAGTCCAGAAGGCTGCTTGAGTACCAGCCGTCAGGCAGCAGGATAAAGGAAAAATAAATGGGCCTACCCCTTTATTAAGGAAACATCTCTGAAGTGACACACAAGATTTCTGCTTGTATGTTATTGGTTAAAAATTACATGGTTATGGAATATGTGATCTTTTTGCTGATGGCAATTTTCTAGTTAAAATCTTGGTTCTTTTTTAAGGAGTTTTTTTTTAAGGAGTTGAAGCTCCTTTGTATACTTTCTCTATCATTTATATATATTTTTTGTTTCATTCTGTCTGTCTAGCCTTTCCCTCATGTCTTAACCTGCTTTCTATCATACTTTCCTATTTTTGGTTGTTGCTAATGTAGCATTCATTTATAAGATGTTTTCATTTTTTCTTTAATTTATTCCTGTACCAATTTGCTTTATCTTCTTATGTTGTATTTTTAAAATCCCTGTAATATTCTTTAGGATCCATTTTTAGAGCAATGATTTATATCTAATACATTTTATTCCCCTGATCATTTATGTGTTTGTTTATTTGGTCAGTTACTTTTAAATAATGTAATAAACACTTGAAAATCCAAGATGAAAACTAGGTCCTTGTATCTTGTATACGGTAATCTGTATCTAATGGCACAGCTCCCTCATTGCATCCCAGTGTCTCTCCACATTAAAAAAAAAAAAGCATTATCTTAACTCCTGTGTTCATCATTCCTTTGTTTCTTAAATATTATGATATTATATCAACACATATTCCTTAAAATTATATATGTACACACACATATATATATCTTCTTAATGTTGGCTATTTCTAACTTTATAAAAAGGATACCATTCTGTATGTAAGAAACTTTTTAATTTCTGTTATATTGCAGATATCCATATTGCTGTATGGTAGTTCACCTGTTTTGGCTGCTGTATACTATTTTATAGCATGATTATACCATAGTTTATTATCTACTTTCCTGTTCATGGGCAGTGTGAATTATTTCCCATTATTGGTTATTGCTATTGTTTTTGTTTGTTTGTTTTTTGAGACAGCCTTGCTCTGTTGCCCAGGCTGGAGGGCAGTGGTGCAATCTCAGCTCACTGCAACCTCCACCTGCTAGGTTCAAGCGATTCTCCTGCCTCAGCCTCCTTAGTAGTTTGGATTACAGGTGCACACCATGATGCCCAGCTAACTTTTGTAATTTTGGTAGAGACAGGTTTTCACTATGTTGACCAGGCTGGTCTTGAACTCCTGGGCTCAAGCGATCCTCCTGCCTCAGCCTCCCAAAGTGCTGGGATTACAGGCATGAGCCACCATGCCTGGCCTGTTATTGCTATTGTGAATAATGTTACAATAAACCTTCTTCCATACATATCTTGTTGTACGGGTCCGAGAATTTCCTTGGGGTTTATGCCTTGGAGTGGAATCGTTGAAGTATAGAATATGTCCAAAACAGAACTTATTGTGTTACCCTCAAAACATGACTTCTTTCTACTTCTCTGTTTCTGTAACACCCCAATCACCAATCCTTTGACTCCCAGCCTCCCTTGTTGCCTATATCCAATTGATTGCTGAGCCTGAGAAGCTTTTGCTTTCCCATTATATCACCCATCTCTCCTGTTCAAGCTTCATTAATTCTCTCCCCTGTGCTTCCTATTCTTTCTAAATATCGTCGTTAATAATTTCAATCACATGCTTTTCTTGTTCAACTTCTTTCTGTGGCTGCCTATTGACTATGAGTTTAAGTAAACTCCATAATCCAACATTCAAAGCTCTCAACAGAGAAGGTGAGAGTTGGAAGGGACCTTAGAGATCATCTTGTCAGATACACTTACCTACAAATGAGGAAACTGAGGCGCAGATAGGGAAAAGGATTTTATCAAAGTCACAAGGTGATCTGTTTGAACAATTTTATGAGTTCTGCAAGCATTCCAGGAAGAAAGCGAAGAGATGCTTGTGATATTCCGTCTTGAATTAAGGACAGAGGAGTGGAACAGTTGTAGTTGGGACAATTAGCATGATTATATCACAGTGAGAAAAAATATTGAGACTATTGGACTGGTAGAAATGAACCATTAGAAAAATGGACTCTTTTGTTACTATGTTGAGTGTAACAATTGTTGCACTACATTAGGATGTAAGTGTTGTTTGGGACTGAAAGAGTAGAGCTGTGCTCTTTAGTCATTGTGCATGAGAGTCATGTTTTTAAAAGAAGAAACTAGAAAGAGGTGGTGGAGGTGCCCTAGATGAGTGGTATGGGTAGTAGGGTTAAAATTGAAATGTCTCTCTGTCTCTCTCTCCCTGTCCCTAACCCATTTTTTTTTTTTTTTGAGATGGAGTCTCACTGTGTCGCAAGGCTAGAGTGCAGTGGCGTGATCACTGCAACCTCCACCTCCCAGGTTCAAGCGATTCTCCTGCCTCAGCCTCCCGAGTAGCTGGGACTACAGGCATGCACCAGCATGCCCAGCTAATTTTTGTATTTTTGGTAGAGATTGGGTTTCACCACATTGGCCAGAATGGTCTTGATCTCTTGACCTTGTGATCCACCCGCCTCGGCCTCCCAAAGTGCTGGGATTACAGGCGTGAGCCACCACAGCTGGCCAAACCCACTCTTTTCTCAACCACAGGTCAGTTTTGTCAGTCTTGCTTGTGAAATAGTAATGAATAGTATTTACTGAATGCTTTCTGAATGCTAACTGCTATACCTGGATTACCTCATTCAATCCTCACATCAGCTTTATAACTATCCTCGTTTTATAGATGTGCCACATTGGGCAAATAGAGAGTGTAGGACATATGGCCAAAAAGGGAATAGTGGGTCATAAAATGTCACACTTCAGCCTGACACAATTTGGAGAATAGGAAACAAGACCCTGAGTATGCCTAAAATTTTTGCTGTCATTATTTGAGGATAGACTATAGACACTGTAGATGCCTTGTAAAATAGGACAAGTCCTGAGAACCTTGGGATTGAGTTCATGTTAGAAGGACTCAAAATTTATATTAGAGGAGTCTGTCTTTATTTTGTTTTTCTTTGCATTTGTTTCTCTTTTGGCCTCCCTTAGTGTCCAATAAAGCCTGTCTGTTTTGTGGGAAGGTGGTCCAAGGGAAGGCCTTTTGTGTTTGTTTACCTTGAGCCAGAGTGTTTAAGAGGCACCAGCATGCTCATGGAGGGAGAGGACATCTACAGATGAAAGGTGGAAGTCATGGAGATAGCCATCCTAGTACTACAAGAGCTTCCTTCTCTCTCTCTCCTGGAGTGTTCCCTTTCTGTGCAAAAACCTGGAATTCCACACAAGTTCCAACCAGAAAGAACAATGTTGGCTCTTCCAACTGGAATGGTTCATGATACAAAGCAAGTAGGGAAGGTTGTAAGAAAAGATGAAAGCAAAAAATTTTCCCCTTTAATTAAAAAAAAAAAAAATTTTGAGAGAGGATCTAGCATTGTTGCCCAGGTTGGAGTGCCCTGGGGTAATCTCGGCTCACTACAACCTCGACCTCCCAGGCTCAAGCAGTCCTCCTACCTCAGCCTCCAGAGTAGCTGGGACTATAGGCATGTGCCACTATGACCAGCTAATTTTTATATTTTTTTAGAGATGGGGTTTTGCTATGTTGTCCAGGCTGGTCTCGAACTCCTGGGCTCAAGCAATCCACCTGCCTCTGCCTCCCCAGGTTTTAGGATTACAGGCATGAGTCACTGAACTCTGCCTCCTCTTTAAACTGTCAATTAGTTGAAATTAGTAAGTATTGTGAGTCATGATGTGCTAATACAATGGTAGATATGATCCTTGACCTTAAAGTTAAACATCAAAGTTGAAAAGGTAAATATGTACATGAGCAGAATAGAAAACAAGTTAAAAATACATACAAAGCCTGTCATAAGACAACACGCCAAATGATGGGAGCAGATAGCAAATAGGTGATGCAAATATAGCAGGGAGGAAGAGCTCCCTGGCTCTGTAATCTTCCATTATGAGGGAGGAAGGACTTGAGCTAGGTGTTTAAAGAATTGTAACTGTTGGGTAAGTGGAAAGGAAGGAAAAATGACAGAAGCAGAGATGAGGATCAGGAAACATATAAGATATTTTGTAAAAGCAGTGATCGGATCTCTCTGGCTTGAACTATGAGTTCCTTTAGGAGACTAGTAGGCAATAAGACCTAACGGTGAAGGGCTTTGAATGCTAGGGTAAGGAATCTGACTTTACCCTGAAGACATGAGCACTCTTAAAGATTTTTTTTTTTTTAAATAGCAATGAGGTTTAATTTATTTTTATTTTCTTAGAGACAGAATGTCACTAAGTTGTCCAGGCTGGAGTGCAGTGGCTATTAACAGGCATGATCATTGCACACTACAGCCTCGAACTCCTGGGCTCAAGTGATTTTTCCTGCCTCAGCCTCCCAAGTAGCTGGGACTACCAGCATGTGCTACCACACCTGACATGTAAAGACGTCTGAGGCAGGAAGTTAAATAATGAAAGTTACTTTTATCTATTCTTTTCTTTTTTTTCTTTTTGAGATGGAGTCTCTCTTTGTCGCCCAGGCTGGAGTGCAGTGGAGCAATCTTGGCTACTGCAACCTCCGCCTCCCAGGTTCCAGCGATTCTCCCGACTCAACCTCCCAAGTAGCTGGGATTACAGGCACCTGCCACCATTCCCAGTTAATTTTTTTTGTATGTTTTCAGTAGAGACGGGGTTTCACCATGTTGGTCAGGGTGGTCTCAAACTTCTGACCTCAGGCGATCCACCTGCCTCGGCCTCCCAAAGTGCTGGGATTACAGGCATGTGCCACTGCGCCTAGCTGAAAGTTACTTTTTAAGATGACTGGTCAGGAGGGAGGTGTGTTAAGGAATTGTGGTAGAAAAACCTCAACATTTCAACAGCAAATGAGTTTTGAGACTTTTAATGTGTCAAATGTTTAGAAAATTCTGGATTCTTTTTTCTTATGCTAACTGCTGACTTGTGTTAGGGAGAAAGGAGAAAAAAGATCAGGTAGAATTTTATCTAAAGCAGAAGACAGCTACTTTGCTAGCATTTACCCACATTGCTGACATTTTGGGGACAACCAGGGCAGGGGCCACTTCCCCAGGAAAAGTAAAACACAGTTTTCAATACACAGATTGAATACAGGACCTTCAGAATTGGGGAAAAGTAAAGTCCTCAAAAGCCAGAGTGCTGTTCGTTCCTCTTTTAAAATAAATTTCTGTTTCTTTTTTAAAAAGAGAAACTGGTTTAAAATGTCTCATTGTAGTTATATGACCAGGACATTTCATATATAGAGAACTGGTTCTCTTTTCTTAGCTAGAAGTTTCTATAGGCCCAACATGCACCAAGATTCCCTTTGGAAATTAAACACCTCAGATGGGGGCCTCAGCTGCTAAGGACACATGCTATTTGCTCTCAGGAATGGAAGTGTTGCCAAGATCACTAATGGTGATTGCTTGTCAATAATCCCGGGAATGCTCCCTTACCAAGCAGATCTAAAGGGGCCAAATACCTACTCTAGGCCATCAAAGTCAGGTGGAGGACTGATGTAGAACAAACTTCTGCTTGCTAAATTGAAAGCAAGAAGACCCCACTGGGCAAGGTTTGGGATCAGGGTGGAGGTTTCTGGAATAAGGGACATAGAGAGGAGTTCAGGACCATACTCAGGTCTACATACCTAGTCAAGTGCTTTCTTCACTACACCAAGCTGCATATGTACCTACTATTAGGTTTAGAACCTTCTGCCACTCCCTTGCTCCCTCTTTAGCCACCTATAATTGTTTAGTTGAGTGAGAAGTTTTGAGCATAGTTCAATTCGGATCACATGCTGCCTTGGCAATGTGTGATCTGGGGCAGACTTTGCCTCAGAATCAGATTTATATATCACAGGACTCTGATTGCTTAACCTGACATATCCTTGATCTGTCCTAACCTCTGACAGTTGTTATCCATTAACCTACCTGCCCTCTTTTTCTGACATCTGATAACAGGGCCTGTACTTGTATTGGCCTGATACTGTCCAAATATTTGTACCATTGGTGTTCATTGCTCTGAATTAAATTTGCAACAATATGGTGATCCACTTTTTATGTGGTTTCAGGTTAGCTGTTTTCACAGACAAGTCACTCTAGGCAGAAACTGCTATCTAACTTGACATATGAATTTCATATAGCAACCAGCTTATGAGGCCCCATAGGGTGTGGTTCCCTTTGGTTAACAGTATTGACCTGGGAAGCTGGGATCTAGAGGCCAGAACAAATCAATGGGGGGAAGACTCACTGGAGAGCTGATAAAGTTGCAGCTGCTAGCAGTGAATCCAGTCCTGCAAAGGCATCCCAAAAATATGGCCACACAATGCTGGTTGTTGGAGGTACATGCATGTACTTCATGATTGGTGGGAATCGGAGGCCTTCAGAAATTTAGGCAGGGTGGTAGGCAGCTCAGGGAAGTCTGAGACTGGGTAGCAGGGGCCCAGCCACGTGATTCAGTTCAGGGCTGGGTATTGGTGATGGCAATCATGCTTGGAAAGCGAAGGAAGAACCAGGGATCTGGAATTTCCCCAACCAGTGGCTTGCTTACTGACTCTCCTTTAAAACATTCTTCAATTCTTTTGCCTCTGGGGACATCACTAGTTTACCTCCTCCAAACCTGCTCCTCTATCATCTCTGTACTTTGCTATCAACACAAACCTTAGGGCTCTGGTTTTACATTTAGCTCACCCCTTGGAACTGACCATTGAATTATTTTTCCTTCCCAGGATGTCCAGCTCAAAGGTAAGGAAGGAGCTGTTGGCCAGCTTTGTGCATGCTTAGGGCCATCCTGCTTCCAGATACCTTGACCTGGGACCCCTATATACCTGGAAGAAGAGATTGGATGTGATGGAACTAAGTAGTTTACTGAGACAAAAATGAGGTAATAGGGATAGGAACCTAATTATTAGAACTAAGGTACTAGGACTGGTAGACTTGGTTTGAAAACAAGATAAAATTCTATCTGTTGGAACTAGGGCAGCAGATCTCAAAAATGTTCCTCAAATTTTTTCTCCCTAAGGTTACTAAACTTCAGTAAGCTTCAGAACCAGTGCTTACACAAATTCTGCCTCAGTAGGTCTGGGGAAGGGATTGCAGTCTAGAAATCTTACATTTTTCTTGTATACCTTTCCAGAAATATTCTACGCATATTAAGCAAAAACTGCATTTCTCTTTTCATTCACATGGTAACATACCATATACACCATTCTCAGCCTTACTTTTTTCCTCTACTTAACAATGTTTCTTTGAGATTAAGCTGTACCAGTATATAAATTTTCCTCCTTTTGTTGATAACATATAGTATACTATTGTAGGAGTATACATAATTCATTTAACAATCCACTGCTGGTGAGCATGTAGGTTCTTTCTAATCTCTTCCAACTGTAAACAATGTAACAATGAGTAACCATGTATATATGTAATTTCACAAACTAGTGATTATATCTGGATAAATTATTAGAAGTGGAATTGCTGGGCTAAATGACAAGTGATTCTGTAACTTTGATAGATATTGCCAAATTGCCCTTCACAGAAGTTACATCAGTTTACACTCCTACAGGCATGAGTGCCGCTTTCCCACAAGCTTAAGCCAACAAAGCCAACAAAGTGCGTTATCAAACTTTTTATCTTTGCCAATATGGTCAAAAATAGTATTTCAGTGCTGTTTAAATTTACATTTCTTTTGTTATGAGAAAGGAGAATGAGCATTCTTTGATATGTTTAAGAGTAATTAATATTTTCTTTTTGTGAAATCTGTTCCATTTTCTTTTACCATTATTTTACTGAATCTTTCTTTTTTTTTTTTTTGCTCTTGTTGCCCAGGCTGGAGTGCAGTGGCACGATCTTGGGTCACTGCAACCTCTGCCTCCTGGGTTCCATCTATTCTCCTGCCTCAGCCCCCCGAGTAGCTGGGATTACAGGTGCGTGCCACCATACCCGACTAATTTTGTATTTTTAGTAGAGATAGGGTTTCACCATGTTGGTCAGGCTGGTCTCAAACTCCTGACCTCAGGTGATCCACCCACCTTGGCCTCCCAAAGTGCTGGGATTACAGGTGTGAGCCACTGCGCCCAGCCATATTTTACTGAATCTCTTGAGAGCTTGTTTGGAAGTTCTAGCAGGGGAGTACAGCTGCTCATACACCCTTGACCGAAGACTGTTCCTCCTCTATTGGTGATGGTCATTCTTTTTGACCGAGCGCGTAGCTTTGGGAGAGATGCACATGGAGCGGTGAGGGAGGAAGGGGACACCTGCCTAGCCAGCCAGATCAGCCAAATCAACCCTGGAGATCAATGGGGTGACGGATGTCACAGCCAGATCACCCTCACATCTATTTTACTGAATATTTTGATAGTATTTTATTGGCTTGTAGGAGCTCTTTATATATTAGGAAAATTAAGCCTTTGGCTGTGATATGAGATATTTTTCCTAGCTTGCCATTTATGTTTTCACTTACCTTTTGATGACTTCTGCAGGGCAGTTTTTTATAAAAAGTTTATTATTGAATTCATTAATATTTTATTGAATGACTTCTGGGTTTTATGTAATACTTAGAAAGGGCTTCCCCACTCTGAGATCACAAAAAGTTATCCTACAGATTCTTCTAATGCCTTTACAGATTTTTAAAAAATATTTAAAACTTCATACAGAATTCATTCTAGATATAGAATTTGTTTCCAACTTATTTTTTTGGCAGATGGCTACCCAGTTTCCCCAATAGCATTTATTGAATAATCTATTTCATACCACATTATTTTGCCCATGATTTGAATTGCCCCTTTAATCATATTCTAGATTTCTATGAGGATTGGGGTTTAATTCTGAACTTTCTCTCTGACTACTATGTCTATCTTTTCATGTACCAATACCACACTGTTTTTTTTTTGTTTTTTGTTTTTTGTTTTTTGAGATGGAGTCTCACTCTGTCACCCAGGCTGGAGTGCACTGGCCCAATCTCTGCTCACTGCAAGCTCCACCTCCTGGCTTCACGCCATTCTTCTTCCTCAGCCTCCCGAGTAGCTGGGGCTACAGGTGCCCATCATCACACCTGGCTAATTTTTTGTATTTTTAGTAGAGATGGGGTTTCACCATGTTAGCCAGGAGGGTCTCGATCTCGTGATCCACCCTCCTCGGCCTCCCGAAGTGCTGGGATTACAGGCCTGAGCCACCGTGCCCAGACTGTTTTAATTATAGTAGCTTTAAAAGGCAGTTCTGGTGCCAGTGATCCATGGAGCATACTTTGAGAAACACTGTTTTAGGAACTAGTACAGTATCAGTCCTGTGCAGAATAGCATTAATATAGTGAACAGTATTTGGAAAAAATGAAGATGTCATGATTCAAAAGGATCCATCTGTTTCACAAATCTGAGGCAACTCCTACATCTTGACAGCAGCAAGAGATATGTAAGGATAATGGATTATATCCTCCTTGGCCCTACTTTCCAAGTCAATTGTGTTGACTATTTATACAGACCAGAATCTACAGTTGAGTATTTGGCTGTGGTAGTGGCTATAAAGCACCTCTGGCATGACTGACCAAATTTTGACAGTTTCAGAGAGAATATAGAGAAGACGACAGATGCTTGCTTTTGTAAATCTTCATATTTTTCTATTAACAAGTATAAACCTATTCAGACATTTTTGGGAGCAATTTTCATCAGTTGTTAGCTTTGTTTATTTGTATAACTCCAGTTAATATAAGAAGTACATGTATGTGGTAGAAATTATGTATTAAGTCCACATGCACAGATTAATAGGTTCATGGACCCTTTGAAATAGTAAACAACTGAAATAGATTTAAAAAATACTCATATACTTCTACTGAAACAGATTGTACACATAATCAATTTACTTGTTTATTCAACATGTGTTAATTGAGCTCTTATTATGCTTCCAAGAACTCTGATAAGTGCTGGGAATGCAGTAGGTAGCAATACCAGGAATAAATGATTAATGCACATGAAAGTACTTGTATTAGTTTCCTAAGATAGCCATAACAAAGCACCACAAACTAATTGGCTTTAAAAAATAGAAATATATTCTCTTACAGTTCTGGAAGCTAGAAGTCCAAAATCAAGTTGTCAGAAGGGCCATGCTCCCTCTGAAGGATCCAGGGGAGAAGCCTTCTTTGCCTCTGTCTAGTTTCTAGTGGTTGTCTGCAATCTTTGGCTTTCCTCGGCTTATAGCTGCGTTGTCCCATTCTCTGCCTCCATCTTCGTATGGCTGTTTCTCTTCCCAGCCTTCTTTCAAGGACACCAGTCATTGGACTGAGGGCACACACTAATCTAGTAACACCTCATCTTAAATTAATTACATCTGCAAAGACCTTGTCTCCAAATAACGTCACGTTTACAGTTATTAGGGGTTAGGACTTCAACATATCCTTTTGGGGGACATGATGCAACCTACAACAGCACTTATCAAAATATGAGGCTGAAAAAATATGTTAATCAGAATGCATTAGCTGTGTTCTTAGCAAGTTCATTTTAAAATGTAATTTTAAAACAGTTGGCTAAATAAGTATTTAATTGAGTCAAATGGGAATGGAGACAATTGGAATAAGAGATGGTAGAGTCATCAAATTTATTGGACCCACCACTGACCCAGATTATAGTAGCACTGTGCACAGAAACTGCATTACATGAGTTGGTGGCTTGGGTTTTCAGGAGTAGTAGAAAAGTTTGGGGCCCCCAGGAGAGAAAGACGCCTGCTGGAAGGGGATCTGAAACTGTCTTTGGAAAATTGTGACTGAGACAGTGAACGAGATCTAACTTAACCAACTCCATCTTGCTTCTAACCTCCAAGCTGTCCTTGTTCATTCCTGGGTGTAAGCTGAACTAACTTTGGGAGAAACTTAGTTTATAGTTTATAGTTTAAAACAAAGGTGGTAACAGCCCTTTCCTAAAGCAAACCTCCTTCTTGCCTGGGGACTAGATTGCCTCTGTAGGACTAACATTAGCCACAAGATTAGAAATTATGGTTTCGGAGTCATGCAACTGGAGGCTACAAGATTCTGACCCTCCCTAAACTGCTCCACAGTCATTGCTTGAGATATTTTGCAGACCCTGCACTTGATGGATCAGCTGGCCCCACCCAGATCAATTAACTGGCTCATCTGATCTTGTGGCCCCCACCCAGGAACTGACTCAGTGCAAGAAAGCAGTTTTAACTCCCTGTGATTTCATTCCTGACCAATCAGCACTCCCCACTCATTGGCTTCCCCCCAACCCCCCCACCCACCAAGTTGTCCTTAAAAAGTCTGCTTCCTGAATGCTCAGGGAGAGTGATTTGAGTAATAAAACTCTGGTCTCCAGCACAGCTGGCTCTGCATGAATTACTCTTTCTCTATTGCGATTCCCTTGTCTTGAGAAATCAGCTCTATCTAGGCAGCGGGCAAGGTGAACCATTGGGTGGTTACAGATCTGGGATAGTGGCAACGGGAAACTTCATGTTTCAAGGAGGGCCTATTGTGACTAAGGCATACTACCACTTTTCTGTGGAGAAGACACGAACCCGGTCTGCTTTTTCCCTTGGAAGAGGTAGTAGAAACTAAAATATACCTCCCTCTGCTGCCCTGTTCCACTGTGACTGCAGAAAAAGAAACTACTCAGCTTTTCTCCCTTCTCTGCCCTTGAGAAACTTGGCCTTAGCCAACCTTCCCTAATGGGTGATCTGTTTTAAGCCAGGAACATGATTCTCAAAACGTATCTCTATGTCTTCGGTTTCTTACTAGGCTATCCCTTTTCCAGAGCCAATATTTTCATACAGATGGCAAAATGACTAGTTAGGATTCCATTTTATTGTATCTATTAACATTATTTTAAAAGTATAGTAACAGATTTAGAGTCAGGAGCTCCAGGTGGAGCCCATATTTCCCTACTGTGACATGAAAAGCTGTTACAGAAGTTTTATCTGGCAGTAGATTAAAATTTTTTTTTATTTTTATTTTTTGTGCTACATAGAAAGCTGGTCTGCAGCTAACCAGTGAAGTTGATTTAGTTTGCTTTCACCTGCACACAGCTGGTTTCTTTCCCCACTGCTCCTAAGCGGCTTAATATTCCATCTGTCTTCCCCCTCCAGCCCATGAAAACCCACTCGCAGAAAAGCATTTGATAATCTCATTTACACAGTTGTGTTAATGGTTGACAAATGGTAAAAGATAGTTAGTGGGATGCAGCTGGAAGTAAACTTGAGTAGGAACCGAAGGCCTGGCTCATTTGGATCCTACAAGAGACAGCCCCCAACTATGCTGGTGCAGCTTATGATGGTTTGACCTATGGTTTTGAACTTTACCATGATGCAAAAGTGATATGCATTCATGAGGCTCTTCAACTTATAATGGGGCCACATTTGTATAAACTCATCGTAAGTTGAAAATATCATAAGTTGATAACGCACTTTATCAGGTTCTCTCTTATTCCTAAGAACACATCTTTTCAAGGATTAAGTTAGGCCCTTTGCAAGGTGCTACTCCCCCTCTTCCATCCAGCCTCTACCATGGTCACTTTAATGCTATCATAAGTATTTTTTTAAGATTATCTGATCATCTTTCACTAAATTGGAGTCCTCCAAGAAAGAGAACTATGTATTTCATCATTGGTTTATTTGTTCATTCATTTATTTGTGTATCACTATAAGATTGATAGTCAACATTGAATTCTTCCTATATGGCAGGAAAGGTACTAAGATTTTCCCATATTATCTAATTTAATTATCCCAACACCTCTGTAATGTAGCTACTATTTCTATCTCATTTTTCACATGAGGAGACTAAGGCACATATATTTACTGTCCAGTCACATGGCCAGGAAATGGGAGAGTCGTGTTTCTATGGTTTGCCCACATATGTGCTAAGTAATCACTGAGTGGTATAAAAAATATACAAATGATACTTTTACACCTTCAGGAACTTAACACTTAGCTGGACACATAAGACATAAAGCAATTAAGGAGACTGATGGGGCAGCCTGAGGTTAAATATTAAGGTAAATATAATTGGGCAAAGGAAACAAGTGTAGGCTGCACCAGTAAAAGAACTAGGTACCAAAGAACAAAACGGGTTTGCAAAGGTACAGTATTCAGACCTCTGAGTGGTGGGGATGGGGAGGGAGCTAGACCTGTCACATGTGAACTCAGCAGATAGAGAAGGGAGACCATGCCTGCACAGCCAGAACATAGTGGCAGGACATAAGGCCTAGTCAGATTTGGGCAGGCCTTGAGTATTTGGGAGAAAAGGTTAGACTCTTCTATCAAACAGTCCAGGGGAAACTGAACATTTTTAAGTGAGTGTGACTTAATCTAAACTGTGCCTTAAGAGAATTAAGAAGTGTGAAGGAAAGAAGGTAGGCATTTAGAAAAGTAGTCAGGACATTCCTTGAGCAGTCTAGGAATGAAATAAGATTCTGAACTAAGCAAATGACAGTATAAAGTTCTTTCTAAGCTAGGAAGAAATGAGGATGAGATATTCCAAAGGAAGAGCTGATAGAACTTTGGGATTGACTAGGTTATAAGTGATGAGGAAGAAGATGGGATTTAAAGATGACTCCTAGGATCTGAACTGATGAGACAAGGAAAATGGTGGCAAAAAACCTGAAAAGTTAGGGGAGGAAGATGCATATAGTGTTAGACATTTTAAACTTAACGATTGAAGATATCTGGTTGAAATGTCCAAATGGAGCAGGAAATTTGTGATGATAGCTAGGAAGAGGGATTTGGATTGGAAAAGCAAAGTTGCCTGTCACCTGTGGAATAAACATGCCAGTGCCAGAACATGGGTGAACAGAGACTGCTGCTTAGCATTGAGACGGCTCCCCATAGATAACTTACGTCTCTGCACATCTCATGAGTGAGGTACTGACTGTCCTTCATTCAAGACTACCTTTTCAAGGATGTTTGTGATACAAATAGCCTCGGAAGATGGAGATAATACCCCCATCTAGAGAAAAAGCCAGCCATGCGTACTGTCTAATATAATAAAGAGAGTATCTCCTTCCAGAGCAAAGAGCAGGCATGTTTACTGCCCCTTATAAAAGATTTAGCTTCCCTAAGCTCAGAGCTCCTCTACTGTAACACAACCCGTAGCTTCTGCAGGCATTTGAGCTCACTGGCATTGTCCGCATGGGACTAGGGAGCAAGGGCAACTGATGCAAATAAGCTAACGTTCATGCTACTTGCTGTGCCGAGGGTCGCTGACCCAGGAATCTCATGTCTTTTGCCAGCATCAAGGAAACCATGTCAGAATAATTTTTTAGCTTGTATGGTAAAACCTTAGACCCCACTACAGTTCTTAATGGCTAGGTGAGGAGCTGGGATAAAAGGTACAACTAGACAGGGTTTGGGTTCTCAGATGACTCTTGTCAAGGGTGGACAATAATGAGAATAGAAAAATGTAGACACATAAGAGATTGGAGCATTGTACCAAAGAGCTCAATCATGAGGCCTACCCAGTCCCCTCCAAAGAGAAACTACCCCATCTACAGTTCTCCTGCTGAGGGAAGACGTCTGAAAGTGATGTTCTCCACTATATAATCTGTCAATCTGATTGGCCCATATAATCCTTTTGGTCAACACTTTTCCCACTGGGCTGCCCCATAGGTAAGGTCTAGCCCATGAATTGGCTGCCTTTGGAATAAGTACCTCCTTCTTATCTAAACACCATGGCCAGAGAGGTCACAAAGCATCTTGGACCCTTAGCCTTAGAAGCAGGCTGGGAGGAAGTGGGAACCAAGCAAGGACAGACCAGGGGAGTCTGGCCCAGCTGTAGGAGGATACCCAAGAAGGATATGCAGCACCAGGGGCATGATAAACTCAAGCTTGATTCTGTGTGAATAACAGGGGCCAATCAATCCTGTGAATGGAGGCCTTAAAGCAGGAATTGCAGGAGATATGCAAAGTGAGGCAGGCTGGGGCACTGCTGTCCTAAGAAGACAAGAACAGTTAGACTCTGACCAGGTTGGTATTGTGTTGTATTATTATAAACAGACAGGAGTGAATTCAGTTCAAGTCAGTTCATCCAACACTTATTAAGTCCCTACTATATGCTAGGGACTGTGAGTTACTGGGGGAAATGACAATATGAGGCATGGATCCTAATCTCAAGAATCTAAAGGGGGTGGAAAAACAAACACATAAGCAAAGAAATATGATAAAGCATAATACATGTAATAATAAAGGCATGCATAAGACACAGAGATGAGGAAGTCATTGAGTTTTGGGGGGGACAGAGGGAAGTAGCCAGAGAAAGATGGCTGAGGAACAGACTCCTGTAGAGCATCTTGGAAGATGAAGGAGATGAATGGAGCTTTTCTCAGGAGAATGGAGAACATGGAGGGCATGGCTCAGCCCAAGGTTTGGGGGAAAGAGGGAGAGTATAGCAGGAATTAAGCAGGTTACAGAGCCCTGGCCAAGCAGTCCAGTATTCAGGACCAGACCTCAAGATGAGCAGATAACTGATTTATTAAAGAGGAAACTGTGGCAGAACCCAGGCATATGACAGAGTGGAGAGGAATGAAGAATAACAAGGCCTGAGTGGCCATGAAGGTGCCATGGTTTAGCATTAGTGCATGGGGTGACAAGCCTCTGGTGTGCAGCTCATTTAAGATCTTCACAGGCAGGGTGCGGTGGCTCATGCCTGTAATCCCAGCCCTTTGGGAGGCCAAGGTGGGTGGATCACCTGAGGTCGGGAGTTCAAGACCAGCCTGGCCAACATAGTGAAACTCCATCTCTACTAAAAATACAAAAATTAGCTGGGTGTGATGGCGCATACCTGTAATCCCAGCTACTCGGGAAGCTGAGGCAGGAGAATCACTTAAACCCAGGAGGTGGAGGTTGCAGTGACAGAGCGAGACTCTGTCTCAAAAAAAAAAAAAAAAAAAAAAAAGACCTTCCCAGGTGGAGAACCTGATTTTGAAAGCATTTACCACCTGCTCAAGATGGGCTTTGAGGAAGAAAGACCAGACCTCCTGGGGCACCTATCCCCCCAGATGCTTTAGCTACATGAGGCTTCATCTACTCCTTCATGAACTCTGCCATGTTCAGGCTCTTGGCTCTCTTCTGGATTATTAAAATAGCTTTCTAATTGGCTTTTCTGTCACCTAACACAAACTTCTCTGATCTGTCTTCCAGACAGCCCTCAGAGTGCTTTTTCTAAAAAGCAAATCTGATGATGTCACTTTCCTGTCTGAGATCCTTCAGCAGCTCCTATTGTCTGCCAGGATGCCCCTGCTCTTTAGCAAGGCCCCTTACAGTCCTTACAGTGTGGCCCTGCCAAGGCAGATGTTTTAGATAATGAAGCTGAAATGTCTGGGCTCTTCAAATTCAGGGACTGGAAGGAAACCTGGTGATGTGTTTATGTGGGCATTTTGTATTTAGTTTTGTAAAGAGGGTCCCCAAGTTGTCAAAGCTTCTCTCCAGTCTCATCTTATGATAATGTTCTCTCTCTCACACTCCCACCAGCCCAAGGTTCTCTGGAAAGTTGCCCATGACACTGTGTTGTTCAGCACCCAGGCATTTCTCCTGGGGGAAAGGATTTCCTCATCCTCCCATGTTCCCCAAAAGCTCACAATCTCCTCCTCCATGCTACCCTGTACTGTGAGTATACTGCCCAATTCCTGCTTACATCACAGATCTCTGTTTATATATCTGCCCCTACTGAACTGGGACCTCCCCTCACCCAGGTATTCAGCACAAAAGCAGTGCCTGTGGTAAAAAGGAGGAGTCAAAAAATTTTTTTTGTTAAACTAACCTGGAATGAAATGCCACTGCAGCCTCTTATAATTCATAGCATGTCTACAGCAAATGGTGACTAACTTGTGTCATGGAATAAGTAAAGCATTTAAAATATCTTATCTTAGAGAACATGATAATGAGAAGGTGGTGTTAGGTTGAGTGGCATGAAATTGCCAATATTTAACCATCATTGGTGTATTAAAAACAGCAATTTTATTTAGTTCTACCTAATAGATTTAAACCAGGTCAGTCTGACTCCAAGGTCAGTATTGTTTCCCATAGGGAGGAAGAGTTAATCCTGACTAGCTGAAGTAAAGTGATGGCAAGAGCCTGGGAGGGTGAAGTCTGGATGGGTAGCAGGGCACACCTGCAGGGTGATGCATCAGGACACTTAGCTGAGGGTGCAGATGTGCTGAGAGCCACAGCTGGAGCTTCAAGCAGGTAAACCCTGAAAGCTCACTGTTCATTGTGTGGGGAGAACATGTGATAATTCTTTTATTTCTATTTTTTCTATAGGTCATATTTTAACAACCATAGTCAAACTTATCAAAACATTTGTTTCTTTTTGTTTGTTTTTCTCCTCTTCAGTTAAAAATAATCCAGGCCAGGCGCGGTGACTCATGCCTGTAATCCCAGCACTTTGGGAGGCCGAGGCAGGTGGATCACCTAAGGTCAGGGGTTCGAGACCAGCCTGGCCAACATGACAAAACCCCGTCTCTACTAAAAATACAAAAATTTGCCGGGCATGGTGGTGGGCGCCTGTAATTCCAGCTACTCAGGAGGCTGAGGCAGGAGAATCGCTTGAACCCGGGAGGCAGAGTTTGCAGTGAGCAGGTATTGTGCCATTGCACTCCAGCCTGGCCAACAGGGTGAGACTCTGTCTCAAAAAAACACAACCAAAACCCACAGGGAAGGATTCCACTTTTTTTCTTTTCTTTTCTTTTCTTTTCTTTTTTTTTTTCAGAATGATGAGGGGAAAAAAAAGAAAAGAAAACAGAATCCATAAGGATAGTTTTCTCTATTACGACTTTTAATAACTCCTTGCTGGTCTCATAAATAGGAGAACTTGCTATAGTTATTTTACAAGATCGTATTTTAAGTAACAGCAGCTTTTACATGACACTTCTTGCATAATGATTTTTTAAAAGAGGAAATTGTTTTTATGTTTTGGGATAGCACTTAATTGCCAGGAACATAAGTTAAAAAAAAAAAAAAAAAAAAAAACGAAGGCAGAATTACTACTGAAGCCTGAAAAAAATAGAAAGCTTCCAGTCCCATTCCTGCAGTCCAAGGCAAAGTCATAATTAACATAATTTATAAAAAAGTTATCATCAAAGAAGGTTTGTCAACAAGCTCCAGCAGCCCAAATCATTGATCTAATGTAGCTAATAACCACTTTGCCATAACCACTCCTATTTACATGCAGAAAAAAAAATCGATACATTCACATGGGCCACACCACAGAACCTTCATCAACTCTGCAAAGGCATTTTGCACATTGCCTGAGGAAGGATTTTGAGTTGATTGTCTAGAGCAGAGTGTGAGAAAACAAGAAACTAAAATGGAAATCTGCAATTACAGCTCAGAATATCTCTAGGGAAGCCAAGCCATTTCAAAGCGCGGGTCAGCAGCACTGGATGACAAATGAGAATGGCAAAGTACTTCTGACCGCTAGCACCTCTCACAATGCACAGAATGACTTTCATTTTTCCCTGATCCCTTTCTTATCTCCCTTCCATCTCACCCCAAATGACCATCCAGACTAGGCATTGTTCATTTTACCTTCAGATACATGCATCCAGTAAACCTTCCATAAATAGAAGCACTCCCAGATCTCTGTCCTACTTGGCCATAGGAATGTCTTCCTATCACTGTCAGCCCCCAAACATATTTAAATGTAGCATATTTGAATGCGAAAGACCAAGTTAGGTAGCTGCCACTCCTGCCTCCACGCTGAACAGAAGCTGAGGCACCACAGATTTGGTCTTAAGAGGAAAGATTTCCTCTTTTCCCTTTGCTGTCAATCTAACTCTATCCACAATTTTTCCTCCTATTCCTTTGAAGACTCCCAGGTCCAGGCAAAATTCCATTTAGAGCTGAAGGGGAAATTTTGGTTTACAAACAAAATCCAAACTCTGATGACTGTAAGTGTTGGGCCCAAAGCTTGGCAGTGAATGGGCGACATATCAGTGAGGATAGCTAGATCTAAGATACTCAATTATGTATTTAAGGATTTTCGGGGTTTGCATCTTCCCAGTTAACTTTAGTGGTGCAACACTGTGGTGCAAGTGGCTGAGTCCTGGGTTGGGCATTAGAAGACATGGGCTGTAATCTTCTCTCTGCTGCTAAGTGCCATAGTGGTCTTGGCCCTGCCACTTTGTTCCCTAAACTTCTATTCTATGTTCCTAGGTGAGACTAAGTGAGGAGACCACCCCTCATATTGTCTTATGCCCAATTTCTGCCTCCAAAGAAAGAAAAAGTAAAAACTAAAAGGCAGAAATGAAATCCACAAGCAGACAGCCTAGCGCCACACCCTGGGCCTGGTAGTTAAAGATCGACCCCTGACCTAATCGGTTATGTTATCTATAGATTACAGACATTGTATAGAAAGGCACTGTGAAAATCCCTATCCTGTTTTGTTCCAATCTAATTACCGGCGCATGCAGCCCCCAGTCACGTACCCCCTGCTTGCTCAGTCGATCACGACCCTCTCACCCGCACCCCCTTAGAGTTGTGAGCCCTTAAAAGGACAGGAATTGCTCACTCGGGGAGCTCGGCTCTTGAGACAGGAGTCTTGCCGATGCCCCCAGCCAAATAAACCCCTTCCTTCTTTAACTTGGTGTTTGAGGACTTTTGTCAGCAGCTCGTCCTTCTGCAAGACTAGATCAGTAATTCTCAAGGAGTCTTCCCTCAGTGACACATCATGACACATTCCCATAACAGTCCCATGATCATATCAGAATTTGAGATTACTCTTTTGGAATGAGACAGTGTTTCTAGTTTTTGTTCTTTTCATTTCCTGTTTCTTTCTTTCCTTTTTTTTAACCTATGCCCTTATGGGTTAAAAAATTATTATTCTGATTAGAAGACCATAATATAAAGCAGGATGACTTAAGACCTTTCCAGTATTAACTTTCTCTGATTCTAAGCAGAAATAGTGGATTTTTAAATTCATGTGTTTGTTTCTGTATCTGGGTACATCCTAGCCTGCCTCCTAAAAAGTATTCAAATATTCGTTGAACAGAATTAAATTGGGTGACTTAAATGTCATTCCCTCTTTGGGGTCAGGGAAGGTCCCCCTCTTTTCTCTCTCTTCTTCACTGCCTTTTGTCTCCCTTCTCCTCCTGTTCCTTCCGTAGCCCAAGAGGTCTTGGGCAGTAGGACAGGTGCAGTTTCGCATAGAACCTATACTCATAACTTTAATCCATGGCCCTGTGAAGCATATCTAACCCCCAAGAGATTTGAGCTTTGCTTCGAGAGAGAACCAAATGTCAGTTTTCCTTTCCCTTTCAGCAGGCAGCAAACAAGAATGTCCTGCAGAGGGCCAAAGCCAGATAGACTTACACGAAGCACACTGGAGTCTTTTTGTTTCTGTCCACCCTATATTTTGGAAGCTCCAGCAGGAATGTGGCCCGAATTTAAACACTGGGCTGTAACCATTAACAGTGGACACTTTTGTAGATTCATGCAGCCTCTCCTGCCTTTCCTCTCTCATGGCCTTGAATGGTCTGTTGTTTGTGGACAATTCGCTTGTTGTACTCCAGCGAGCAGGCTGATCCTGACTCTCCCATTGTCTCTTATATGGGCAAACAAAAGCAGTCTTCTTAGGCCAAAGAACCAAGCTGATAAAAGACTGATTAAAGCCTCTTTTGTGGTGAAATTTAATAGGTCTGGGTTGGGCATTATATTTGATTAACCCCAACCAGTCATTACATCGCATTATATATACAGTACAGCTATGCTCAACAGCTCTCAGCTGGGTGGAGCCTGTCTTTGAACTCTTGAATGGTGCTAAGACACCATAGGCAGAGCTGGTCATCAGCTATTAGAAGTCAATAAACTTATTTCTCGAACCTCAATTTTTCCTTTGAAAATCATGGAACTTGAAGGGATGAAGCCTCATGGTGGTGTCAGAACCTACCTGGTTCTTCAGCTCACACCCTCCCTTATTCCCATAATTGGGCCAGGTGGCTTCTCCCTGCAGGCTGTCCAGGACCAAACACTGGCTTCAGTTTGGACAGATTAAAGAAACTCTGGTTTGACCCTGGGGGACCCGCAGGGCTTCACTGCTGCCTGTCCTGCTTTGCTCAGTGCCCCATCTTAGTGACTGGATAGTGACTTTCCTTGAGTATCCAGTCTCTGCTTCATATTTCAACTCTGATACCTGGCCCACCCAGGATGCCAGGCCTTCTAAGAATAAGTTTATGCCTTGATGTTACCATTTCTGCCTCTATTCTCTCTAACCCACCTCCCTTTCCCACCACTGATATGAACCATGAGCTTTCCAGCCAGTTTCCTGGATTTCCAAGTTTTCCGTTCTCCCCATCCATCCTTTATCTCATGTTGGACATCCCTGAGGCTGGTCTCAGCCTGTCCTATAAACTGGCCACCCATTCAACTGGATTTCCTCCACTGCTCCAAGCCAATGAGAGTGATATTTCTAGGTCCTCGGCCCACCTGTCTCCCCTATAGTCAACTTTTTCTCCCCATCAGCATCATAAATATACTGGAGCTATGTGTCTGTAATCAATAGTAGAAGGCTAGCCTGGATTATCAGGGAAATGTATGCAATAGGAAAATGCATGGAATACCCTTCAAAATTCCACTCAAACACTACCTTGTTCTCACTGTGTTCTCCAGGCTCTATATGCATCCCTCTATCATGGCACTGACGGCACTGTGCTTTAATTGTTGTTGGTGGTATAGTTATGTATCTGTGTCCCCTACAAAATTACAAATTAAAGAATAAGGGCCTTTTTGGGGTTTTTTTAATGTGTGTGTTTTTTTAAGAGATGAGAAGGCTGAGATTGTGCCAGTGCACTCCAGCCCGGGCGACAGAGCAAGACCCTGTCTCAAAAAAAGGAAAAAAAGAGATGGGGTCTTTCTGTGTTGCCAGGCTGGAATGCACTGGCATAATCATAGCTCATTGCAGCCTTGAACTCCTTGGCTCAAGTGATCCTTCTGCCTTAGCCCTCTGAGTAGCTAGGACTATAGGGGCATGCCACTATGCCTGGGTAATTTTTTAATGTTTAAAATTTTTTGTATAACAGGGGTCTTGCTATGTTGCCCAGGCTAGTCTTGAACTCCTGGCCTCAACTGATCCTCCTGCTTTGGCCTCTCAGAGCTGGGATTACAGGCATGAGTCACCACCCATAGCCAAGGGCCATGTTTTGACTTTTTAGCTCAGCACACAGTCAGCTTTTATTTATTTTTTTAATAAGTTGATACCTTAAAAGTCTTTGCAGAGGTATCCTAATTGTCTTTTACTGGTAGGGGTGGGTGGAGGATGAAGTGATTGACAGTTGTTACTTATAATTATTCTTGTGAAGGAATATTATTTTTCACAGCTTTTGCTAATCTCAATTAGGACACTGGGTTTTAACCCAGCTTTCCCATTAATTTCCTATGTAACCCATGTTTCTAACTTTTGAAACTATTAATAAGAAGAGCAGAGCTGGAATCAGAGGTTTTCAAACTTTAACTTTTGAACTCTTACCTGGAATCCTAGTAAACATGTAACAGAGTAAGAAATTACTAATGTGCAAATGTTTCCAGACTTTCTTCCCTCCCTACTCTTAGCCTGATTAAAAGGATGTTTTTTCCTGCTGATATTCTCCAATTCAGCTCTGAAGTATTCATTTTTACCCAAGCAGATCTGGGACTTTTGTGATTCAAGGCTGGGGCTAGCGTGAGGGGAATAAGGCACTTGTTTCTGGTGCAAAATTTCAGGAAGCTCCAAAAAACTCAGTCATTAAGATAAATAATATTTAACGCAATACTTTTGAAAATAAAAGTTAATGCAAAAATGCCTGATAAATAAAGCATCGATTTTTTCTTTTCTTTTTTGTGAGACATGATCTTGCTGTATCACCCAGGCTAAAGTGCAGTGGTGCAATCATGGCTCACTGCAGCCTTGATCTCCTGGGCTCAAGTGATCCTCCCATCTCAGTCCTAAGTAGCTGGGACTACAGGCATGCACCACTACACCTGGCTAATGTTTTTTATTTTTTAATTTTTTGTAGAGATGAGGTCTCATTATGTTGCCCAGGCTGGTCTCCAACTCCTGGACTCAAGCAATCCTCCCGCTTCGGCCTCCAAAGTGCTGGGATTATAGGTGTGAGACACTGTGCCCAGCCCAAAATATCAAAATTTTAAATAAAGATAGAATCCAACGATGCTGGGCCAACTCATATTGGAGACTAAGGCAAAGAGAAAAATAGGCACCTTATGCTAGTTTTCATATATTTATTTTAATGGTTGATTTTTTTCCCCGAGCACTAAAATACTTGGAAAAAACAATGGAAAAGTTAAAAGTAGGTGTTGAAGGAATTCAGCAAATGCCACTCAAAAATTGTCCTGAATCCCCAAGATCTCCTCAACTATGGAAGATTGGGTGATATCATGGGAGACCAGAGGTGACACCACACCCAGAGAGACTTTGTCACTAGCTGTCACCTATTCTTCTCAGGACCCACTAATCTTTCTCCAATTAATTTACTTTCCCCTAAGTTGCCTATATCTCCCCTCCCCTGACCGCTTTGAAGAGGGTATATAGGCTTCTAGATCTCATGGAGTTTTTGAATATTGACTTTTCTTTCATGTGATGCCCCAGTGCATGTAATAAATTTGTATACCTTTTCTCCTGTTAATCTGCCTACTGTCAGTTTATTTCATGCACTCAATTGTTGAACCCTCAGAGGGTAGAGGGAAAGCTTCCCCTCCTCTACAATGCTAGAACAAAATATAAGTCACGGAGTTGGGTCTATTAAAATTGTGGGACAGGCACCTTGGGGCAAAAATGGATCAAGGTACGAAATAAAACTAGAGATAACAGGTGCTGAGGGAAGCATTTAGGAAAGAAAAAAAATTATAGCCAGGAAGTCAAATCAAAGACTTTTAGCTAAGAACAGAAAGGGCAGTTTAATTAACAGGGTGCTAACAGAATGCATGAGGAAGCATGACTTTAGACTGATTGGCATTTTTGGCATTCAATTGACCTAGGATGGGGCCTCAGAATTTGTATTTGTAAAAAACCTCCACAAACATTTAAATATGCAGCCAAGATTGCATAAAAGTTATGTTTTTGTACTGAAATTCCAATCACCCTAAGGTAAAGCAATTAAAAGACCTTGTCTTTTACCCAATGAGGATAAAGGGAATAGGATTAGGGAGGAGAAAAAGCTCAGTTTGCATTTTGTTTGATATGATTAAAATAAGGAGATAGCTGGGTGTGGTGGCTCATGTCCGTAATCCCAGCACTTTGGGAGGCCAAAATGGGAGGATCACTTGAGCCCAGGAGTTTGAGACCAGCCTGGGCAACATAGCAAGATCCCATCCCTACCAAAAATTTAAAAATTAGCTAAGTGTGGTGGCGCACACCTAATAGTCCCAGCTATTTGGGAGGCTGAGGTGGGAGAATCAATTAAGCCCAGGAGTTTGAGGCTGCAGTGAGCCATGGTTGTGCCACTGTACTCCAGCCTGGGCAACAGAGCAAGACCTTGTGTCTAAATAAATAAATAAATAAAGTAAGGAGATAAAGAATGTATGATTTCATAAATCACACAGTTTATTGCTATACAAAGATATTTTAAATTTATTTTCACAATGCTTGAAGAGGGGGAGGATAATGAGAACAAATCTCACAGGAATTTGTACCAATGGATGAGGTACATTGACCACATAGTGAGTGCGTCATTCATTATTAAAGTCTAGTTGCTCAATTAAGATGGAAGCAAGCCTCTGTGGATGTCAAGTCTGATGGAAGTTTGAGGAGGTTTCTATGAGAGGTTCTTGGAAGAGACACACAGCTCGACCAACACAGCAGAGATCCATGACTAATCACAGGGTTCCTGGACACTAGAGAGTGGTGCCAGGTTTGGCAGGCCAGGCTTCGGTGACAAGCTCAAGACTGGCAGAGAGTAGCCCTGACACAGCCTAAGCTCTCAATGTGTCTGTCAAAATCTTGGGTTTATATGTGTTTTGGAGTCTAGTTGTTGAAGCCAATAGCTCACATATGTGGTCTGATAAGGTATGATATAACATTCTTAAAGGGGTGGGGATTATACTCCATGTTTTTATCACGGTAAAACATATGTCACTCACATAGAAAACTATGTAAATGTTTAAAATCATTTCACAGCTACACAACAATGTGATGTAGGAAGTGAGCAGTTTCCATTTTAACTCAGAGGTTTTACCTGAGATAAGCCAGAAAGGACCTTGCTTTGGTCAAAAACCAGGAACAAAAAGAGAACAACTGACTGATTTTGGTGTGACTCACTAAGAAGCTGAGGGGGAAAGCATGACTTAATTTTTAAGGTAAGTAAAGCTGAATGCCATGACTAAAGTTGTGTATCCATATGTTTTTCTTTTCGCCTATTTGTATTTTACCTGCCCATCGAGATCTACTGTGGAGCTTTTAAAAATCAAATGCCCAGGCCCTACTCTTAGAGGTTCTTATTCAATTTTCCTAGGATGGGGCCTCAGAATTTGTATTTTTAAAAAACCTTCACAAACATTTAAATATGCAACCAAGATTGCATAAAAGTTATGCTTATGTACTGAAATTCCAATCACCCTAAGGTAAAGCAATTAAACACACTTTTGGTGTGAAACAATTTTTTTTTTTTTCACTCCACACATAGCATTTAGGTTTGACAATTTGGTCAGTGTCCAGTTTAGACCCCTAAAAATATGAACAAGTTGATGGCATTCCATGAGACTTTTCAAGAAGTTGGAAGGTCTAGAAGTAGAGACCAGATGAAATTCATTTTGTGCAATGAAGAACACCAATACTTTTAGATTCTTGTGATAAAATGGATGTTAGATTTTTAAGAAATAATAAATTTGATTGGGAAGGATCTTAGCATACAACTATGTAAGTAATCATGAGTGATTGTTTTGTCACATATGAAACCAAGATTATGCACAAAATATAAAGTCACTTAGATTATTTTCTTTTATATCAAAAAATAACTATTTTTTTTTTTAAAAGAACGAGGTCCTAAAACAATTGCATTTACCCAGTGGAACTTTCTTTTTTTTTTTTTTTTTTTGAGACAGAATTGTACTCTGTCACCCAGGCTGGAGTGCAGTGGCGTGATCTCAGCTCACTGCAACCTCCGCCTCCTGAGTTCAAGCGATTCTCCTGCCTCAGTCTCCCGAGTAGCTGGGATTACAGGCACATACCACCACACCCAGGTAATTTTCATATTTTAGTGGAGACGGGGTTTCACCATGTCGGCCAGGCTGGTCTTGAACTCCTGACCTCAAGTAATCCACCTGTCTCAGCCTCCCAAAGTGCTGGGATTAGAGGCGTAAGCCACCGCACCCAGCCCCCAGTGGAACTTTTTAAATCATACTCACTGAGAACAGCGGAGGAAGAAATGGAAATTATTAGTCCTAGGACTGAGGAGCAGGACCCATAGCCTGGAGCCAGCCTAAAACTAAAACTGGATGAGCACCAGCATCAGGGGAAGTAAATGCCAGGGAGCCGACCACTGCCCGGTGGGAAAGAAGTCCACCGCAAAGAATAGCTCACTGTGACAGAGTGGTAGAAAACAGGGAATGGGCTGCGGTGCTCCAGGAAACCCCTGGCCCTGAGACAGGTGCACAGCCTAAAGGGGTGGAGTCCGGAGGGACATGATAAATGCAGGCTTTATTCTGGGTGAATAATAGGGTCCAGTTAACTCTTTGGATGGAGCCCTTTAAGCAGGAAGTGTTGACAGCAGGAGATATGCAAAGTGAGGCAGGCTGGGGGCCAGAAGAAGGCCTCTAAGAAAGCAGACACAGCTAGACCAGACTGGAATTGTGTTGTATTATTATAAGCGGGGAGGAGTGAATTCTGTTCAAGTCAGTTCATTTAACGCTTATTAAGTGCATTATCTGCTAGGGACTGTGTGAGCTACTGGAGAAATGATGGTATGAGACATGGATCCTAGTCAAATACAGCCAGGGCAATCCAGGGACCGATGATGGTCAGGAGCCAGGGAGCAGGTAGCTGTGTCACCTCTGAAATTACCATCTTGTAGCAGGATCTTGGTCTGGAAAGAGCCAGGAAGGTCCTTGGATGGAGAGGATCAGAGTTTTGGATGGGTCCCCAAAGCAAGGATCAAACTCTGGGAGAATAAACTGGAGGTCCAGTTGTTAGATACAGATTACATATTTTTAAAAGGATTTGTACTTTTAATATGTCAAATAGACATATTTTAGACATGTTTTAGAAAGGTGTATTTTTTAATATCTAGGTATTAAAATGTATGCTATAATGTTACTGCAGTCACCCTGCCCTTTACAGCTGCACAAGATTGACTCATTCCTCAATTTGCTTAAAGTTCAGTGTCTTCCTCAATTTTTCTGGTAAAATCCCAAGGGCAAATTCATAGTCAATTTTAGTTCCCATTTTCTGCCTCTGCAGAATTAATTGTTGGGCATTATTTTGCCACTCCAGACATACTGCCTCTGTTACTGTAAGACTTGCAACCAGCCCCCATCCTTGGTTCCTATCACCTACCTACCACCACTGAGTTGTACAAAGCTATTTTTTTTTTTTTTTTGAGACGGAGTCTTCTTCTGTCATCCAGGCTGAAGTGCAGTGGTGCAATCTCGGCTCACTGTAACCTCTGCCTCTCAGGTTCAAGCCATTCTCTTGCCTCAGTCTCCCGAGTAGTGGGGATTACAGGCATGCACCACCATGCCTGGCTAATATTTGTATTTTTAGTAGAGATGGAGTTTTGCCATATTGGCCAGGCTGGTCTTGAACTCCTGACCTTAGGTGATCTGCCCACCTCAGCCACTCAGAGTGCTGGGATTACAGGCATGAGCCACCTCGCCTGGCCGGTACAAAGCTATTGTGTTTATAGCAGACCTTACTGAAGACTTGGGGTGACAAAGGGATTACATTGCAGCAGTGCATGTAACTCATGGTAAGAATATGTTATTCTTGTTTTTAAAAGTTCTTTACTACTCTGGCATGATGCTCAATCCCCTCCCTTCTCTGCTAACAACAAAATTGCTATTAATTTCTCATGCCTTCCAGGTTTGAGGCACTTTTCCACCACAAGAGGCTCATCCAGAAGCAGTACTACCCTTAGACCCAGAGAAGAGGGGCCCTACCTAGCTCTGGGCACTGTGCTCTAGAGGAGGCTGCTCTGACTGTCCTCCAGCTGTGCCCATGCCTATATGCTGAGGTGTCCAGCTGGCCAAGGATGCTTTGAGTTTGCCTGCCCAGAGCTTACCTTCCTCCCCACCTTCTAGACCAGAGAGTAATATTTTAAGCTTTGTGGCCCTACGGTCTCTATTGCAATTATTTAATTATCCCATTATACTATGAAAACAGCCCTAGACAATATAAAAATAAATGGGCATGGCTATCTTCCAATACAACTTTACTGATAAGAATAGGCAATGGGCCAGATTTGGCCCAGGGACTGTAGTTTCTGATCCCTGTTCTAGACCACATTCCAGGTACCTAGGACCCCACACTTTCCTGCTAGAATGGTCTGGGCCTACTGCCAGGGCCTGGTCTACCCTCTTTCCCAATCCTTGGTGCCTGTGTGCAGCCTCCTAAGCCAAGTGGCTGCAGTGGGCAGAAGTGTGTTCAGAGCTTGGCTGTGAAGGACGGGGTGTCCTCACATGTGTGCAAGAGGCTCCCTCTGTGTGGGTTGGAATTGGGGAAGAAAGCAGGGAGGCGGGGATTCCAGGGCCAGGAGCTCCCCGCAGGACACCATGTTCTGACTCAGAACTCTGAGGAGTTCATGCAGTTGAAATTCAAACCTGGCCTTTGAGGTTGTTAAGAATTTTAACCGTTTGTTAACTTATTTATACATTTAAATACTTATAACTATAGTATGTGGGCCTTCTTTGTAATTTTATCCAGACCACCCACTGACAAATATCAAGGGGTTATCCTAAGCAAAAATTTGGTTTCGTCTTTAAAAGGAATCCTGATTTTCTAAAAACAATTATTTACTCTGCTACAATAATATATTTCTTTTTCAGCTCTAAACACCAGCTGAGCAGCTAATATGATTTGATGTTAAATCCTGAGTATGGGCAAGAGCTTCTTTCATCCCTCCAAGTTCAAAGTCATTTTAGTGACAACCAGGAGGGCCAATTCAGCTGGTGGGGGTCCTGGAGTTTACCTGTGGAGAGAGATGATTGCCAAGGTCAGGTGCCAGGTAGGGTGTGGCAGACTTTTGCCCGCTGCAAGCATTGTTTGGTTTAGAAACCAAGTTTCCCAATAGCTAGGACTGCTAAGAATGGAACTATCAGGGCTTGTGCTTGCCCTGAGAATAAACGCCATGGAGAAAGACACAATGGAGATAATGAGCTTCATGTCAGCTCTGAAGCTGTTAGGTTAGGAGGCTGGAAAAGGGACACTACAGCTGGTTGGGAGGGCTTTTCCCTAGTGTTTCTCTTGGCCATCTGTTCTGAACTGCGCCATCGGCTTCTCATTGGAAAGGTCGGAATGGGTGTGTGGGTAAAGCCTAATGTTGGCTCCACATGCCACATTAGATGCAGCTGCTCTTGGCTTGGTCACGCCTGGGTTTGCACCCAGGACCCTCTAAAGCTCTGCGCATTATGGTAATCAGCCATCTGCTGCAGCCTTTCCAGGACCAGCTGATCACAAAAGGAAGCCAGGAAGCTCTCTGACAACAGCAGAAGTGGAGGTGTGAGGAGGTGCCTCAGGCCGCTGCCCTCCTCCCGGAGGCCCCTCCTGGATACTGTGGAGCCTTGCAGGAAACTGGCCCAGCACTGGCATGACCTCTTATCTCTTAGGACCCCAGGGGAAATAAGCAAAAGATCTCCCCACTAGTGAGCACGGCTGTCATCCCTTCAAAGAAAGGAGCTGAACAGGGGATCTGAGTCTGCTGAGACAATGAGAGAAATTTCTGTTCCACTGGGGAGACAGAAACACCATTTGTTTGAAAAGCAAATTTTCCTTTGGATACTGGGTGTCTAGAGATAGAATGATTGGCAATTTTTAGATTACTAGTTATTACTGGAACTCTAAAATTATACTTATGTATCTAGATATATTAGTAGTCACTGATTAGTAGTAGTGACTGAGATCCCAAAATTATGGTATATTCATATGGCAATAAATATGTAGTTACATATTAATGCAGTGATAACAATGTAAATATCTATTGGCAGAAGTGTTATCATATATAAACAACCTTCTAAGGATGGAACTTTCCTTTTATATATGTGGGTATACACACATGTAAGCTATAGAATCCCTCTAGAATACATTAATATATATTTATACATATCTATGCAGCATATGTATCAAGAGTTTTTTTAACTTTGAATATACATAAATGCATACATAAATATAGATCTACATCTGCATCTTGAGAGTAGAACTCAAGACGTGGGAATTTGTTCAAGTCCCAATTCTGCCACCCCACACGTACATGATTGTGCTCATGGAAGGATTGTACTCATTGCAGCAGGAAAAGTGGAATAAAACAAACCTCAGACCCTCAGTGGCATCAGCTGGACTTGAGCTTGGTTTGAGCTCCTGGGGAGTGCTAGAAATATGGGTGTGGTGTAATAGGAACACGCAGGGAGGCAGCAAAGGCTTGAGGCCTGTATTAGCAGGGGAGGGCATACAGTGGTGAAATGTGGTTACACTCACAATAGTAAGGGCAAGAACAGAGGCATGTGCAAGTGTGCTGGTGGCGTGGACTAACTGGCTAGGAAGGTCAGGGGAGGGGATGGAGTCACAGTGTCACTCCCTTGAGCCTGATCTTGAAGGATGCACAAATGATCACAGGGGTTAGGGGGGTTTTCAAGATTTAGAAATAGCATCCACGAAGGCATAAAAATGCAAAGTGTTTCCCCGAGATGGTGATTGTCTAGGGTGGCTGGTGTCTGGGATGATGGAGATGAGACCACAAAGGTGGTCAGGAGTCAGATGGAGAAGGGCCTGGGAGCCACCCTAATGAGTGAGGGCTTTGTCTCATGGCCATGAGGAGCCACAAAGGATTTTAAGCAGAGGAGTTATGGAATCAAACTGAGGTTTGGGAGAGGTTAGTCTGACAGCTGAGATGGGAGAAACTGGGGGCAGATGGCTGTAAAACGTTGTGGCAGGAGACCAGGCAGGAGATGACAGTGGCAGAGGCAGTGGGGATGGGGAAGAGCAGGTGAGTTCAGGAGTCAGGTGCAGGAAGAATTGGCAGGACTCTGGGGAGTGAGAGAGAAGAAAGATTCTAGCTTGTTTAGTTAGGTAGAAGTTTATGCTCTTAACAGAGAGGGAAAGTAGAGAAGGAAGGACAGTCCTTAATGTTGGAGAATTCTGTTTCACACACATTGCTTTGAGGTGACTGCAGGACATCAAGGTAATGTATCTAACGAGAAGGGAAAGGGATTTGCACACATGCACACGTGCGCCCACACACGCACACACACACCCATCTCCCAAGGCTAATTGGATAGGAAGTTTGAGGAACTCATACCTGGAAAAGGCCAAAAAATCCTCACATAATGTGGCCTCTGGTCCCTCTCGGACCCTTCTCCTGTTTGCCCTGGAAGCTCTCCCTGCTCCAGCCATGCTGGCCTCCTTTCTATTTCTTGAACATGCCAAGCACACTCTCATCTCAGGGCTTTGGCTCTAGCTGTTCCCCCTGCCTAGAATATGCCTCCCCCAGACAGTCACTTTCCTAACCTCATTTCACTCAAGCCATTCCTGAAATCTCAGTGCCTGCCCACATCACACTCCCATCCCTCTCATTCCCCTCTGTTTTCTTATTTTACACAACTATTTTATGTTGTTTGTTTCTCCTGTGAGAATGTATGTTGTTTGTTCCCCTGTGAGAATGTATGCTCCACACTGGCAGGGCTCCTTGTCTGTTTTGTTCACTGATACATCGCAAGCATTTAGAACAATGCCTGGTACATTGTAAGCTCTCAATAAATATTTGTTGAATACCCGAATCTAAGTTGAATCTACTTAAGATAAGCATCAAAATTTGATTGAGAATTTATCTTTAAAAAGAGAAAAATTTTAAGTGTATCTTAATATACATTTCATAAAATGTCATTTATAATTATAATTATTGTAATTATTAGAGCAAAGAATGAACCAAGTGTTTCTTATTTGGAAGAGTGTGTTCCTGACAAAATTTTTGTCAGAAAATTGTTTGATGGTGTGATATAACTTAGACCAATTTCTGTTCGACTTTCACAGTATAACCATGAAAAAGGGTTATCTTTTGCAAAAATATTTGAAGTTTTATCAATTTTTCTAAGTACTTCTCTTTCTCTCTTGGTATATGCTAAAAATAAACAAAATTTTAATTGAGATATAATTTATATACAGTGAAATGCTCAGATCTTAAATATACCATTCAATCGGTTTTCAGGAATTCATATTGAGACAGAACACTTCCATCATTCCAGGAAGCTTCTTGTTGCACCTTCTCAGTCAGCACCAAGCAATCATTGATCTGATTCCTATCACCATAGGTTAATTTTTCCTATTCTTGAATTGCAAATTGCAAATAAATGGATTCATGCAAAATATAGCTTTCTTGTGTTAGGCTTCATTCACTGAGCATAATGTATGTGAGATATATCTATGTTGTTGAGCTTTTGTAGCTCATTTCTTTTTATTCCTCAGTAGTATTCCAAGGATTTCTGTTATATTTTAAAAGGCTTATTTTGTTACTATCTTTGTGGATTGTATCAATTGCTACTTGCTTTAACAGTGGCTTTGCTTGTGTTTCAGGTAGTTGTTTTTCATTTTATTTCAGTTGATGGAGTTTTGTATCATCTATAAGATTGCCACTTCACTTTGCCATTGATTTCCATCATATTTGCAATGTATTGTCAAATCTGTATCTAACAACATGTGAGATACTGACCAAGAAAGGTTAGGCATTATTAGTACAAAAGGAAGGCTGTTTGGAATAGGAACTAATTTTATAAGTGGTCACTGTATTAGTGACTATTTCCAGGTTTTGATTACTTTTGCTTTACCAAGCAACCTCTGGATAATGAACACTCTTATACCAACAAACTTCTTCCCCTGTGTGTGCACACCAGTCTGTATGTGTAAGTATACATGACACATATAGGTCCACTGCCTAGGAATTGTTGAATCACTTATGTGGACACATTCATTAACTTGTTGTTATTGTCCAGTTGAGACTATAAACTTGTAGAATGCAAGAGCTATTTGTCTGATTCATAGACATTGATTTGATTCAACTGTGTGAAATTGTCAATATTTGAGTATTTCTAAAATATAAAACCAGCAATTTTATGTCACTCAACTTCATGGTCTTTACACTCATTAGTGGGTAATGAAATCAATTTAATAAATTGAGGGCCGGGCAAGGTGGCTCAAGCCTGTAATCCCAGCACTTTGGGAGGCTAAGGCAGGTGGATCACCTGAGGTCAGGATTTTGAGACCAGCCTGGCCAACATGGTGAAACCCCGCCTCTACTGAAAATACAAAAATTAGCCGGGCGTGGTGGCATGCACCTGTAATCTTAACTACTCGGGAGGCTGAGGCAGAAGAATCACTTGCACCTGGGAGGCAGAGGTTGCAATGAGCCAAGATCACGCCATTGCACTCCAGCCTGGGCGACAGAGCAAGACTCCGTCTCAAAAAAATAATAACAAAATAAAATAAAATAAATTGAGATCAGCATTTTTTATTTTTTGTGACAAAGTCTTGCTCTGTCACTCAGGCTGGAGTGCAGTGATGTGATCTCGGCTCGCTGTAACCTCTGCCTACTGGGTTTAAGTGATTCTCGTGCCTCAGTCTCCAGAATAGCTGGGATTACAGGCATGTGCTATGACACCCAGCTAATTTTTGTATTTTTAATAGAGATGACATTTTGCTATGTTGGCCAGCCTGGTCTCCAACTTCTGTCCTCAAGTGATCTGCCCGCCTCAGCCTCCCAAAGTGCTGGGGTTACTGGTGTGAACCACTGCACCCAGCTGAGATCAGTATTTTTTAAAAAAGAGATAGACTAGAATAGAAAATGTCAGAGGCATTTCAAATTACGAGAATAGATAATTTTTTATGAAACTTTTCTTTCAGTAATGTGTACATGTATCATATCAGTTAGGATATTGATTTAATGCTTTAACAGAGACCCAATAGTGGAGACTTAGATAATGATAGATTAATTTCACTTCCATGCGAGTCTGAGCTTGTAAGCATCTCTGTTTCATGCAGCCATGCAGACACCCAGGTCCTTTCTATCTGCTTGCTCCTCTTTCTTCTGGGTATTGTCCTCATCCGCTTAGTTGAAGCTAGCTCATGGTCACCGCATCTCTATTCCATTGTATGCATAGGAATAGAAACCAAGATGGGGGCAAGCAGCTTCCTTTGAAAGACATCAGGGGGTAAATGTCACTTCTGCTCAAAATCAATCACTTCAGCTCAGTTGTATGGCTACACCAAGATACAAATGGTATCAGAAAACACAGCCTTTAGCTGTGCATTATGTGAGCAAAGAGAAATCCAGACAGCCCTGGAGACTGACTTCTTTCCAATTTTGGTAACTGAGGAGACAATAGGCTCAGCAGGTCTGAATTAACTTGGTGGAAAAGCAGACTGCGATTAAGTGCTAAGCTCTAGAACTCCTTTCTCTCTTTCTCTCTCTCTCTCTCTTTTTTTTTTTTTTTTTTTTTTTTTGAGATGGAGTCTCACTCTGTTGCCCAGACTGGAGTGCGGTGGCGCCATCTCAGCCCACTGCAACCTCCACCTCCTGGGTTTAAGTGATTCTCCTATCTCCCTCCCAAGTAGCTAGGATTACATGTGCATGCCACCATGCCTGGCTAATTTTTGTATTTTTAGTAGAGACGGGGTTTCACCATGTTGGCCAAGCTGGTCTTGAACTCCTGACCTCAAGTGATCCACCTGCATCAGCCTCCCAAAGTGCTGGGATTACAGGCATGAGCCACCGCAGCTGGCCTAGAGCTCTTTTCTCACACGGCCACTTCTCTACCAGGGAACTTCCATTGTTACATACTCACAGAAATGTTCCCTGACCCTTGTCCCTATAAACAGATAGAGGATTGAGCTTGGAGGGGCTGGGGAAAGGGAGAAGATTCTCTGCTGGAAACTGACCCAGGGTATGTGGTCCAGCTGTGCCACCATTGCAAGCCTCTCTGTGGATAGATGAAGGCCTGGGAATTATGAGCTTTCTGCCACTTCTCTCTGTGTAAATTTGTGCTGAGTCCTAATATTGTACATTAGGGGTTACAAAAAAAAAAGTTGAAAACCTCTAGATGGGGATTCTAGCTGATGTCTGGTATTCAGGTGATAGAATCATTAATGCTTCATTCAAATATTTGTTTGACTTACCCTGCTAGAGAGTTATCTTTAACACAATAGTGGAGAAATAAAAATTAGCTCTTATCCTCTCGGTCAGTTCTATAAATTGTATAAACTGAGCAACTATTAATGTTTTGCCACATTTGCTTCACCACTATTTCCATATGTATGCATCATTTTTCCTGAACCACTTGAGAGTTGTGCATAATGCTCTTTTGAAACCACCTTTGCAAAGATGATGACAGTGAGAGAAGTCTAGCATGGCTGACTCCATCCTGCTTCTAGCCTCTCAGGCTGGCTGTCCTCACCCATTTCTGGGCATAGGCCAAGCTAACCATAGGAAGAATTTTATTTATAATTTAACTTTGAAGCAAAGATGATAATAGTCTCTCCCTAAAACTAACCCACTCCTTGTTCAGGGACCGAAACCCACCTTTGTAAAACTAATGAAAAGCCGCAGGATTAGGATTATGAGAGGGGCCCAAATTCTGCTAAAATGTAGGCATAATTTCTATAAACCCTTACTTCCCAGAAGTCATGTGGCCAGAGGTCACAAGATTTGTGACTTCCTCAATTGCCTCTATAGATAACTTCACTATTGTAGAACCTAAGATTGACCTTTTGATATGTATTTTAGATTTTTGCATTCTGGCAACCCACTGACCCCACCCAGACCCGTGACTCATGACTCCACTGGTGCTGTGGCCCTCACCCAGAGGCAGACTCAGTGCACATGGGCCGTTTTCCACACCTCTATGATTTCATCCCCAACGAATCAGCAGCACCTACTCTCTAGCCCCCTGCCCACTAAATTATCCATAAAAAACCTAGCATCTGAGTTCTTGAGGAGACTGATTTGAGTAATAAACTCTGTCTTCCATGCAGCTAACCTAGGTTTAAACTCTTTCTTTACCACAATATCATGGTCTCAGTGTGTTGGTTTTGTCTGTGCAGTGGGCAGGAAGAACTGAAAGGGCAACTACAGTTTTACCCCCAAATGCTTCAGTGTGCATTTCCTAAGAACAAGAACATTTTCCTATTAAGCACAATAAAAGTATCTAATTAAAACAATTTAACATCATTATAATACTACTATCTAACATACAATCTGTATTAAGAATTTGCTAGTGTCCTCATGTTCTTTATGCCAATATCTCTCAACCTCCATCACTTTACCCCCCCGCTCTCTGCTCCCATCTAAGATCCAATCCAAGATATACATTAGATCTAATTTTCATGTTTGGTGAAAATTAAACAAAAATTTCAGATCCTGCATGATTACATACAGCCTTTGGACTCCTCTTTTTCCTACTGGTGTCTTTGTAGTACTATTCTCTGACTCTTTGTTTTCTTTTCCTGGAGGTGGTCTGTAGAATGTCATTGGAAATTATAACCACACAGTCAGACCAAACCTTGAGATAGAGCCAGAATTCAATCAGATATTATTTTAATAAATTGTATAAAATGTGACTCCGTCAGATTGGAAACACAGGAAAATAAGTCAATGAAGTCCAAAGGTCTTTAGACTTGCCAGCAAGACATCTAAATATCTGAAGAACTGAAAAAAATGCAAAATGCAACAGACTTTCCGGGTAGATTGGAGAATTAGGTAATATGTAACCTTCTTGAAGGTTTAGATATAGGACTAGGCAAAGAGGCTCTGAATGTCAGTTGGGGCCATGAGAAAAATCATCCTGGAGCCTGTAGCTCTAGCTCTCAAACCTTAGCCACTATCTCTAGTCCATGAAAAACTCTCCTAAAATTTACAGGGAAGGGAAGCCCAAAATTGTTTAGGATATTTGTTTCTTTAGTAGATTAGAAATAGAGATTTATAATTATGTATAGATATATAGCTAATTAAAATATTAGAAATAATATGTACATTTGGTATTTTAAGTACTAATCATGTTTAAGAGAATTAGGGACTTCAGAGTATTTCACAGATTAACCTTATGGGTCTAATAAAAATATACAACTAAGGAATAATTTAGATGTGTAATTTTAGGTTGAAATTTTAGTGTTTGTTAATTGACTGTCATTTGACTGTTAACTGACTGTTATTGTAACAGTCAAAAAAAGATAAGATTCACCGTAAGTTTAATTTGTTATAAAATTTGTAAGACTTAAGTCTTGGGAAGGTCTATTTTTTAGTGAAAGAATTACAGCTTTTAAAAGAAAATACATTAATGTATAAATGCATTTGAAATATTTAAAGGAGTTTAATTTACCAAGTTTGTAAATAATATAAAACATTGCAATCAAAGACGTTTTCAGAGTGATTATTAAAATTTGCCCGAGTCTTACACTGAATATTATAATCCATAATCTGAATGTGAAAATTTAATAACTAGGTTTTTTATTTTGTAACTTTAATAACTTGAATATGAATTTTTAAAAATAAAGTAATTTTTGTGTGAGCTTTTCATGTTCGAAAGCCATCCTCAAGGGTACCGAAGCCCCACATTTATAGAGGCAGTCTCTATACTAATAACCAGTTGGTGCCATTGCCAGCGGGAAGCTTCCAGTGGTGGCTGCCAGTCCTGGCCTGGGTGCCATTTTGTCTATGTGGCAGAAACTGCTCTCTCCTCACAAAGAAGAGCCTATCAATGAAAAGAGTCAAACTCTGTAAAATGTTTGAAGATATTTATTCTGAGCCAAATATGAGCGACCAGTGGCCTATGCCACGGCCCTCAGGAGATCCTGAGAACACATGCCCAAGGTAGTTGGGCCACAACTTGGTTTTGTACATTTTAGAGAGACATAAGGCATCAATTAATACAGGTAAGATGTACATTGGTTCAGTCCAGAAAGGCAGAACAACTGGAAGCGGGGGCTTCCAAGTCACAGGCCAATTCAAAGATTTTCTCATTGGCAATTGGTTGAGTTATTATCAATAGAAAGGAATGTCTGGGTTACAATAAGGGATTGTGGAGACCAAGCTTTTATCATGCAGATGAAGCCTCCAGGTAGCAGGCTTTCTTATCAGACTTAAAGAGTCTGTTCTATCAGTAATTCCAAAAGGGAGGAGGGTGTAATGAGGCACTTTGCCAATGGACTGGACATTGTGGCAGGTTTCTCAAAAGTTCTGGGTACACTAAATAACCTCTTTGGAGTAAATCAGTTACAGCAAATATTTATTGAGCACCTACTGGGTGCAAGGTCATGTGCTTAACAAACTATATTATAATTTTAGAGTGGTATTTTCCTCATTCTCAATAAATGTTTAATGGTGTAACTTCCTGCCCGCTGCACAAACAAATTCAACTCACTGAGACTATGGCATTACCGTAAAGAAAGTGTTTAATTGACACAAGGCTGGCCACTCCACAAGGGAGACAAAGTTATCACTCAAACCAATCTTTCTGAAGTCTTGGAGGTTAGGGGTTTTTCAAAGATAGTTTGGTGGGCAGGGTGCTAGGATGGGGGCATGCTGATTGGTTGGGTCAGAGATGAAATCATAGAAAATTGAAGCTGTTCTCTTGTGCTGAATCAGTTCCTGGGTGGGGACCACAGGACTGATTGGTGGGTTGGGATGGGGAAGGGGGCATCAGATTGTCAGAAATGCAAAAACCTGAAAAGACATCTCAAAAGACCAATCTCAGATTTTACAAGGATGATGTTATCTGCAAGAGTAATTGGGGAAGTTGCAAATTTTAAGACCTCCGGAATAATAGCTGGTAGTTATTTAGGATTCAAGCCCCTCTCACCCTCCTAACTTGGTGGACTTTCATTAATTTTACAAAAACAGTTTAGTTTTGGGAAAAGGCTATTATGATTTAAACTATAAACTAAACTTCTCTCAAAGTTAGCTTGACCCATGCTCACGAATGAGGAAAGACAGCCAACTTGTGAGGCTAGAGACAAGATGGATTTAGCCATGTAAGATTTCTCTAACTGTCACACTTTTGAAAAGGCATTTTCAATAGAAGGTATATCTTAATATTTTCAATTAATTCATTTTGCGCATATCTCCTTAAAACTCTATCATATATGTCAAGTAATTACTTAAATATTTCTATGATTCAGAATATTTAAGCTGGCCTTGAGTTTGGGACAGTCAACTTTTGTACAATCTACCCTTTGATACCTTTTACACTGATACTCCTACACCACCTGTATGGTACATTAAATTCAAACCTTCCCTTGTTAGCTGGTGAATAAGCATTTACATTTCTGCATGCACTGCTAGCCTATCAATGTCTCAAGTCTGGCTGCGTCTCTGTCTTTGCTTGTCCAGCATTGTTTTGCAATTATTTAAATACCTTTTTTTGCATTTTGCTCTTATTTTATAAAAATGAGTACTAAAAGGGGGAAAAATGACAAGAAACAAAGATTTTAAAATCAGCATAATGGAGAAAAGATGGAAAGTATTAGAAATGCTAAAAGCAATATATTTTTGGTTTCAGTCTAATGTTCATTGAACTTAAGCCAGTATATTTTGTATTTGAATGGGAAGAACAAAATTAAAGAACATGCATGAAAGCTGGAAATAATTTGGAGACTGTATCTGAAGAAAGAGATGTAATTAAGCATTTTATCATTTTTCTGGCTTTCCGTAAACAGACCTTCCCTTATAACATATAAGATGATTCAACTTTCTAATATTTACCTTCTGTTTGTGCATATATATGGCATACATAGTGGACTGCTACAAAGAATCCTGGCTGTAAATCTTTTGTAAAGAAATCCTTTCAACAAAAAGAATAAGTTTTTTTTTGTTTGTTTGTTTGTTTGAGACATTATTGTTCTGTCTCCCCAGGCTGGAGTGCAATGGCGCAATCTTGGCTCACTGCAACCTCCCAGGTTCAAGCGATTCTCATGCCTCAGTCTCCCCAGTAGTGGGGATTACAGGTGCCCGCCACCACGCCTGGCTAATTTTTGTATCTTTTTTTAGTAGAGATGGGTTTTCACCATGTTGGCCAGGCTGGTCTCGAGCTCCTGACCTCAAGTGATCTGCCTGCCTCGGCCTCCCAAAGTGCTGGGATTGCAGGCATGAGCCACTGCACCTGGCCTCAACAAATAAAAATTCTTGATGGTGGAATAAGTACCAAGTTTGCTTCTAATTCCTCCCAAACCCCACTGAAATAAAACATGTTGTTACAAAAAGAAAAGAAAAAAAGAGACTAGGAGGGGCCGGTTGCCCACAGAGAGTTTTCAAGAGATTTCTGAAAGAAGAGAAGAGAGCTGAGACAGAAAACTTGTAGAGAAAGAAGGATGAAAAGCAGAAGCAGTTGTAGGACAAGAGCTCTTCCTGTCTTTTGTAACATTCTTAATTAACTGAAGAGACTGCAAAGTGCCTTTAATGGCAATAAGACAAGGAGGGTGGGGAGTAATTTCTTCCAGAATTAAGATGAAGTCAAGCTATCAAAGGTTAGATGTTTCAGCGATGGGAGAACAAAGGGTCTTGTGCACTGTTGCTGGCTAACCTTGAGGAGGAGCAAGGCAGGAAAGGAGGAGGGGGTTACTGGGTAGTACCGAAAAGGAGGCTGGGCCCCAGGTATCAGGGTCCTCATACTGATAAAGGTCCTGTACCTAGCATAGAAGCAGAAGCCACTGCAGCTCATAGGACCATGTTTCCAGCCAGGAGAGAGGTCTCCAGTGCTAATGCTTGCCCACTGTGAGTTGTGTCCAGAATCTGGTTTTATTGTATTAAAAGAAAATAAAGCATAGACATTGCTTTAACACATAAGCCTTTTGTTAAAATTCAGAACCTCTACATTAAGAGGAAGAGGAGGAGTTATAGCAGTACCTTGAATAATAGTAATATTGATTATCCTGGTACAACCACTGGAGAGACAGGTTTTTGGTCAAAGGGACATTTTGACACCTAAAATTAAAATAAATAATCATCTGTTATCTTAGGACTGGCTTGCCTTCCAGGAACTATTTCTCACTTTGCAAGCACCACCTGTCACTGATGGGTACAGATCACACCTATGGTTTTCTTTCTGAGATTCTGATATTCTATTTAAATATATATATTATATTTAACTATATATATATTTATATATACATTTAAGAGTCTCACTCTGTCATGCAGGCTGGAGTGCAGTGACACAATCACAGCTCACTGCCGCCCCAAACTCCTAGGCATAAGGGATCTTCCCACCTCAGCCTCTCGAGTAGCTGGGACCAAAGGTGCCTACCACCATGACTGGCTAATTATTTTATTTTATTTTGTAGAGATGGGGGTCTTGTTATGTTGTCCAGGCTGGTCTCGAACTCCTGGCCTCAAGTGATCCTCTAACCTTGGCCTCCTAAAGTGTTGGAATTACAGGTGTGAGCCACCATGCCTGTCCAAATCAAATATATTCTACCAAGCTACTAAGTACAAATCAACTTTTGCAGCCTCAGTGGGAATGGAAAGGGGCTACAGAAAGGATAGAGGGCAGCATCTGGCCTTCCTGAGAGGCAGATGGAGAGATCAGGGAGTTCTCCTTGACAGCTTTGCAGTCAGAATGTGAGGCCTGGGTTAACACATGCTTCCCATGAATGCCTTAGTTGGTCACTCATCCCATACTGCAGCTGCCACTGATGTGTGGTCTTAGTTGTTCTTTTTCTCAGGTGTCATTGTTTAGCCTGTGCTCCAAAAGGTCCCCAAAAGGAGCAGTGATGTCTTTCCTCACACCCAGGGTGGGAATGGCCTGCAATAAGGTGCTCAGGGAAAACACTCCAGAAATTTGATTTTGTAAAAGTAGTATTTGCATCTGGCTAAGAAATTGTCCACCCCTCAGATTCGTTCTTCAAGTGGTGATGCCTATGTCTCTAATTGTGCTTATACTACTGTTTGGCATTCAGGAGCCTCAGGTGTTGCCTGTTGACTCCTTGTCGTGTCAGAAGACTCAGCTCTCTTATATGCCCTGCCTTCATCCCACTGTTCCATACCCCTCCTCACGATTCTCAGTTTCCCCCCTGGCTGCATCTTCAGTTTCAAACAATGCACTTAGGCTTCCATTTGTTGTTCCACTTAGATAGTAGTTTGTGACCTCCTTGTTTTAACATGAGGTTAATTATGCCCAACTTTTCCCTCCTTTTCTCTACCTCCACCTCTTCCATTCCCCTATCTTGGCCAAGATTGGTAAGATTAACATTCTCAAGTTTGGGTAACATATTCATTCTGTCCTGCAACTAGATTGTCTTCAGTGATTTGCTGATTCATTCATTCATTCATTCATTTGATAGGTATTTATTGAGCACCTACTATGTGCCCAGCACTGTTTTAGGCACTGAGGATACAGAAGTGAATGCAATAGACAAGCATCCTTCACGGAGCCTTTTCCCTCTAGTTGGAGAAAAGTAGGTCAAATCTCTATTGTGTTAGATGACAATACATCCTAAGGAAGAAACCAAAGTAGGGAAAGGGAAAGGACTCACATGAGAACACAGCTGTACACACACCCAGTCACAGTGGCCTGAAGGAAGTGAGGGAATGAGCCATTTGGGTGTCTGGGGGCAGAAGGAGTAGGAAGTATAATGGCCTGAGCCGGGGGGCAGGCCTAGTTAGTTGAAGAAGCTGAAAGGAAATGTAGTGAGGTTGAGGGAGAGTAACAGGAGGTGAAGTTGGAGGGGTACTGGAGAACATATGTGAATGTGGTGTGTATATGTGTGTACCACATGGGTGCAGCTTGAGTGGAGCCATGTGGCCATCTGGGTGACAGGATATACTGCATTTTAACAGGGCCACTTGGGTTGCTGTGCCGAGAAGAGACTGTTGTGGACCATAGGTGGAGACCTTTGAGAACGCTACTACAAAAATCCCGGTGAAATATGACAATGGCATGAAGTCAGGGATAGCCATGGAGGTGGAAAGAAATGAATGGATTCTGGATATATTCAGAAGTTAAAGTGAGGCCGGGTGTGGTGGCTCACACCTGTAATTTCAGCACTTTGGGAGGCCAAAGCAGACGGATCACTTGGGGTCAGGAATTTGAGAGCAGCCTGACCAACATGGTGAAACCCTGTCTCTACTGAAAATACAAAAATTAGCCAGGTGTGGTGGCGTGCATTTGTAATCCCAGTTATTCAGGTGGCTGAAGAAGGAGAATTGCTTGAACTTGAGAAGGGGAGGTTGCCGTGAGCTGGGATCGCACCACTGCACTCTAGCCTGGGCAAAAGAGTGAGACCCTGTCTCAAAAAAAAAAAAAAAAAAAAAAAGGCCAGGCATAGTGGCTCATGCCTGTAATCCCAGCAGTTTGGGAGGCCCAGGCGAGCGGATCACTTGAGGTCAGGAGTTCAAGACCAGCCTGGAAAACATGGTGAGACCCCATCTCTTCTAAAAATACAAAAATTAGCTGGGCATGGTGGCGCACACTTGTAGTCCCAGCTACTCAGGAGGCTGAAGCAGGAGAATCACTTGAACCCTGGAGGTAGAGGTTGTAGTGAGCCGAGTTCGCACTGTTGCACTTCGGCCTGGGCAAGAGAGTGAGACTCTGCTTCAAACAAACAAAAGCAGTTAAAGCTGATGGTATTTCCTGACCAATTGGATGTGGAGTATGAGAAAAAGAGGAGTCAAAATGACTATAAGTGTTGTAACCTGAGCAGTGGGAAAGATTGATTGATTCTAATGGATTCTAATAAATTAATTCTAAAAGCCAACTACTAATACACAGCAAATGCATTATTCTAACCATGAAATCACTCTTCCCTGAAAGCCTATTTTTTCAATATCACTATCCTTTGGACCACTCAAAAGGGAAATTTCATAGTGAAAAGTTCATGTGGCTTCTTCTTTCTCAAAACCATCCCACCTTTAAGTTGGTTCAGATTGTTTTTTGAATAGGCAAAGCATTTATATGGCTCAAAATCCAAAATAATACAAATATTATATGGTAAAAAGTCTTTCACTCACACCCATCCATCTGCTCTATATTTAAACCAGCTTTGTTTTTTCTTTTTGGTACAGTTTTTGTTTTATTTTAGTTTTTGCTTTACTCCTGGAGTTTCTAAATAGCCTTTATTTTATGTAAAGAAGAAACACATGCCTACTTCACCATATTTCAAACATTTCCTAGCTTCTTCCTCCTTTTATCTATACCTTAGAATGTATTTCATTCTTCTCGAAGCTTGCTGCCTTCCCATCATGATTTGGATCAATTTCTTTATATTTTATCTATGACTTTCCCCTACAGCAGTTGGATTTGTACATATGTGTGTATTTGGCATTTTAAATTACCTTTCCCCCTCCCACTCATGCATTATTTGCTTTTATCACATCCTCAAATTTTTCCAAGTTTTTAATCATGCAACCTATTACATGGAGTTCCCTTTTATCCTAGAGCAGTGGTCAAAAAACTTTTCCTGTGAAGAACCAGATAGTAAATACGTTAGGCTTAGTTTACCATACAGGGTTGAGCAGCTACTCAGCTGCTGGAGCATGAAATTAGCCATAGACAATCAGTAAACAAGTGAGCATGGCTGTGTTCCAATAAGACTTTATAGACACTGAAATTTGAATTTCATGTAATTTTTGTGTATCATGAAATACTCTTATTTTTCTTGAAATTTTTTTTCAACCATTAAAAACTTCAGGGCCAGCCATAATGGCTCATGCCTGTAATCCCAGCACTTTGGGAGGCTGAGGCGGGTGTATCACTTGAGGCCAGGAGTTCGAGACTAGCCTGGCCAACATGGTGAAACCCTGTCTCTACAAAAAATGCAAAACTTAGTCGGGTGTGGTGGTGTGTGCCTGTAGTCCCAGCTACCCAGGGGGCTGAGGCAGGAGGATCGCTTGAGCCAGGGAGGTTGAGGCTGCAATGAGCCAAGATGTAACAGGCAGACCGTGTCTCAAAAAAACAAAAAAAAACAAAAAAAAAACCACCGTTCTTTGCTGGTAGGTCATACAGAAGCAGGCAGCAGGCTGAATTTGGCTCACAGGCTGACACCAGCTGACCCCTGTCCTAGTGTTCTCCTTCCTAATGCTTCAATCGAGTTTGCTTGCTGTCTGGGTTTGCTTCACAGTCATTATTCTGAGAGTTCCCTGGAGTCTCTCCGGGGCTGGATCCACTGCTTCCTGGAGCCCATGTCTTCCTCATTTTTGCATTAATCCCTCATTTTATTGGAAAATATTCTCAAGGAATTTATGAAGAAAAGCCACATTTCCTTATTCTTAATATTCTGGAAAATATCTTCATTCTACCATCATACTTTTAAAAAAATTTTTTTAATAATTTTTTTTTTTTTTTTTTTTTTTTTTTTTGAGACAGAGTCTTGCTTTCTCACCCAATCTGGAGTAGAGTGGTACAGTCTTGGCTCACTGCAACCTCCACTTCCCGGGTTCAAGCAATTCTCCTGCCTCAGCCTCCTGAGTAGCTGGGATTGCAGGCACCCACCAACATACCAGGTAATTTTTTTGTATTTTTAGTAGAGACAGGGTTTTGCCATGTTGGCCAGGCTGGTTTTGAATTCCTGACCTCAGGTGATCTGCCCACCTCGGCCTCCCAAAGTGCTAGGATTACAGGCATGAGCCACTGCGCCCGGCCTTTTTAAAATTTTTTTTGAAATGGAGTTTCGCTCTTGTCCCCCAGGCTAGAGTGCAATGGCACAATCTCAGCTCACTGCAACCTCTGCTTCCTGGGTTCAAGGGATTCTCCTGCCTCAGCCTCTGAAGTAGTTGGGATTACAGGCATCCTCTACCATGCCCAGTTAATTTTGTATTTTTAGTAGAGAAGGGGTTTCACTATCTTGGTCAGGCTAGTCTTGAACTCCTGACCTCAGGTGATCCATCTACCTTGGCCTCCCGAAGTGTTGGGATTACAGGCATAAGCCACCGCGCCCTGCCCCCTCATACTTTATTATCAGTTTGGCTACATCTCGAATTCAAGGGTCAAAGTATTTTCCCTAAAAACTTCTAGTCTTTCATTGTTGCTGATGAGAAGTTAGATGCCAGTGTGAGTCTTGTTCATTTTGTAGGTAGCCTATTCTCCCCAACACTAAACACTTTTAGAATTTTCTCTTTATCTTTGGTGTTATGAAATTTCATAACTATGAGTCTGAATTTTTATAGTTTTTTCACTTATTATATAAACTTTATTTTTCCTTTTTTGATTTCCACTCCTCATTTTTAAAAATATTGTCTCTTTCTGGAACTCCTGTTAGATGTTGAAACTCCTAGATTGATCCTCTACACATACATCTTATTTTAAATATTTTATATATTTCTTTTTGTTCCTTTTAATTCTATCATCTGTGAGAATTCCATATCTTTATCTTCCAAACTTTCTACTGAATTATTCATTTTAACAATGTTAATTCTATTTTTTAAGACACTTCTTGTTCTTTGTTTATTTTTAATAGCATTCTTGATTTCTATATATTCCACCTTCTCAAAACCCTCTGGGGGAACTGCTCCAGTTACTATTGCTGCATAACGAGCTATCCCCAAGCAACCATATTATACAACTCACAGATTCTGTGAGTCAAGGATTTGGAGGAGGATGGACTGCCTCTGCTCTGGCACATGTGAGGCATCTGCTGGGAAGACTCAAAGACCCAATGCGATTCCATGGCAGGGGCCTAGAATCATCTAGAGGCTTCTTCACTCACATATCTGGTGTCTGAGCTGGAGCATTGCTATTGTCCGAATGTTAGTGTCCCCCCAAAATTCATATACTGAAACATAATCCCTATTGTGTTGGTATTAAGAGGTGGGGCCTTTGGGAGGTAATTAGGTCACAAGAATGCCCCCCTCATGAATAAGATCAGATTAGTGCCCTTACAAAAGAGGCCTGAGGGAGCTTGTTTGCCCCTTCCACCATGTGAGGACATGTAGAGTGCACCGTTTATAAGGAACGATGCCTCAGCATACACCAATCTGCTGGTACCTTGATTTTTGACTTTCCTTCCCCTAGAACCATGAACAATAAATTTCTGTTGTTTATAAATTACCTGGCCTAAGGTATTTTGCTATAGCAACTGAACCAACTAACACAGCTGTTAACAGGAGCACCAGCACATGGCCTCTCCACGTGGTCTGGGCTTTCCTCAATACACTGTGGCCCCAGAGTAGCAAATCTCATACATGGTGGTGCAGGACTCCACAGGCAAGTTCTATAGTTTGAATATTTGACCCTCCAAACCTCATGTTAAAATTTGGTCCCCATTGTTGGTGGTGGGGTCTAGTGGGAGGTGTTTGGGCCATGGGGCAGATCCCTCATGGAATATATTAACGCCCTCCCTGAGCTGAGGGTGTGAGTTCTCATTCTGTTAGTTTGCATAAGAGTTGGTTGTTTAAAAGAGCCTCTCTTTCCTGCTTCCTTCCTGACCACTGCACATGGCAGCCCCTCTTTCCCTTTCTTAATGAATGAAAGCAACTTGAGGCCCTCAACAAATGCAGGTACTGGTGCCATTCTTCTTGTAAAGCCTGCAGAACCATGAGCCAAAAAAACTCTTTTTATTAAATAAATTACGAGCCTGAGGTATTTCTTTACAGCACCACAAATGAACAAAGCAACTTGGTAGTGGGGAGTGGGGTGTTGCTATAAAGATACCCAAAAATGTAGAAGCAGTTTTGGAACTGGGTAATGGGCAGAGGTTGGAAGAGTTTGGAGGGCAAGAAGACAAAAAGACAAAGCAAAATTGGAAACTTCTTAAAGACTGATGAAGAGGCTGTGACCAAAATGCTGATAGAAATGCAGACAGTAAAGGCCATGCCAAAGAGTTCACAGATGGAAATGAAGAACTTATTGGAAACTGGAGCAATTGTCACCCTTGTTACACTGTAGCAAAGAACTTGATTGTGTGTCCAGGTCCTAGGGCTTCGTGGAAGGCCAGACTTAACAGTCATGATCTAGGGTATCTGGTGGAAAAAATGTCTTTTTTTTTTTTTTTTTTTGAGACGAAGTTTCGCTCCTGTTGCCCAGGCTGGAATGCAATGGCGCAATCTCGGCTCACCGCAACCTCTGCCTTCCAGGTTCAAGCAATTATCCTGTCTCAGCCTCCCAAGTAGCTGGGATTACAGGCATGCACCACCACGCCCAGCTAATTTTGTATTTTTAGTAGAGATGGGGTTTCTCCATGTTGAGGCTGGTCTCGAACTCCTGACTTCAGGTGATCCGCCCACCTCGGCCTCCCAAAGTGCTGGGATTACAGGCGTGAGCCACCACGCCCGGCCTCTGGTGGAAAAAATTTCTAAGCTGCAAAGCATTCAAGAAGTGGCATGACCGCTTTTAACAGCTTGTGATCAGATACAATAGCAAAAGAATGACCTAAATGTGGAATTTATAATTAAAAAGGAATCAGAACATAAAAATCTGGAAAGTTCATAGCCTAGCCATGTGTTAGAGAAGAGTGTTTTCAGGTGAGGAATCTTAGGGTGCTGTGGAACAACCACTTGATGAAGAGATTAGTGTGACTAAAAAGGAGCCATGTGCTAATACACTTAGTTTTGTGTTGTGTGTGTGTGTCCTTTTTTTTTTTTTTTTTTCCTTTCTGTGGACACTAAGGTCTCACTACAGAGCCAGGGCAGGTCTCAAACACCTGGGCTCAAACTGTCCTCCCACTGCTACCTCCCTAAGAGCTGGGATTACAGGCATGAGCCGCCACACCCAGCAACCAGGTGCCAATAATCTAGACAATGGGGAAAAGGCTCCTAAGACATTTCAGAAATCTTCAGTGCTGCCCCTCCTATCATATCCCAGAGGCCTCAGAGGACAGACTGGTTTTGGGAGCCAGGCCTGGGACAATACTGTCCTGTGGTGCCACCTGAAGATGCTGTTCCTCACATCCAGCTGCTCTGATTGTAGCAGCACAGGGTCAAATGGCCCCAGATACTGCTCTGGCCACTGCCCTGGAGAGCGCAAACCTTAAGGCTTGGCATCTTCTATGTGGTGTTAAGTCTGCAAATATGCAGAATGCAAGACTAGCAAAGGTGTGGCAGCTTCTACCTAGATTTTAGAGATGTATCGGAAAGCCTGAGTGCCAGGGCAGAAGACTGCCACAGGGGTGGAGCCACTGCAGAGAGCCTCTACTAGTGCATTGCCTGGTGGAGCTGTGGCAGCAGAGCCACTGCCCTGGAGACCCCAGAATTATAGAGCCACTGGCAGCATGCCACTTCATCCTGGAAAAAGCCATAGGCATTCAACTCCAATCTGTGAGGGCAGCCATGTGAGCTATGCCCAGCAAAGCCATGGGATATGGCTGCATAAGGCTTTGGGAACCCATCCCTCACACTGGTGTACTCAGGATGCAGGATATGGAGTCAAAGATTATTCTGGAACTTTAAGGTTTTATATCTGCCCTGATGCATTGCAGATTTGTGTGGGGGCTTATTAGCCCTTTCTTTTGGCTGATATCTCCCTTTTGGGATGGAAATGTTTCCTCAATGCCTGTACCTCCATTGTATCTTGGCAGCAAATAACTTGTTCAACTTCACACACTTATAGCTGGAAGGAGCTTGCCTTGAGTCTCATATAAGACTTTGGACTTTTGAGTTAACGCTGGAACAGGTTGAGACTTTGGGGAAATATTGGGATGAAATTATTGTATTTTGTATGTGATAAGGACATGAAATTTTGGGGAATCAGGAGTGGAATGCTATGGTTTGGATACACTTCAAACATCATGTTGAAATTTGATCATCAGTGTTGGAAGTGTGACCTAGTAGGAGATGTTTGGGTCATGGGGGCAGATCCTCATGGATAGATTAATGCCCTCTCTGGAGGAGAAATGAGTGAGTTCTCACTCTGTTATTTCCAACAATAGCTGGTTGTTTAAAAGAGCTTGGCCAGGAGTGGTGGCTCACACCTGTAGTTCTAGCTACTTGGGAGGCTGAGGCAGGAGGATCACTTGAGCCCAGGAGTTGGAGGCTGCAGTGAGATATGCTCACTCCAGCCTGGGCAACACAGCAAGACCCCATCTCTTAAAAATAAACAAATAAGCCTGGTCCCTACCCCCTGCTTCCTCTCTCACTATGTGATCTTTGCAAATGCCAGCTCCCCTTTCCTATCCACCATGAGTAGAAGCAGCCTGAAACCCTCACCAGAAGCAGATGCTGATGCCATGCTTCTTGTACAGCCTGTGGAACTCTGAGCCAAATAAACCTCTTTCTTAAAAAATATTACCTAGCCTCAGATATTCCTTTATAGCAACACAAACTAAGACAGCAAGTATCCCACAAGAACCAAATAGATGCTATATGCCTTTTTCTGACCTAGCTTCAGAAGGCATGCAATGTCAACTTCACTGTGTTGGTTACAGATGAGTCATTAACGTTGGCCCAGATTTACGAAGAGACATAGATTCCACTTCTCGATGGGAAGAATGTGAAAAATTTGTAGACATGTTTTAAAACAGTCACGTTTTTGTTTGTTTGTATTTTGTGTTTGTTTTGTATTTGTTGCTGTTGATGTTTTTAAGGTCTGTTGTTCTCCAGATTCTGTTTTCCTGTTTGGGTATGTCTTTCATGTTGCAGATTTGCCTCAATTATATTGTGATTCTCTTGTTCACTCATATTTAAGGAAAAGGCAATAACAAAACTATGAGTGGGGAAGGCTTATCAAGGGGGTAGCTTTTGCTTTGGGGTATGGTTGAGATCTAGGCATTACCCGGAGAACATTGAATGCCAGAAGGAGGAAGAGGTTGCTCTGAACAACCAACACACACTCAAGTTTCCTTGATATTTTATTCACTTTCTTTAAAGAAAAGCCCTCTGATAATTTTTGCCTGGAATATAGATCCCTGCCATAAATTATTGAACTTGCAGTGAATAAGGAAGGGAGTAGAGGAAACCTACTACTTGGCAAACTGACTTTCAATTAATCTCTACTTTTCCCTGTATATTCTACCTCCCAATCCCAGAACATCTCAGAAATTCCACAAGGCAGAGCAGCACCCTTTGTAGCAGCAATCTCCTTCGTCCACATCAGGACTGCAGTAGCCTCTGCTTGGCTTCAATAGGCAGTATCCTTGCACCCACTTCCCATGTGCCAGTAACTTGCTGAGCAATGTCATCTGCTGTTGACCTGCTTCCCCTTCTCTTGGTCATTGTTTGCTGTTGTGAAATTGTCTCCTCCTCCTCCTCCTCCTCCTCCTTTCCCTCCTCTCTTTCGGCTTTTCATTTTCCTTCTTCTTTGATAAATTCATTTTAATGGGTTTTCCTGTTGTAAGGAGAAAGAAGACTGTGCTCAGAGCTCCATTTTGAAGAAGTCAGTGGAAGATTTCTGAATGAATTTTGTATTGAACCATTAGAGCATTCATATCAAATCAGAAATATGTTGAGTAACTCTAGGCTAGCAGTCTAAATCTTTCCCTCCCTCCCTCCCTCCCTTCCTATGTTTGTTTGCATTTAATGAGCATTTACTATGCACTAGCCTTGAGCTAAACATTGAATTTGCATTATCTCAATTATCACAAAAATTTCTACTAACTCTACTATGTTGTTACTATTTTCTAAATTTTACCAGTATTGAAACTGTAGCTCAGGGAGATTGTTACTTGTTCAAGGTCATATAACTAGTAATGGCCCAAACTTCAATTAGAACAAAGATCTAATCCAGAATCAAGACTTCTGACCATTCTGCTCTACTCATTTATAATTGTTTAATATTAATACTCATTTTCACTGTAGTAAAATATACATAACAAAATTTATCATTTTAACCTGTTTTTTTTTGTTTGTTTGTTTTTTTGAGATAGAATCTCTCTCTATCACCCCAGCTGGAGTGCAGTGGTACAATCACAGCTCACTGCAGCTTCAAACTCCTGAACACAAGCAGTCCTCCCACCTCAGCTTCCTGAGTACCTGGGACTACAGGCACATGCTACCACACTTGGCTAAGTTTTTGATTTTTTGTAGAGATGGGGTCTCCCTATGTTGCCCAGGCTGGTCTCGAACTCCTAGTCTCAAGCAATCCTCCCCCCTCGGCCTCCCAAAGTGCTGGGATTACAGTTATGAGACATCATGCCTGGCCTCATTTTAACCATGTTTAAGTGTGCAGTTCAGTGGCATTAAGCACATTGACATTGTTGTGCAACCATCACTGCTATCCATCTCCAGAAATTTTTCATCTTTCCAAAATGAAGTCCTGTACCCATTAAATAATAACTCCCCATTGGTCTCAGCCCTAAACCCCTGAAAATCACCATTCTACTTTCTGTCTCCATGAATTTGACTACTCTATGTACCTCATATAAGTGGAATTATACATTATTTGTCCTTTTGTGTCTGACTTATTTCACTTAGCGTAATGTCCTCAAGGTTCATCCATGTTGTAGCATGTAGAAGAATTTCATCCCATCTTAAGGCTTAATAACATTCCATTGTAAGTATATACCACATTTTATTCATTCATTTAGTCATTCATGCATTAATGAACATTTGGGTTGTTTCTGCCTTCTGGCTATTGTGACTAATAATGCCGTAGACATGGGTATACCCATATCTGCTTGAGTACTTGTTTTTCTTTTTGGGGTCATATAACCAGAAGTGGAGTTGCTAGATCATATGGTAATTCCATGTTTAATTTTTTGAGAAACCACTGTACCGTTCTCCATGGCTGCTGAACCATTTTATATTCCCACCTCTGTGTTTACATAGCAAACCCCAATAACTCATCACAAGAACCAAGTTTCCAGCTCTGACACGCAAGGCTTCAGTTCTAATACTTACCCAAGACACAAACAAACAGGCAAACAAACAACAGCGGCAATAAAAAGACCCATCACCCCAGGATTGGAAATACTGTTCTTTATTTCCCTTTTCTTCTCCTGGTGCTACTGAGGAGAAAAATAGTAGGTCATCAAAGCAGGCAGGCAGAGAGGCCCTTCTCTCCTGGGAACTGTGAAGAAAAGATCCCCTCCACTGAAAAAGGAGTTATAACTGCTGACAAGATAGTTGCTTTTGAATTGTTGTACTTGGATTTTTGTGTAGGCAATGTGTGCAACAACCTCAAAAAACATGCAGTGGGAAGTTTCCTGTCCATCCTCATCTTCCACACACATTTTCTCTGCCCATAGCAACCACCAGTATTATTTCCTTATGGAACTTTCCAAGGGCATGCTATACATATGCAAGAATGCATTTATGATTTATATTTATATACACACACATATACATATATATACACTTATAAATGCACACATAGATTATATATGCAAATTTATAAATGCATATATAATTTGTAAAACTTCGAAGAGTAACTATAACACACCCACTGATTTTTTTATTTAATAGTGTATCTTGGACTTAGTATTAGTATTGGCATAATACTCCTTTTCATGGGCATATTAATGTCAGCTTTTTAACAACAGACCATTTTGCTATAATAATAACATTTTGTTATAATTTAATGACAGTCTTACTGTAATAAACAATTCTACAATAGAATACCTCGTACATGTGTCTTTTCACATGTGAGTATATATTTGTAGAACACTTTTCTTTTTTTTTTTTTCTTGAGGTGGAGTTATACTCTTGTTGCCCAGGCTGGAGTGCAGTGGCACAATCTTAGCTCACTACAACCTCTGCCTCCTGGTTTCAAGCAATACTCCTGCCTCAGCCTCCCAAGTAGCTGGGATTATAGGCAACCGCCACCACGCCTGCCTAATTTTTTGTATTTTTAGTAGAGATGAAGTTTCACCATGTTGGCCAGGCTGGTCTTGAACTCCTGACCTCAGGTGATCCGCCTACATTGGCCTCCCAAAGTGCTGGGATTACAGACGAGAGCCCCTGCGCCGGGTAGTGGAATACTTTTCTAGAATGCAGTAATACATGACAGTGTCTATTTTCCACACATTAGCCAGCACAGTGTGTTGCCAACTTTTTTGTCAGTCTGATAATGAAATATGGTATCAGATTGCAGTTTTAATTTGCATTTCTTATTGTGCGTTCCCAAGCGTAAAAAGGCTCTTTGGGCTGTTTGTGAGGGGCAACTTAGAATTCGTGCTGCTTCTGCCCCTGGGTGTGATCCTGGTCATACACCATGTCTGCCTCTGGCCTTTGCCTTGGCCTTACCCTGTTAAGGGCCACAGCACACACACAAGTCTAGAAAGGGAGGGAGAGGATAATGAGAAGATTCTACCTGGGAAGAGCCCCCTTCTGAAAGGGAGAAGAATGAAAAAGGGCAATGGAAACAATGGGGCAGGGCAGGAACCCCAGGATGACAAGGCTCCATGTGGCTGCTGGAGAGGGCACAGAGAGAAATGCCTAATGACATGGAGAAACAGTATAGGCCTGAAGATGCCATTTTCTAAGGAAACCTCTCTGCCCAGCTGCGGATAGGCACACAAATCCTTGGCAGAGCAACAGTTCTAATCCAAGCTGTCTTGGGCTATACTATAAAGGCAGGGGAGACGGAGCAGGGGAATGTGTGGGCCAGCTGGTGAGGGAAGAAAGAGTAGCTTAAGTCCTTCAAAGAAATGTTTTAGGGCAGTAATTCTCTGATTTAAAAAATTTTACAGAGCAATAACATTTCAAAAAAATATTTAAAATTGGGAGGAGAAATGATAGCCAATTTTTAGGTTTGCTAAGTAAAGACAGTAATAAAGCAATTAGCATCTATAATTAACATCATTTCCTAAGAGAATGGACAAATTTTACTTTCTGAAAGATAGGAAATAATTCTCAAATAAAATGATATAGAAATAGCTGTATAGGCCGGGCGCAGTGGCTCACGCCTGTAATCCCAGCACTTTGTGGGGCCGAGGCGGGCAGATCCCCAGGTCAGGAGTTTGACACCAGCCTGGCCAACATGGTGAAACCACGTCTCTACTAAAAATACAAAAATGAGCCAGGCATGGTGGTGCATACCTGTAATTCCAGCTACTCAGAAGGCTGAGGCAGGAGAATCACTTGAACCTGGGAGGCAGAGGTTGCAGCGAGCCGAGATCGCACCGTTGCACTCCAGCCTGGGCAATAGAGTGAGACTTCGTCTAAAAAAAAAGAAAAAAGAAAAAGAAATAGCTGTATAGAAAAACTCATTCTGTTCCCTCCTTTTGTTTCCAATGGGTGAAAATTTTATTAGACTGGCCTGGATTTAAGGGCTGATTCCTGGGACACACTATTTAATAAAGTTTTAGGTCAGCATTTAAAATGATTTGAATATAATATTAGTAACAGCTAAAGTTTATTGAGCACTCACTGTGAACCAGATACTGTTTTAAATGAGGCAATTGAAATGCCGAGAGTTTCAGTCACTTGCCTAAGCACCCAGCTACTAAATGGAGGGAAGAACCAGGCTTGCATCAGGCAGCCTGATTCCAAAGCTTTGACTCTTAGCCACTACATTATACAAGTGGGCAGGGAAAGAGTCCTTCAAGCATTATTTGTTTACAACAATAAAAAACATCTCTAGTAGGCTGGGCACAGTGGCGCAAGCTTGTAATCCCAGCACTTTGGGAGGCCGAGGTGGGTGGATCATGAGGTCAGGAGTTCGAGACCAGCCTGGCCAACATAGCGAAACCCCATCTCTATTAAAAATACAAAAAATTACCTGGGCCTGGTGGTGGGCACCTGTAATCTGAGCTACTCGGGAGGCTGAGGTAGGAGAATCCCTTGAACCCAGGAGGCAGAGGTTGCAGTGAGCCAAGATCACGCCATTGTACTCCAGCCTGGGCAGCAAGAGCAAAACTGTCTCGAAAAAACAAACAAAAAACTCTAGTGATTTCTTAAGTTGTTTTTGGTAAAATATTACACATACCCAGAAAGGTACAAAAAATATAAATTATATAATGATGAATAATCATAAAGTGAATGTATTCGTCTGCCCAGGCTGCCATATAAAATACCACAGAGTAGGTAGCTTAAATAACAGATATTTATTTCTTGAATTTCTGGAGGCTGAGAAGTCCAAGATCAAGGTGCTGGCCAACTTGGCTTCTGGTGAGGGCTCTCTTCTTGGCTTGCAGACAGCCACCCTCTTGCTGTGTCCCATATGGTAAAGAGATAGAGGGAGATCTCTTTTTCCTCTTATAAAGCCAGTTGTATTAAATTAGGGCCCTGTCCTTATGACCTCATTTAACTTTAATTACCTTCTAAAGACCCTGTCTCCAAATATGGTCACAACAAGTGGATTTAGAGGAGTTAGGGTCTCAGCATGTGGATTTAGAGGAGGATTCAATTCAGTCCATAGCAGCAAATATTTATATAACCCAAGTTAAGTAATAGGGCACTGCCAGGCACAGGGTGACTACCCTAATGCTAGCCCCGCAGTGTGTTATTTCTCAATCACATCCTTCTCCCCACATGGAGGTTCCTACAGTCCTGACTTTTATGATAAGTACTTTCTTGCTTAAAAAAAAACAAAAAAAAAAAAACCTTTTTATACAACAGAACATTCTTCAGCCTTAAAAAGGAAGTACATTTGGGCACATGCTACAACTTGGAGGAACCTTGAAGACATTATGCTAAATGAAATAAACCAGTCACAAAAGGACAAATACTGCATAATTCCATTTACATGAGGTTTCTGGAGTAGTCACGTTCATAGAGACAGAAAGTAGAATAGTGGTTGCCTGAGTCTGAGAGGAGGGGGAATGGGGAATTGCTTAATGGGTATAGAGTTCCAGTTTTGCAAGATAAAAAAAGTTGTGAAGATTGATTGCCCAACATATTGTAGGAGTTTTTCCACAACTCCCATTGGTTCTTTGTTGGAATGGACCCCTGCTAGAAAAGACAGATGAAGAGAAAAACAAAGAGATATTCATTAACATGTATATTTTACATATACATGTGGCACACCAAGGGAATGAATAGTTCTCAAAGAGGTGGCTTTGAATTCCAGCTTATATAGCATCTTCAACAAAGAACAGTACATTTTTATTTTATTTTATTTTATTTATTTATTTATTTTTTGAGACAGCGCCTCACTCTGTCACCCAGGCTGGAGTGCAATGGTGTGATCCCAGCTCACTACAACCTCCACCTCCTAGGGTTCAAGCAATTCTCCTGCCTCAGACTCCCAAGTAGCTTGGATTACAGGTGTGCACCACCACACCCAGCTAATTTTGAGTTTTTAGAAAGAGACAGGGTCTCACCATGTCAGTCAGGCTGGTCTCAAACCCCTGACCTCAAGTGATCCACTGGATTTGGCCTCCCAAAGTGCTGGGATTACAGGCGTAAGCCACCACGCTCAGCCAAAGAACAGTAGGTTTTTAGGTAAGTGACAAGAGAAAGGAAAAGAACTTTGAGTTTCTATAGGCAGCAACTTGGGAAGAAGGCAAATAAATCACAGATAAAGGCAAGTTAGGAAAGCTTGCTAATGTCAATTCCTCTGGTATTATCATCTCCAGTCTGATGAGGGTATAAAGTTGTCTTCAGTGTTAACCTTTGCTCTCCCTGGTAGAGAAGGAGCCAGGATGCCCTTTGTCTTTCTAAATCTAAGTCCTGCTTTCAGATAGACAGAGGGAGGGCAGAGAGCTTTCCTGCACTCGCTTTTTCGTGATTGTCTTCAGCTCAACAATTATTCATATTTTGAGGTGGTGTATTTTGGTCTCCCACAATGTGAGTATGCTTAACACTCCTGAATTGTACACTTAAAAATTGTCACGATGGTAAATGTTGTGTTATGTGTATTTTACCACAAGTAAAAATAAAAAATTTAAAAACAAATAAGAAAAAAAACAACAAAAGTTTCATAGCTCCCACTAATTTTGATGCAAGTTAGGACTCTAGGTTTGAATAATAATTATGAAAAAGTTGCAGCTAGCTATTACTGCGCGTTTACTTAGGTACAGTGTTGCAGGAAGTCAGGGACCCCAAATGGAGGGACCAGCTGAAGCCATGGCAGAAGAACGTGGATTGTGAAGATTTCATGGACATTTATTAGTTCCCCAAATTAATACTTTTATAATTTCTTATGCCTGTCTTTACTGCAATCTGTAAACATAAATTGTAAAGATTTCATGGACACTTATCACTTCCCCAATCAATACCCTTGCGATTTCCTATGCCTGTCTTTACTTTAATCTCTTAATCCTGTCAGCTGAGGAGGATGTGTATAGCCTCAGGACCCTGTAATAATTGCATTGACTGAACAAATTGTACAGTATGTGTGTTCGAGCAATATGAAATCTGGGCACCTTGAAAAAAAGAATAGGATAACAGCAATGTTTAGGAAACAAGAGAGATAACCTTAAACTCTGACCACCGGTGAGCTGGGTGGAACACAGCCATATTTCTCTTCTTTCAAAAGCAAATGAGAGAAATATTGCTGAATTCTTTTTCTCAGCAAGGAACATCCCTGAGAAAGAGAATGCACACCTGGGGGTGGGTCTCTGAACTGGCCCCCCTGGGCATTCTGCAGGGGTAAAATAGACCCCAGTCTCCCATAGTGCTCCTAGGCTTATTAGGAAGAGGAAATTCCTACCTAATAAATTTTGGTCAGACCGGTTGCTCTCAAAACCCTGTCTTCTGATAAGATGTTATGGATGACAATGGTGCCCGAAACTTCATTAGCAATTTTAATTTCACCTGGGTCCTGTGGTCCTGTGATCTCGCCCTGCCTCCACTTGCCTTGTGATATTCTATTACCTTGTAAAGTACTTGATGTCTGTGACCCACACCTATTCGCACACTCACTCCCCTTTTGAAACTCCCTAATAAAAACTTGCTGGTTTTTGCGGCTTGTGGGGCATCACGGAACCTACCAACATGTGATGTCTCCCCTGGATGCCCGGCTTTAAAATTTCTCTCTTTTGTACTCTGTCCCTTTATTTCTCAAGCTGGCCAACGCTTAGGGAAAATAGAAAAGAACCTGCATGAATATCGGGGCAGGTTCCCCGATAGTACGGTATCTCATTCAATTCTTAAAAACTCCCTGTGGTAGGTATTATCAACCCCATTTTATAGATGAAATCATCGCAGATGTGCCAGGGTCACCAAATGGTCTCCTCGTACTTTCAGATGGCTTGCTGCTCTGGGTGGCAATAGGGAGCAGAAGAAAGAGGGCTAGATTAGTAATTAGGAGATTGTGACCTTGAGGATGTCCCTTAAATTCAATCCCTTTGATCCAGCCCCTCTGGATCAGAGATTCTTCTGTGCTCTGAGGAATCTTAGGGGTTTCAATAGAGACTCTCCCATTCCCACCCAAAAAGCTGCCTTGATGTGGGGTAGAGAGGTCAGAGGACGGCCTGCCATCCCTCCCCTCCAAACCAAAGCAGTTTGCATGTATCTGTTTTACAATTTGGACTTGTACCCTGGAGAACAGATTCTGCTGCTACAAAGGGTTTTGAAAAGCACTGGATTAGATGATCTCAAAGGTTTCTCTGAGCTCACACTATCTACCTCAAATGAATCTTCTTTTACATTGCATCTCTGGAACTTGTGGATGGGCAGATTCAGCTACATAATTTGCAAGGCCCAGTGCAAAATGAAAATGCAGCACCTCTCATTCATAAAGCAGTAAAAAAGTACCATTAAAAAAACTAAAATAAGCCAGGTGCAGTGGCTCATGCCTGTAATCCCAGCACTTTGGGAGGCTGAGGCAGGTGGATTACTCGAGGTCAGGAGTCTGAGACCAGCCTGGCCAACATGGTGAAACCCCATCTCTACTAAAAAAAAAAAAAATTTAGCCAGATGTGGTGTGCACACCTGTAATCCCAGCTACTCAGGAGGCTGAGGCAGGAGAATCACTTGAACCTGGGAGGTGGAGGTTGTAGTGAGCTGAGCTCGTGCCACTGCACTCCACCCTGGGAGACAGAGTGAGACTGTGTCTCAAAATAAAAAAAACCAAAAAAACTAAAATATAAAATGTCTTCCTTTCTTCTGTGGCCTTTCTTTCCATTTGTCATGGTATTTTATTTGCTGTTTAATGTCATCTAAGTAAAGGGAAAGTAGAATTTTCAATTATGAACATAAAATTTACCATTCATCTTTATAGTGTACAATAACAGTTACAAATGCAAATAAACATAAGAGCATTTAACTTATATGCAGAATCACCAAAGTTACACAATTCGTATTTCATAGTTTGTACATGCATATGTATTTTATTCTTAACCAGAACAGTGGAGTCTGCACAAAACTAAGTCAAGTGTCTTTACTTCATATCTTGATATGAACACATTCCACCAACACTCTCTTCCTTCAACTTACTGATGATAATTAAGAAAAGACTGAAAGAAAAAGGAACTATTGGTTGCCTTATCTTTCCTTTTCTTTCTATGTCATCATTTTCAGCATACGCAGTTAGCTAATTCAGGAAAGCAACAAGAGTTAGAAGGGATATGATAACATTCCTTGGTCATTGGTGTTTCTTTGGCAACCATTTCCTTCTTTCTAAGTTGAAGGCAAGTGCTGGAACCCCTTGGAGCTGTCAGCACCACTGCTTATTCAGTGGTAGACTCAGTGGAAGACAAAACTTACCTTGTACTCGCTGTGAGCTCCCACACATTAAGGGTCCACTAGAATTCTGTGATCATGAGATATGAATGCTATATGAAAATGGCATGTTAAGGAACAGCAGAGGAGATGCATATTGTGTGTATCTCCACTGTTCATGCGCATGCACCATTGGACTTCATTTACAGAACATGAGTTCAAAGATAAGATGATTAAGAATTTTAAAACAGCAACAGCAAACATTAAACCCCAATTGTGGGGCCCTTCTGAACAAAGATCACACACCCTGAAGCTGGTCCTATGGGTGGAGAATGGAGCATGAACATTTTGGTAGGCAATTGCTTTCTTCTTTGGATGTGTCAATGCTTCAAAAAGTAGAAAAGCCTACAAAAAATGCAAATAGTTATAGTAGGTATTACTACTGTTCACTAATACCCAGTTCTCTTCTACTTTCAGGCTCAGCTCATCATGAAGAATGTCCATGTGACTTTGGTTAATAAAATGTGAGTAAAGTTATATATGTCTCTTCTGCACAGAAGCACTTAAGAGCTGGTGCATAATTATTTATCTCCTTTTCCTCCACCACAGTGACTAACAATATCCAGATGGTGGGGTCTCCATCAGACTAGGTTCCTGAGTGAGAAAAATGTGAAACACAACCCCCCACCTTCCCACCTACCTGGAGTGGACATGCAGTAAAAGCAGAAAATAAACTTTTTTTGGTAAAGATTAGGGGGTTATTTGCTATTGCCTAAATTAGTACAGTGTTATTACTGCTTTTGTTCTCAGGAATGTAGCATTTAAAATAATACCACAGCTTTAAATTATCCTTAGAATAACCATAAAACATATATTTTAAAAAACAAAATCTGTAACTTTTTTTCAAAGGCGACTCTGTTTTTCTTGAAATAGTAGAAGCACCTTTGGTAAATTTCGTGGGTGTTTGTGGAATGTTGAATCATGATTAATTTTCATTTGTGTGTTGTTTGAAGGGTAAAACACAAGGATAAAGTTTTGAAGGTGGAACCGAATTTTCCTTTGTACACAGGAATCTCCACTGATATCCCAGAGTCACTGTAATATCCTAGAATCTATAATTCATGCTATTGGGCAAGGCCTTTTCCTTTTAGCAAACCTGATGAATAGAAAGTAGAATAATTCTGCTGTTTATTTTCCCTTGACTCATTTCCAGTAGTGAAGTAGTTAGAAGTATTTGTCTCAAAGAAGATACAAGGAAAAACAAAAGACCTGGATGACCTAGTCTATTTACTATACACACACACACACACACACACACACGTACACACACAATACATATACAACTCTGTATAACTGAAATTCTCTCAAAGAAGTCACAATATATGGTGATTTCACAATTCATATCAAACTCCTCCTCTTTCTCTGGTCTCTGGAAGGAAACAGACTTCATCAATGAAGAGGGCTATTTATAAGAAGGAAAGAATATGGAAAACTTGTTTGAAAAGCAGTCATGAAGTCTGGCATCAGAGATATTTGATGGATTCTTTTGTACTCAAAATTAATGCTCTGAGGAGAGGAAAAGCCAATGAATGCAAAGGTCTGAGCATCAAATAAACAATTCTCATGGTTGGTCTTGATATTTGATGTCAGATAACTTTCAATGAACTAAGCCTCCAATTTCTTTCTTAGAGCAAATAAAAAATCTGTTCTCTATAGACTTTAACAGATGGAAAGGAAATATACTGAGTTATGTAAAATGCTAACTCTAAAATCCAGTTATTCAAAGGCTCATAGAATTTCAAGTAAAATTCATACGTTTTGCGATACCTGATCATTGGCATTTACAGACTTAATGTTTTCTGCCTCAACTATCTTTGGGTGATCTTGAAGTTTCATGTAAGGTAAAACCTTATCATTTTGTGAGAGCACAAATTTGAATAAATTGTCATAATTTTGGGTATCCAGTCACTATAGAAATCCAGAAGGTATGCCTAGCCCACTGCCTTGCAGCCTCACCTCAATGTAATCTTGATATTCTCCATCAGTTGCATTTGTCGTATACAAATGCAGAGGTATACAAATTCTCTTTTGTTTTACAAAGGGTCCTGCAAAGAAAGACAACATCCAGTCCTAATGTTTTTGAAGAAAAGGTGAAAAATCTAAGAAAGTGATTGTTCTTAGCCAGACAATAACTCTGGGATAGAGCCCATTGTCAAATTCTCCCTTGTTTGAGGCTGATGTTGTAATAAGTTTCCCATATATGCTCTGAAGAAACAAAAAGAAAGAAGAAAGAGATTTATGAAACTGTTTTAGTAATTTTGGAGGCTAGGGCACAACTACTTTTCAAGTGAGAAATAAAACTTCAGAAATATACAAAAAGCCTTTAACTGGTAGTTGAGGAAATGAACTGGAAATAATCTCTTTTCTCAGAAGTGGGACTTAGAAGAAGGGCTGTACAAAATGCCTATGAAGCAATAGGCAATATAACTTCTACTGCTGCATTGAAGTACCAAAAGTAAAAGTTGGTTTAATAATCTGCAAAATATAATGGTAAGACAGAGGTGGCTTCAGTTAACCTTCATCACAAGCTGAAGAAATCCATACAGTAAACATGCCCTAGCATATAAAAAAGTGTTAAATTCACAAGTACTCTGTCTACTTTTTAGTCTGCCAAAGTAATTCAAAGATAATTACTTTGTTTGAGAAATACATTTAGTGTTATCTTTATGCTAGGAAATGGATAAACTTGCAAAGGAGACAAAAGACAGTTGTCAGTCATGGGTTTTGTTTGTTTTTTTTTTTTTTTAGTTAATACTTAACAATTACACATATATAGGGAGTAAGTGCAATATTTTGATACATGCATACAATGTGTTATGATCAAATCAGGGTAATTAGAATATCCATCACTCAGACATTTATCATTTTTTTGTGTGGGGAACATTTTAAATCTTTTCTTCTGGCTATGTTGAAATACACAATAACTTTTTGTCTATTCACGCTACTGTGCTGTCGAAAACAAGAACTTCTTATTTAACTTAGAACACATCTAATTGTACAGTTGTACCCATTAATCAAGATTTCTTCACCTCCTTCTCTTCTCAGACTCTGGTAACCATCATTCTACTCTCTACCTTTATGAAATCAGCATTTTTAGCTGCCACATATGGGTGAGAACATGTAATATTTGTCTTTCTGTGCCTGGCTTATTTCACCTAACACAATGACCTCCGGTTCCATCTCTCTTGCTGCAGATGACAGGATTTTGTTATTTTTACGGCTGCATAGTATTTCATTGTGTATATATACCACATTTTCTTTATCCATTCATCTACTGATGGACATGTAGGCTGATACCATAACTAATATTGTAAATAGTGCTGCTGTAAACATGGGGGTGCAGGTATCCCTTGGATATACTAATTTTCTTTCCTTTGAATAAATACCCAGTAGTGGGATTGCTGGATCATATGGTAGTTCTATTTTTGCTTTTTTGAGAAACCATACTGTTTTCTTTAGTGGCAGTACTAACTTACATTACCACAAACAAGATATAAGAGTTCCCTTTTTCTGCATCTTTGCCAGCATTTTTCATTTTTTCTCGTTTTTGATGATAGCCTTTCTGACAGATGTGAGATGATATCTCATTGTGGTTTTGATTTTCATGTCACTGATGACTCGTGATGTAGAACATGTTTTTTCATATACCTGTTGGCCATTTGTATGTCTAGTTTTGAGAAAAGTCTGTTCAAATCATTGGATCACTTATTTAGTTGTTTTTAGAGACAGGGTCTCACTTTGTAACCCAGGCTGGAGTGCAGTGGTGCAATCATAGCTCACTGCAGTCTCAATTTCCTGGGCTCAAATAATCCTCCTGCCTCAGCCTCACAAGTATCAGGGAAAGCAGACATATACCACCATGCCTGGCTAATTTAAAAAAATTTTTTGTAGAGATGGGGTCTCCCTGTATTGTCCAGGTTGGTCTCAAACTCCTGGCCTCAAGCAGTCCTCCTGCCTTGGCCACCAAAATTGTTGAGATCACAGGCATGAGCCACCATGCCCACTTTTTAATGGGATTATTTGTGTTTTTGCTATTGAGTTGTTTGACCTCCTTATATATTCTGAATGTTAGTCACTTGTTGGAGAAATAGTTTATAAATATTTTCTCCCATTCTATAGATTGTCTCTTCACTCTGTTGGTTGTTTCCTTTACTGTGCAGAAGTTTTTTAGTTTAACATGGTCCCATTTGTCTATTTTTGTTTCCGTTGCCTATGCTTTTGAAGTCTTAGCCATAAATGACTTACCTAGACCAATGTCCTAACACGTTTCTCCTATGTTTATTTCTAGTAGCAGTTGAGTTTTGAATCTTATGATTTAATAAGATTTAATAAGTCTTTAATCCATTTTTGAGTTGATTTTTGTATACGGTGAGAGATACAGGTCTATTTGATTTTTCTGCATATGAATATCCAGTTTTCCTAGCACCATTTAAAAAGGATGTCCTTTCCCATTGTATACTCTTGGCACCTTTGTCAAAAGTCAGTTGGCTGTAAATATGTGGATTTATTTTTGGGTTCTCTGTTTCATTTTCATACCAATGCCATGCTATTTTGATTGTTACAACTTTGTAGTATATTTTGAAGTCAGATAGTGTGATACCTCCAGCTTTATTCTTTTTGCTTAGTATTGTTTTTGCTATTCAGGGTGTTTTGTGGCTCCATATGAATTTTAGGATTGTTTTTTCTATTTCTGTGAAGAATGTCATTGGTATTTTGATAGGGATTGCATTGAGTCTGTAGATTGCTTCAGGTAGTATGGTCATTTTAACAATATTAATTCTTCCAGTCCATGAGCAAGGGATGTTTTTCAATTTGTTTGTGTTCTCTTCAATTTCTTTCATCAATATTTTTTAATTTTCATTGTAAAGTTTTTTGCCACCTTAGTTAAATTTATTCCTAGGTAATCTTTTTAGCTGTTATAAATGGGATTGCTTTCTTGATTTCTTTTTTCAGTTAGTTCATTATTGGTATATAGAAAGTCTACTGATTTTGTATGTTAATTTTGTATCCTGCAACTTTACTGAATTCATTTATCAGTTCTAAGAGTTTTTTGGTGGAGTCTTTAGGTTTTTCTCTATATGAGATTATGTCATTTGCAAAGAGGGCCAATTTGACTTCTTCTTTTCCAACTTGAATGTTTTTTATTTATTTTTCTTGCTTGATTGCTCTGACTAGAATTTCCAGTACTATGTCAAATAGGAGTGGTAAACGTGGGCATTCTTACCTAGTTTCAGTTCTTAGAGGAAAGGCTTTCAGATTTTCCCCATTCAGTATGATGGTAGCTGTGGGTTGGTCGTATATAATCTTTATTATGTTGAAGTATGTTGATTCTATGCATGATTTGTTGAGAGTTTTTATAATGAAGGGATGTTGAATTTAATCAAATGCTTTTCTGCATCTATTGAGATGACCATATGGTTTTTGTCCTTCATTTTATTAGTGTAATGTATCATGTTTATTGATTTGCATATGTTGAAACATCCTTGCATCCTTGGGATAAATCCCACTTAATCGTGGTGCACTATCTTTTTGATGTGTTGTTGGATTCATTTCCTAGCATTTTGTTGGTGATTTTTGCATCTGTGTTCATTAGAGATACTGGCCTGTAGTTTTCTTTCTTTTGCTGTGTCCATGTCTGGTTTTCATATTGGAATAATGCTAGCCTTAGAAAATGGGTTGGGGAGAATTTTCTCCTGTTCAATTTTTTGGAGTAATTTGAGAAGAATCAGTGTTAGTTCTTCTTTATAACTTTTGTAGAATTCAGCAGTAAAGCCATCTGGTCCTGGGTTTTTCTTTGTTGGGAGACTTATTATTGATTCAACTTTGTTACTCATTATTGGTCTGTTCAAGTTTTCTATTTCTTCTTCGCTCATTCTTGATAGGTTGTATGTGTCCAGGAATTTATCCATTTCCTCTAGGTCTTCCAATTTGTTAGTGCAGAGTTTTTCATATTACTTTTAAAAGATCATTTGTATTTCTGTGGAATCAATTGTGATTTCTTCTTATTCACTTCTGATTTTTTTTATTTGGATATTCTTTCTTTTTTCTTGGTTAGTCTCGCTAGCAGTTTACCAATTTTATTTATCTTTTCCAAAAACTAACTCTTCATTGCATTGATTCTTTGTATTTTTAGGCTCTATTTTATTTAGTTTTGCTCTGGTCTTTATTATTTCTTTCCTTCTACTAATTTTGTGTTTGGTCTGTTTTTACTATTCAAGTTTCTTAAGGTGCATCATTAGGTTGTTTATTTGAAATCTTTCCACTTTTTTGATATAGGCATTTGTTACTGTAAACTTCCCTTTCAGCACTGTTTTTGCCGTATCTTATAGATTTTGGTGTGTTGTGTTTCTATTTTTATATTTTCATGGAATGTTTAAATTTCCTTCTTAATTTCTTTATTGACCCAGTGGTGTTTCAGGAGCATGTTACTTAATTTGTATGTATTTATACAGTTTCAAAGTTCTCCTTGTTATGGATTTCTAGTTTTAGAAATTGTGATCTGAGAAGATACTTTATATAATTTTGATTTTTAAAAATTTGTTAAGACTTGTAGTCTAACAAATGGTCTACACTAAAGAATGTTTCATGGGCTGATGAGGGGAACATTTATTCTATAGCTATTGGATAAAATGTTCCATAAATGTCTATAAGATCTATTTGGTCCACAGTGCAGATTAAATTCAATGTTTCTTTGTTGATTTTCTGTCTAGATGATCTGTCTAATGCTGAAAATGGGGTACAGAACTCCCCAACTATTATTGTATTTGGGTCCATCTTGCTCTTTAGCTCTAATAATATTGGCTTTATATATATGTTTAGAATTGTTGCATCCTCTTGCTGAATTAATATCTTTATCATTATATAATCACCTTCTTTGTCTCTTTTTATGTTTTTAGATTTAAGTCTATTTTATCTGACATAAGTATAGCTACTCCTGCATGCTTTTGGTTTCTGTTTGCATGGAATTTTTTTTTCCATCCCTTCATGATCAATCTATGTGTGTCTTTACAGATGAAGTGAGTTACTTGTAGGCAGCTATAGTTGGGTCTTGTTTTGTTATCAGTTCAGTAGTCTGTATATTTTAATTGGGAATTTTAAACCATTTACAGTCAAGGCTGTTATTGATAGGTGAGGACTTACTCCTGGTATTTTAATTGTTTTCTGATTTTTTGGTATGTTTTTTGTTCCTTTTTTCCTCTTTTATTATTTACCTTTACAATTTGGTGGTTTTTTGTAGCAATCATGTTTGAGTCCTTTTTCTTTCTCTTTTGTGAGTCTGTTGTGCCAGTGAGTTTTATACTTTTGTGTGTTTTTAGGATGGCAGATATCATCCTTTTGCTTCCAGATGTATGACTCTAAGCATTTATTGTAGAGCCAGTCTAGTGGTGATGAATTCCCTCCATTTGTGCTTGCCTGGGAAAGACTTTATTTGTCCTTCATATTTGAAGAATAGCTTTGCCGGATATAATATTCTTGGCTAACAGGTTTTTTGTTTTCTTTTTTTTTTTTTTTTTTTTTTTTTTTTTAGCACTTTGAATATATCACTCTATTCTGTCCTGGCCTGGAAGGTTTCTGCTGAGAAATTCTCTGTGACTGTAATGGGGATTTCCTTATATGTGACATGATGATTTTCTCTCACGGTTTATAGAATTCTCTCTTTGTCTTTGACTTTGACGTTTTAACTATAGGGAGCCTTGGAGAATCTTTTTGGGTTGAATCTATTGGGAGATCTCTGAGCTTCCTCTCTGGATCTCTATATCTCTTACAAGGCTTGGGAACTTTTCATCTATTATTTTGTTAAATAGGTTTTCTATGCCTTTGCCCATCTCTTCTTCCTCTGAAAATCCCAAAATTTGAATATTTGGTCACTTTATAGTATTGCTTTATATGTCATTAGGCTTTCTTCATTTTTAAAATTCTTTTTTTTTTCTTCCTTCCTTCCTTTCTTTCTTTGTTTCTGTTGTTGTTGTTGTTTGTTTGACTGGATTGTTTCTAAGTTCTTCCTGAACTTAAATTTCTGAATTCTTAATAAACTTGATCTAGTTTATTGTTGAAGCTCTTAATTATATTTTTATATCATTCATTAAATTCTTCAGTTCCACAATTTCTGTTTGGTTCTTTTTTTATAACATCTATCTCTTCATTAAATTTCTCATTTAGATCATGAATTGTTTTTTTTTAATTTCTTTGTAGTATTTATCTGTACTCACTGAGTTTCTTCAATATTATCATTTTAAATTCTTTTTCAGGCATGTGAAAGATTGTCTTTTCCTTGGGATCAGTTACTAGAGAATTGTTTGTTCCTTTGGATGTGTCATGTTTGCATTCTTTTCATGTTTCTTGTGTTCTTACATTGATATCTGCTCATCTGGTTTAATAGTCACTATTTTCAATTTTATGGGCTGGCTTTCTTAGGGAAGTGCTTTTTCTGTAGATACATTTACTACAGAAAACAAGGTCCTTTTGCTTTGGTTTTGGGTGGGTGCAGTAGTGTAGTTTCCATATGATTTCTTTGGCTGTAATCAGCATCAGTGGCATCTGTGAATTCCTCAATGGCTCAGGCTGCCAGTTGTTAGTAGAGGCTGTGGTAAGGCTTTTCTGGGGATGGGAATGCCAGGAGAGCCAGTCCTTAGGCATCAGTGGTGGTGGTGGGTTGGGCATACCAGGCTTCAGGTCCTCAAGTGGCATATGCTGGCATCACTGGAGGTGGATCCAGGCAGGTTGGTCCTTGGGCCTTCGGGTTGCGCCAAGTGGTGTATGTTGGTGGCAGCAGTAGCAGGGCAAGTGGCTGGGTTGTTGGGTCTTTCGGTGGCATTTGTGGTGCTGGTGGTAGCAGTAGCAGTGGTGAGCCAACTCTCAATCCCGTAAGCAGCATGCATGGGCACCAGTGATGGCAGTGACTGGCTGGGTGGGCTGATGCCCAGGTCCCCAAGTGGCACAAACAGGTAGGTACTGGTGACAGTGATGGCAAGTTGGGCAGGCTGGCTACTGGGCCTCTGGTACAGCACATGAATGCTGGTGGTGGGCTGGGTGGGCTCATCCTTAGGCCCCTGTATGATATGCATGGGTGTCAGTAGCAGTGGGCAAGGCAGGCTGATCCCCAACCCCCAGACAACATGCATGGGTGGCAGCGGCAGTTGAAGTGGATCAGGCCCCTGAACCATGTGTGTGCATGCCAGCAGTGGCAGACATGGTGGATCAATTTACAGGCCCCTGGATGACATGCATGGTTGGTGGTGGTGGGAGCAGCAGTGCGAGGGGTGGACCTGTCCTCAGTCTCCTTGGTGTGTGCAGGCACCAGCAGCAGGCAGGGTGTGTTGATTCCCAGGCCCCTGCACAATGCACTCAAGTTCTGGCAATGGTGGTAGTGGACAGGGTGGGCCTTTCCTCAGGCCCTGGGATGGTGCATGGGCACGCCAGTCATCAGGCTTCCTGAAGGTGCATGCAGGTGCATGATATCCCTGTTGCTAGAGGGAGTCAGGTTTTTTTCAGTTGTAGTGGCCCTGGGAAGGTGACTTTCAGGTTCTGGTGTGGGCACACTTTGGATCCCTTTGTCCCAGGAGCAGCTCCCTGGTGCACTGCACCATCCATTCCCCAGGGTGTGAGACATTGCATGGGCTAGAGTGCCGGGGACCCAGCTACACTTCTGGATCCATTCAGCATTGCAATGCTGCAGTCCTGTGAGTAGATGTGGGGAGATGTCAGCAGGACTTCAGGGATGTACAGATGCAGGGCTGTTAGGCCCCAGGGCAGGATACAGTCTGGTGGGGGTTGGGCTCTCAAAATGGCACCATGCTGCAGCTGCTTGCATCTCTGGAGTATATGGGACCCAGCATGAGCTCCCTTTCTGGAACAGCGCTGTCTTGTGGACTCCAGTCTCAGGGCCCACAAGGGCCAATGGGCTCTCCTATAGCTAGGACTGCAGGAATCCATGGTGGGAGTGTGGCCCACTGGGGCTTTCTCGCTTTCCTTTTACCTGCCTTGGAGAATTCCTCCTAGCTCTGAGCCAATCCTGGCTAGGCTGGCTGCTTTTCTTCCCTCTCCTTCCTTGCCTCAGAAGTTCCCTGCAACTTCCCTGATGAATTCCAGTATTCTCTCTTAGACACTCTATTTGAAGTATGATTATCGACTCATTGGTTTGGTCCTTCCTTGTGAAGGTGGTGAGTGCAGCATGCTTCTAGTCAGCCATCTTGAAAGCCCCTCATTTAATTAATCACATGCTAATCCTATGAGGGCAGCAGTATCCTCTGTTTACAGTCAATGAAATGGTGGCTTAGCAATATTAACCCCTTCCCCAAAGTTATTCAAAGTATTGGAGGCAGCTAGGACACAAAGCAAGGACTAGTGGGAGGTGAGGGTCTGGCCAGTCATGTTGTTCTTTAAGGAAGCACTTAAAACATAAGAATGCCTTTTGAGGAGGGTCTTTTGCTTTCTGCTGTAATATTGTATCTCCCAAAACAATCCCCTTCCCATACTTCTTCCAAGTCTGATGCTGGATAATCACCCAGAAGGCCAGGAGGACCCCACCGATCTAGAACTTGTCATGGTCCCCTATGCAGAGAACTGTTGTGCAACAGCAATTAGTATGTTATCAGCATAGACTGGATTTTGCAGTTTCAGATCATGTTTACAGTTAATACTATTTCAGTAATTATGTAAGGTAGAATAGGTTGATATCCTGTGGTGGTTTTTAGAAATCTGGTTGTTCACAACCAATTCATGACTTTAGGTATCCTAACAGATATCAAGGACCCATGTTTTCTCTTTTACAATTAACTATCTACACATAATTTTTTGTTCCATTCTGCATATTTTAAAAGCCATTATTTCTCAGTTTAAATAATCTGTATTGTTCAAGTAACAAAAAGATTTACAAAGATGCCAAGGACAGCAGAGTTGATATAAGTCATCTGTAACTCCTGCCGCTGTGTGCCCTAAGCCTTTCAGTCAGAACATGAGGGGACTTGGAAATTAAGTCACTCCTTGAGAGTTAACCCTATAAGCAAAACACATATTAGAATGGAATTCTGAAGAAGTGATGTAAAAGACAGACTATCTCCCAAGTCAAAAGCAGGAAATACCTGGAAATCTAATAATGATTTACCTGAAAGTAAAAAAAAAAAAAAAAAGCTGCAGTTCAATTACTAATGTTAATGTATGTACAGAAAAGGTGTCCATTTCCAGCAGTATGGCAAACTAAGTAACCTGGCCAACTCTCAGGTGAAAATAAAACATGGCAAAATTTAAGATCATCTCTTTAAATGCATTAGAAAGTAGCAAGAAAATGGAATACTATACCTAGCAAGAAAATAGAGAATACTCAGTCCAAAAACTAGGTGAATGGGTAGGGGTCATCTATTATGCGACCTAACGACACTGGGACCTAGTGTAAGAGTGAACTAGCAATAAACCTATTCTTTCCTCCTCTTCCATTAGGAAACTGCAGAGAGAATGATCCACCTCAAACCTTACTACAGAGTAGAAAAGAAAAACGAAATCTTAGCTGAGAATTTCAAACAAAACAAGTAGGCTTATAGTCTGAATTCACATTATCTAGATGGTCAAGCTAACAATAATTTAGTTTAAAGTGTTCTTGGACAAAATGCACCCTCAGACACCTGGCAGAAGGAAATCTACCTTCATTACAGGCCTCAAAAAACTCCCATAGATAAAATTCAATAGAAAATAATATGTAAACAAAATCACAAAATATGAAAGAAAACAAGATGCCATGATTAAAAGCCAGCAAAAGCTAGAGTTAACATAACCAGATCATCAAAGACTTCAGATACAGGAATTATCAGAAACAGAATATGAACTTAAAGAAAGAAAAAATAAGTAAAGAACAATAGTATAAAGAATGACTGGCCGGGCACAGTGGCTCACGCTTATAATCCCAGCACTTTGGGAGGCCGAGGTGGGCGGATCACCTGAGGTCAGGAGTTTGAGACCAGCCTGGCCAACATGGTGAAACCCCGCCTCTACTAAAAATATAAAAATTAGCTGGGCGTGGTGGCACGCGCCTTTAATCCCAGCTACTCGGGAGGCTGAGGCAGGAGAATCACTTGAACCTGGGAGCGGAGGTTGCAGTGAGCCGAGATGGCGCCATTGCACTCCAGCCTGGGTGACAGAGCAAGATTCCGTGTTAAAGAAAAAAAAAAAAAAGAATGACTGACTATGTAAGAAAAAGAACCAAGTAAAACCTGTAGAAGGAAAACTTAGCAGCTAAAACTATAAATCAATGATGGATTTGACAACTGATTAGATACAAAGAGAATTACTGACATAAATAAATTATAAAAGTTGTCTAAAATTTTGCATAAAGAAACAAAGATATGGAAATTATAAAAAAGAGAAAAGGACATGGATTAAGACAAAGTGAGGTTGAAATTGCACCCAGAGTTTCACAAAATGATGGTACATTGTATTTAACAACTTGGTTAGGCCATGGTATCCATATATTTGGTCAAACATTATTCTAGATGTTTCTTTTTTTTTTTTTTTTTTTTTGAGACAGAGTCTTGCTCTTTCACCCAGGCTGGAGTGCAGTGGTATGATCTCAGCTCATTGCAACCTCTGCCTCCTGGCTTCAAGCAATTCTCCTGCCTCAGCCTCCCAAGTAGCTGGGACTACAGGCGCCTGCCACCATGCCCAGCTAATTTTTTGTATTTTTAGTAGAGATGGGGTTTCACCATGTTAGCCAGGATGGTCTCGATCTCCTGACCTCGTGATTCACCCGCCTCGGCCTCTCAAAGTGCTGGGATTACAGGCGTGAGCCACCATGCCCGGCCTATTCTAGATGTTTCTGTAAAGGTATTTCTTAGATTATATTAACATTTAAATCAGTACACTTTGAATAAAAGGGATTTCCCTCCATAATATAGGTGGGCCTTATCTAATCAGTAGAAGGCATGAATAAGGGGGAAAAAAAAAAACCAACCTCCCAAAGCAAGAAGAAATTCTGCCAAAAGACTGCCTTTGAAATGAACTGCAACTCTTTCCTAGGTCTCCAAACTGTAAGCCTACCTTGCAGATTGTAAACTTGCCAAGCCTCTACAATCACATGTATAAAGAAATCTATCTATATCTATATCTACATATGATTTTGGTTCTGTTTCTCTGAACAACCCAAACTAATATACACAAGCAGACGAAATAAAAACACTCTCTGGAACAGAGAACACAGAAAAGCAATACTGAAGAGGTAATGCCTAAGAATTTTTCAGAACTGATCAAAGAAACCAGCACACAGATTCAACAATATTAATGAATCCCAAGCATAATAAATACAAAGAAATGTATAACTAGATACAACACAGTGAAACTGAAGTACACCAGAAGCAAAAATAAATTAATAAAAGTATCCAGAAAAGACAGGTTACCTTCAAAGGAGTGATAGTGGAGCTGACAGTATAGTTTTCATCAGCAACACTGAAAGTCAGAAGAGAATGAAATATCTTCAATGCATAGGAAAAATAATTAACCTAGAATTCTATGCTCAGGAAAAAAGTCTTTTAACAATTATGGAGAAAAACATATATTTTCAGATAAACAAACAGTGAAAGAATTTACCATAAGAAGGATCTTAGAAAATGAAGTTCTAAAGGATATATTTCAGGTAGAAGGAAGGTGATCTCATATGGCAAGCGTGGGGTACAAGAAGAATGAAAAGCAATGAAAGTAATAAATATGCAGGTAAAAAAATAAGCATTCACTGCATAAAATGGTAACAATGACATATTATTGAAAACCTGAAAACAAGAAGACTACAAATAAACAAAATCAAGATATCTTATTTTTAAAATTTCTTCCAGTTTCATGAAGACACATTCTCTATACCACTTTGTAAAATTTTTATTTTTGCTCTCATAATTGCATGTTTAATTCACCTGGAATTTATTTTTGTATAAAGTGTGAAGTAGATGTCTTTATTAGTCAGCTTTGCTGTAGTAACAAACAACTCTGCCTTCCAAATCTTTGTAGCTTGCACCAGCATATGTTATTTTTTATTCATATCAGTGTCAACAACTGCAATTTGGCAGCTTCAGCTCCACCCTAAGTGTATTCTCATTCCAGGACCCCCATGTCTTCTCATCCTGGGACCCAGACTGAAAGAATGGCCCTTTTTTGGGACATGCCATCCTTGTGACAGAAAGAAAGAGCAACATCCTACTACACAATGACTCTTAAATAATCTGTTCACATGTGGTACATACCAGTTTAAGCCAGACTCAGTGGAACAGAAGCATATACTCCTCCGACAGACAGGCACTGCAAATTATATGGCAATGGGTAGGAGTGTATAAGCCTCTAAAAGGAAAGGAAGAAAATATCATTTACAAATTCCCTAATTTCATTTTTTTGCATAATACCCCTGAAGTCTATTCTTTCTTCAGAGATCATAATTCAAGCTTTGTTCAAAAATTAAGTTTTCACACATATATGTGTCTGTTTCTGTGCTTTCTATTCTCACCCATTTCTTTTGTCCTGTTCAAAAACCACATTATCTTATTATTATAATTTTATAGTAAGTCTTGACAGCTGGTAAATCAAGTCTACCTACTTTGTTCAAAAGTGTCTTGATTATTCTTGGATCTTTGCCCTTCCATACATATTTATTGATTTCTGCAAAAACTTGTTGGGATCTTGAATTGATTTACATTACATCTATAGATCAATTCAGAAAGAATTGACATCTTGAATCTACCAGCTCATAAACTTGGCTATTTCAATCATCTTTAATTTTTTCAGTAATGTTTTATAGTTTCCTGAGTAGAGGTCTTCATATCTTGTCTTAGATTTATTCCTAAGTGTTACACTTTTGATGCTTCTGTAAATAATATATTTTAATTTTGTTTTTATTAGTGCTTTTATTTATTAATTTTTAATTTATGTATTAGATCTTCTGGATTTTCTTTTGGTGTAAAGAATGAGTCATTGGTTTAACTTTACATTGTATACAATATTAAGCCATTCAAACCAACATTACTTATTGAAAAGTACATCTGCTTTTTAATGTGGAATGCCATCTTTATCATACACTAAATTTCCATGAATGCTTGAATTTTTTTTCTCTATTCAGTTTCATGTATTTGGCCCATCTACCAATGATATTTAGTTATATATAGTTTTCCAGGTGCTATCTATTTCTTTGCTAATAGATAGGGTTTTTATTCCATCTCTTACCTTTATCTTTTCCCAGGTTAAGTAAAATTTTTTACTCTAATTGCTGATGCATAGACATGTAATTGATTTTTGTATATTGATATATTCAGTAACTTTGCTAAATCCTCTTAATTCTAATAACTTATTAGAATTTCATTTGGATTCTCTACAAGGCAATAATACTGTGCAGATTTCAGTTTTTTTCTTCCCTTTTAACTTTTATATTTTGTATTTCTTATTCTTCTCACTCCACTGACTAGGATTTCCAGTACAATGCTCAGTAAAAGTAGTATTAATGAGCATCTTCATTTAATTATCAATCTTGAAGAGAATGCTTTCAGTGTCTCAAAGTTAAGCAGCATGTTTGTTGGAGGGATTTCTTTTGGACACTCTTTATCACTGCGGGAGATAATATTTTTCAAACATGGCTGCAAGAATATTTCCAGTCCCACAGGCTCTTCCAGAATGTTGCCACTTCTCCATGAAGAGGTGAATTCTATATACCCTACCCTTCAAACCTGGATGGGCATTTGTACCTGAATTGGCTAACAGTGTACAATAAATGTGAAGTTCTATTACTTCTGAGCCTACATCATAAAAACTGATACAACTTCCTAATTCTCTTTTTTGGGACATGTGCCACTGAAGCCCTATACTACCATGGGAAGCCCAGATACCTTGAAGTCACAATGCTGGAGAGACCATGTAAAGAAACCAGATAGAGATGAGTGTGCCCAAATAACCCCAGTCGTTCTAGGTTCCAGATGTTCAGGCCTTCCCAGCTCAGGCACCAAACATATAAGAAGCCTCGAGATGATCCCATCCATCACTGTGATGGCAACATTATGAAACCCCAAGCTACAGCCACCCAAATGAGGTGTTTCTGAATTTCTTGACCTACAGAATTCATGAGAAAAAAGAAATAATTGTTGTTTCAAGCCAGTAAGTTTTTGGGTGATTTGTTAACACAACAGTAGTTATAATAAAAACAAACAGACCATATGGAGAGATCTCATACAGATAGGGATGCCTGAAGTGCCCCAGCTGTTCCAGCACCCTGATGTCTGAGTCTTTCCAGCCCAGGAACCAAACATGTGAGTGAAGAAGACTTAGCAATGAACCCAGCCTCAGCCACCGACTGACTGCAACATCATGATAACCAGAGCCAGAACCACTCAGCTGAACCACACCCAAATTCTTGAGCCATAGAAGGTACAGAAGATAATAAATAATTATTATAGTGATAAGCCACTACATTTTGGCTTGATTTGTTCTACAGCAATAAACAGAAGAGTCAAATTAAGAAAATGACTTTCTATTCCTATTTTGTTTGAGAGGCTTTTAAAAAATCCATAAATGGATATTTAATTTTATCAAGTTATTTTCCTGCATCTTTTTAGATAATCACATAATTTTTCTCCTTTAATGTGTTATCATGGTGAATTACACTAATTGATTTTTCACTGTTTAAGCCAATCTTTCTTTGCTGGGATAAACCAACTTGCTCATGATGCATTACCTTTTTAAGAAATCATTTCACAGACATTTATTTATGATTAAAACTATGAAATGCACTTATAATAAAACAACATGCTCACAAAGAATAACAAAAACAAATTAAAAGAACTGTATTTGTTCATTTAACAACTCTTAAGAAAATCCATACAATTCCATATAAAATATTGTACTTTCATTTTCACTTCTTTCTTTTAAAGAGAGAAAAATACCTATTACTTTATGTTGATTTTGCACAAATAAAATGTTTCTTCCCTTTTTAGTGTCTAAAATCGTATGCCCAAAAACATACTAAATTTTTGGTATAAATTTTGTTTTTTTCAAATTCTATAATTAATGTTGATTTAAAATATACCTACTTTGGTGTAATAACACTGTTTAAAGATCACATGTATTGATCCAATTCCATTTACACTGGGGTCAAATTAAATTCTTCCCAAAATATTCATAGGATCTTAAGTTTCTAATGGCTTTTTTTCTATTAGTAATGGAAATTTAACCTTACTAAGAAAAATTAGCAGTCTGTTTTTCTTTGTGTGATTTTGTTTTTCTTTGGTCTTTTTAATACATTGCTTGATTCAATTTCCTAAAATTTTGTTTAGAATTCTGAATCAAAGCCCATTAGTGGAATTGATCTGTAATTTCTATTCTCATACTTACCTTGTCAGATTTTGGCATACAGTTTATACAAGCCTCACAAAATTAGCTCTGGAATGTTCCCTCTTTGGGTAAGCTCTAGAATAATTTGTGTAACACTGAACAAATGTGTTCTTCAAATATTTGATAGAACTTGCCAGTAGAACTGCCTGGGCCTAGAGTTTTCTTTATGAGAATATTTTTAACTACTGATAGAATAACTCTTATGATTGTAGGGCTATTTGTATATTCTGATTATTCTTGAAACAATTTTAACAAATTTTATATGTTTCTATTTTAGAAATTTGTTTACTTAATGTAGATTTTCAAATTTATTTAAATAAGGTTAATTCTAAAACTCTTTTAATATCTTTTAAATATCTGTTATATCTGGAACTGTATCCCTTTCTTCATTTGTAATGCTTCCTCTTCTTGGCCAGTTGTGCCAAAGCATTGTCAATTTGATTATTTTTTTCCTAAGAAGCAATTTATGGCTTTATCAGTTCTGTAGGATATTACTTACTGTTACTTTAAATTCTATCTTATTTCCTTTTCTTTTCTTCTCTTTTTTTGGGGGGGCAGGGGGATGGAGTCTTGCTCTGCTGCCCACGCTGGAGTGCAATGGCATAATCTCGGCTCACTGCAACCTCTGCTTCCTGGGTTCAAGTGATTCTCATGTCTCAGCCTCCATAGTAGCTGGGATTACAGGTGCCCACCACCATGCCTGGCTAATTTTTTTTTATTTTCAGTGGATACGGGGTTTCACCATGTTGGCCAGGCTGGTGTTGAACTCCTGACCTCAAGTGATCCACTCGCCTCGGCCTCCCAAAGTGCTGGGATGACAGGTATGAGCCACCGTGCCCGGCCATTTCCATTACTTGGGCTTATCCTGCTACTCTTTTGGGGATTTCTTAAATTAGAAGATTCAGTCATTAATTTTTGACCTTTCTTCTTCTTTAATATTCTTTAATATATGCATTCTAAGGCTGTAGATTTCTCTCTAACATCTGTCTTTAGCTTCCCTCCACAGATTTTGATCTGGAGTATTTTCATTATTGTTTAGTTCAAAATACTGTCTAATCTCAGTTATTTCTACTTCTGTCTAGGATGTAGAAAGCTGTAAAGAGTGTTACTTTCACTCTAACCAGAAGAAAAAAACAGATACAGTCAGCGCAGTAGCTCACCCCTGTAATCCCAACACTTGGGGAGGCCGAGATGGGTGGATCGCTTGAGGTCAGGAGTCTCAGACCAGGTTGGGCAACATAGTGAAACCCCATGTCTACAAAACATACAAAAAATTAGCTGGGCGTCGTGTCTGGCACCTGTGGTCCCAGCTACTCAGGAAGCAAGGCTGAGGCAAGCGGATAGCTTGAGCCTGGGAGTTGAAGGCTGCAGTAAGCCATTATTGTACCACTGCACTCCAGCTTAGGGGACAGAGCAAGACCCTGTCTCAAAAAAAAAAAAAAAAAAAAAAGAAAGGAAAATTTAAAAAAGGAAAAAGCTAGATACACTACAAAATTATAACTTTTTTAAACCCATCAGAAAACTGGTCAGTCTGAATTCCAGAAATGAATGGGCCTTTCCAAGGAGAGAAAGGACAAGTGTACTGGTTCACTGGTGGCAGAGCATGGGAGGGAGCGCAGGTAATAGGTAAGGAGAAATCAACTAAGGGCCAGGTGGGTCTGGGATGTTAGTCTGGAATAGCTGGGGGCCCCAGGCATAGTAGGAGCTTGCACTCACTCACAGGCTCTTTTCCATGAGCCTTCACTGGGTACTAAAGAGAAAGATTGGGCCCCTTTATGTTATCTACTCTCATTGAGTGTGGGTGGGACTTGTGGCTTGCCGCTTTAGAACACTGCAAAGCTGATGAAATTCCTTTCTGTGATTACATTACACAAGGTTGTTGTCTCCCTTTTGCTAGCGGACTTGACAGACTCTCTTGCTGGCTTTGAAGAAGGAAGCAGCCATGTTGTGAGCTGCCCTGTGGAAAGGCCCGTGTAGCAAGGAACTGAGGGCAGCTTCCAGTGGACAGTGAGCAAAATGAGACCCACAGTGCTAAGGCTGCCAAAAATGGAACGCTGCCATTATGCACACAAGTGAGCTTGGAAGCTAATTCCAAACTCCCAAGTCACTTCTAGTCTAGAACTCGTGGTTTAAAGCTTTTGGGATTACCAAAAGGGCTGGCTTTTGTTTATCAATTATCAGTGATGATATTTTCTCTCCACTTCTTCTGTGCCATGCAACATTCCCTAAAGTCCTCTCTGTGTGTTTGCATATGTGTTGGGATGGTGTGTTTATTTTTTTCTCCCTACAGTGAGGCCATAGCCCTACAGCGAGGAATCCCCAATGTAATGGGCTGATTCTCCCATTGATTTACCAGTTTTAGAGTCCTTTACGCTTCATCTTCTGTCTCCAACTTCAGCAAGCTGTGAAAACCAACTTAAGCTTAAGTTTGCCAAGTTAGGCAAATGTTCTTGGGAGAGATGTGATTTTAATAGTCTTTGAGTCCCTTCTTTCACTTTCATATTTGGCCTAGTAATTCTTCACTATTTTAGCATCATTGAATACTTCTTAGAATAAATTTTAAATTGTATTTTATTCTGTCTTTCACTTATTTTCTTCTCTTTTGTTTTCAGGACTATTTGTGGGTCTAGTAAATACCTAGACAACCATGCTATTGGAGATAGAAATCTAGTCTCTTGTTTTCATTCTTTTTTTCATAAAATAAGATAGGTGTGTAAAGTTATGAGTTTTCCTTTGAATGCAACTTTAGCCATTTCCCAAAAGTTTTGCTATAAATTGCTCTCCTTTTGTTAATGTCTAAATAAATTGTGACCTCTGGTTTTATTTCCTCGTTGATTCAGGGGATATTTTGGGAAGCATTCTTTAATTTTAAAGTGGTTATGAGAGAATACTTGCCGTGGCCAACTTAGGATAAGCTGAGACTACTACCCCCCCACCCCACTACTACTGTGGCTGGTGCTCTCTAAAACCTGGCTGGAAGCCAACCAACTCAGGCCATTACAAATACTCATGACAGAATAACCCTGCTCTCAGGAAGAAGAAAACAACAGCTTATTCCACTGACTGCCACATCCTGGCTAACCAGAGGTCCTGAGTCTGTGCACGTGACAACTTCACTGCTAGCATCACCAGCATTTGAGAAAGTCAGCACACTAAACCTGTCTTCAACCAAGGACTCTCACAGAGTCTACTTCACTCCCCTGCCACCTCCACCAGAGCAGGTGCTGGCATCCACAGCTGGGAGACCTGAAGACAGCTCACATCACAGGACTCTTTGCAGACATTCCCCAGCACCAGCCCAGAGCCTGGTAGTCCTGCTGGGTGCCTAGACCCAGAAGAGTAAAAAGAATCGCTACAGGGATTACTCAGGAAGTCCTACCCCTAGGGGAATGGGGAGAGCACCCAATGGAGGAAAAACCCTGTGGGACAAAAGAATCTGAACAGCAGGCCTTGAGTTCCAGAACTTTCCACTGATATAGTCTACCCAAATGAAAAGGAACCAGAAAAGCAATTCAGGTAACATGACAAAAGGTTTCTATAACACCCACCAAACGATCACATTGCTGATTTGGACCCCAGCAATGGATCCAAATCAAGAAGAAATTTCTGAATTGCCAGATAAAGAATTCACAAGGTTGATTATTAAGCTACTCAAGGAGATACCAGAGAAAGGTGAGAACCAACTTAAAGAAATTTTTAAAAAATACAAGATATGGATGAAAAATTCTCCAGGAAAATAGATATCATAAAGAAAAAACAATCACAACTTCTGGAAATGAAAGGCACACGTAGAGAAACACAAGATGCACTGGGAAGTTTCAACAATAGATTAGACAGGTAGTGGAAAGAACGTCAGAGCTCAAAGACAGGGCTTTTGAATTAACTCAATCAGACAAAGACAAAGTAATTTAAATAAATGAGCAAGGCCTCTGAGAAATTTGGAATTATGCAGTTTTTTGTTTTTTGTTTTTGTTTTGTTTTGTTTTTTTGTTTTTTTTGAGACAGAGTTTCGCTCTTGGTGCCCAAGCTGGAGTGCAATGGTGCGATCTCAGCTCACTGCAACCTCCACCTCCTGGGTTCAAGCAATTCTTCTGCCTAGTCTCCCTAGTAGCTGGGATTACAGGCGGGTGCCATGACACCCAGATAACTTTTGTATTTTTAGTAGAGATGGGGTTTCACCATGTTGGTCAGGCTGGTTTTGAACTCCTGACCTCAGGTAATCCACCCGCCTTGGCCTCCCAAAGTGCTGGGATTACAGGCATGAGCCACCCTCCCCCGGTGGTTTTGTTGTTGATGTTGTTTGTTTTTGAGATAGAGTCTTGCTTTATCACCCAGGCTGGAGTGCAGTGGCATGATTTTGGCTCACTGCAACTCGGCCTCTCAGGTTCAAGCAATTCTCATGCATGAGCCTTCCAAGTAGCTGGGATTACAGATGTGCACCACCACGTCCAGCTAATTTTTGTATTTATAGTAGAGATGGGGTTTTACCATGTTGGCCAGGCTGGTCTCAAACTCCTGGCCTCAAGCGATCCTCCTGCCTTGGACTCCCAAAGTGCTGGGATTACAGGTGTGAGCCACTGTGTTTGGCCCTGGAATTATGTTAAATGGCCAAACCTATGAATAATTGGTGTTTCTGAGGAAGAAGAGAAATCTAAAAGTTTGGAAAACTTATTTGATGGAATAATTGAGGAAAACTTCCCTGGCCTTGCTATAGATCTAGACATGCAAATAAAAGAAGCTCAAAGAACACTTGGGAAATTCATCACAAGAAGATCATCACCTAGGCACATAGTCATCAGGTTATCTTAAGTCAAGACAAAGGAAAGAATCAGCTGTGAGACAAAAGCATCAGGTAACCTATAAAGGAAAATCTATCAGATTAACAGCAGATTTCTCAGCAGTAACCTTACAAGCCAGAAGGGATTGGAGTCATATTTTTAGCCTCCTAAAAAAAAAATTGTCAGATTTTGTAAAATTTTGAAAAGAAGGGAGAAGGTCCAAATAAACTCAATTAGAAATGAAACAGGAGATATTACAACCAATATCACAGAAATAAAAAAGATCATTGAAGCCTACTATGAACACCTTTACATGCACAAACTAGAAAATCTAGAGGAGATGGATAAATTGGTGGAAATATATAACCCTCCTAGATTATATCAGAAAAAAATAGAAACTCTAAATAGACCAATAACAAGTAGCAAGATTGAAACAGGAATTTAAAAATTGCCACCAAAAAAAAAGTCTAGGACCAGATGGATTCACAGCTGAATTCTATCAGAAATTCAAAGAATTGATATCAATTTTACTGAAACCATTCCAAAAGATAGAGAAAGAGGGAATCCTCCCTTAATCATTCTATAAAGCCAGTATCACCCTAATACCAAAACCAGGAAAGGACATAACAAAAAAGGGAATCTACAGACCAATACCCCCAATGAACATAGATGCAAAAATCTTCAACAAAATACTAGCTAACTGAATCCAACAGCATATCAAAAAGATAATATACCACAATCAAGTGGGTTTCATACCAGGAATGCAGAAATGGTTTAACATGCACAAGTCAATAAATATGATGCATCATATAAACAGAATTAAAAACAAAAAATCATATGATCATCTCAATAGATGCAGAAAAAGCATTTGACAAAGTCCAATATCCCTTTGTGATTAAAACCCTCAGCAAAACCAGCATAGAAGGGACATATCTCAAGGTAATAAAAGCCATCTATTACAAATCCACAGCCAACATTATACTGAACAGGGAAAAGTTGAAAGCATTCCCCCTGCTAACTGGAACAAGACAAAGATGTCCACTTTCACCACTTCTATTCAACATAGTACTGGAAGTCCTAGCCACAACAATCAGATGAGAAAAAAATAAAGGGCATCCAAATTGGTAAAGAGGAAGTTAAACAGTTGTTGTTCACCAATGATATGATTGTATACCTAGAAAACCCTAAAGACTCATCCAAAAAGCTCCTAGATCTGATAAATTAATTCAGTAAAGTTTCAGGATACACAAATCAGTAGCACTGCTATACACCAACAATGACTGAGATCAAAGCTGAGAATCAAATCAATAACTCAATCCCTTTTACAATAGCTGCAAAAACATAAAACACTTAGGGATATACCTAACCAAGGAGGTGAAAGACCTCTACAGGGAAAACTACAAAACACTGCTAAAAGAAATCATAGTTGACACAAACAAATGGAAAAACATCCCATGCTCATGGATGGGTAGAATCAATATTGCGAAAATGACCATACCACCAAAAGCAATCTACAGATTTAATGCAATTCCCATCAAAATGCCATCATCGTTCTTCACAGTACTAGGAAAAACAGTGGTAAAATTTATACCCAAAAAGAGCCCAGATAGCCAAAGCAAGGCTAAGCAAAAAGAACAAATCTGGAGACATCACACAATTTGACTTCAAACTATATTACCAGGCTGTAATTCCCAAAATAGCATGGTATTGATACAAAAATAGGCATGTAGACCAGTGGAACAGAATAGTAAACCCGGAAATAAAGCCAAATATTTATAGCCAACTGATCTTCAATGAAGCAAACAAAAACAAAGTGGGGAAAGGACACTATTCAACAAATGGTGCTGGGATAATTGGCTAGCAACATGTAGAAGAATGAAACTGGATCCTCATCTCTCACCTTATACAAAAATCAAACTCAAGATGATCAAAGATTTTAAGATCTGAAGCCATAAAAAGTCTAGAAAATCACATCAGAAAAACTCTTCTAGACATTGGCCTAGGCCGGGAGTTCATGACCAATAACCCAAAAGCAAATGCAACAAAAGCAAAAATAAATAGATAGGACCTAATTAAACTAAAAAGCTTCTGCACAGCAAAATAAATAATCAGTAGAATAAACAGACAACCCTCAGAGTGGGAGAAAATATTCACAAATTATGCATCTGACAAAGGACTAATATCCAGAATCTACAAGGAACTCAAATAAATCAGCAAGAAAAACAAAGAATCCCATAAAAAGTGGCCAAATGATATGAAAAGATAATTCAAAATAAGATATACAAATGGCCAATAAACACATGAAAAAATGTTCAACATCACTCATTATCAGGGAAATACAAATTAAAACCATAATGAGCTACCACCTTATTTATGATTTTAAATTATGGCAAGAATGGCCACATTTTAATAAATTAATAAATAAATTAATTAATTTTTATTAATTAATAATTAATTAATTAATAATTAATAAAAAGGATGTTGGCATGGATGTGATAAAAAGGGAACACTTTTTTACACAGCTTATGGGAATGTAAACTAGTACAAACACTATGGAAAACAGTATGGAGACTTCTTAAGGAACTAAAAATAGAACTACCATTTGATCCAGCAATCCCACTACTGGGTATCTACCCAGAGAAAAAGAAGTCATAAGACTCTCGCATACACGTGTTTATAGCAGAACAATTCACAGTTGCAAAAATATGGAACCAGTCTAAATGTCCATCAACCAACGAACAGACTAAAGAACATGTGATATATATATGTATATATATATATATATATATACACCATGGAATACTACTCGGCCATAAAAAGGAACAAAATAATGGCATTTACTGCAACCTGGATGGAGTTGGAGACCATCACTCTAAGTGAAGTAACTCAGGAATGGAAAACCAAATATCGTGTGTTCTCACTTCTAAGTGGGAGCTAAGCTATGAGGACACAAACGCGTAAGAATGATATAATGGACTGTGGGGAAATGACAGAAAGAGTGGGAGGGAGGTGAGAGATAAAAGGACTACACATTGAGTACAGTGTACGCTGCTCAAGTGATGGGTGCACCCAAATCTCAGAAATCACCACTGAAGAACTTATCCGTGTAACCAAAAACCACCTGTTTTCCAAAAACTATTGAAATAAAATAAAATTTAAACAAAAATTTAAAATAAAGTGGTTGTGTTTTTGTTTATGTTATGTTTCTATATTCTTCAGTTGATTTCTCGCTTAATTGAACTTGGGGCAGAGATGTGGCCTGTAAAACATTTAAGTTCTGGAATTTATTAAAATTTTATTTGAGCCATTTTTTATGGATATTCCATAAGCAATTTAAAGTAAATGTGTGTTTGTTTTTAGAAACATATGTAAACAGGGATAGCACTTATGGCGTAAATACTTTAAATGAACGTGCTTTTCTCTTTTACATTTCCATATGTGTGCTCTTCTTCCACTCCCCAGAGTAATCCATTGCCTTAGGTAGGTATTTGGATAGTTAAAATAGGGATAAAAAGAAAAAATGATAGTTTATGCTCAGCTTTTCATCACCAAAATGGTATTTTTTTGAATCTAAGTTAATACAATATTCTTTACGTATGAGGTTTTGACCAAAGAGAAAAGGATTTTCCGAATTCCTTATGCTTCAATAGCATATCCAAAGCCAGGTCCAGGGGATTTTCATGCTGCCTTTGCAGTTGGCCGTGGGTAGATAGAACTCAATTGTGAAGTCTTGGCTAGGAGAATTTTTTTTTTCTGTCTTGTCTCATCTTGTGTTTTAGAAGGAGGATAAGATGTGTATTCTAACAACTTTTCTTCAGGCTGAAATCTAGGACAGAGTGGTTTTGAGGCTGATACTGGTACTGCTGATAGGGTATGGGAGTAGCAGGATATCAGGAAAACTGGAATCAGTGATCCTGCATCTGTCTCTCCATCTGGAACTCTTGGAGGTATCTGTCACAAAGTTTGGCCTCCTCCTCATCATGCAGGGAAGAGTTGGACTGCCACAAGTGTAAGTATTGTTCCATGGTGAAGGTAGGCAGAGAAACAGCATGAGTTAGAAACAGTGCCTCTCTCAACTTCTGTGTGGTATGGAAGGGAGTGAGAAGTTCTGTGCACCCTCAGGATGGCTGGCTTCCAGAGTGAGTGTTGAGCTGACCGCACCACAGAGGCTGCAGGTGGACAGCTACACTAGGGTACTGGTGTTGGTTTGACTGAAAGAATGTGCACTCAATGACTGCCTGCTATGGTCTAATATTTGTCTTTCCCCAAAGGTGACAGGAGGAGGGACAGTATTAGGGAACCAGGGACTGGTTCCTCCTCTGGGGAGGTCATGAGGGTGGAGCCCTCATGAATGGTATTAATGCCCTTATGATATAGGCTCACTAATTCTTTCTCCTGCTTGATCGATTCTGCTATTAAAGGACTCTGATGCATTCTTCAGTGTGCCAATTGCATTTTTCAACCTCAGAATTTCTCCTTGATTCTTTTTAATTATTTCAATCTGTTAAATTTATCTGATAGAATTCTGAATTCCTTCTCTGTGTTATCTTGAATTTGAGTTTCCTCAAAACAGCTATTTTGAATTATCTGTCTGAAAGGTCACATATCTCTGTTTCTCCATGATTGGTCCCTGTTTCCTTATTTAGTTCATTTGGTAACGTAATGTTTTCCCTGGGTTGTCTTCATACTTGTAGATGTTTGTCTGTGTCTGGGCATTGAAGAGTTAGTCTTCACAGTCTGGGCTTATTTGTACCTGTCCTTCTTGGGAAAGCTTTCCAGATGTTTGAAAGGACTTGGGTGTTGTGATCTAAGCTGTATCTGCTTTAGGGGGTACACCAAGCCTAGTTACACTGTGATTCTTGCAGACTCTTAGAGGTACAACCTTGATGGTCTTGGACAAGATGTGGGAGAATTACCAGGCCGATAATTGCTCTCTTCCCCTTACTTTTTCCCAAAGTCTCTCTCACTCTCTCTTTCTCTCTCTCTCTTCCTCTCTCCCTCTCTCTCTCTTCCTCTCTCCACCCCCCCTCTCTTTCCTTCTCTCTCTCTCTCTCTGTTCTAAGCTACCTGAAGCTGGAGGTGGAGTGATGCAAACACCCCTGTGGCCACCACCACTATGACTGCTCTAGGTCAGACCTGAAGCCAGCACAGCACTAGGTCTTGCCCAAGACCTGCTGTATCTACTCCCTGGCCACAGCCTGTGTTTGCTCAAGGCCCTGGGACTCTACAATCAGCAGGTGGCAAAGCCATCCAGGCCTATGTCCTTCCCTTCAGGGTGGCAAGTTCAGCCAGTCCCTGGTTGCTCCAATCCCTGCTTGGGTCCAGAGGTGCCATCTGCCTGGTACTTCATGAGCCTTTTTAATCTGAAAACGTTTTTGGTTCAGGAAAGTTTTTTCTTCTTCTTCTTTTATAATTGCATCTTCTCTATCATTCTTTTTTCCATCTGGAATTTTTATTATTCCCATGTAGGACTTTTGGATATGCCTTCCATGTCTCAACCTTTCTAATTTCCCTTTTTGGGGTAATTTTTCTTAGGGATGTGAGATAGTGTCTCCTTTCTATGTTCGATCACTAATATCCTTTCAGCATTGTCCATTTTTAAAGTACAGAAAAGTCGTGAGAATAGTACCAGATATTCCTTTACCCAGTTTCACCATTTGCTTACATTTTACCACATTTTCTGTGACCTTTTAAATGGGGAATCATGTTTTTAATTTCTGTTTATTCATAGGTAGCTTTTAGTATTTGTTGCTATCATGAATGAGATTTTTTTTTTAATTTTCTAATTTGTCATGTTTCACATATGTGAAAGTTGTGGGGAAATAATTATCTAGTAACCTGACTTTTTATTAAACTTTCTTATTAATCCTAGGTTTTCCAGTTGATTCTTTTGTATTTTCTCAATAGATGATCATATCATCTGCAAATAATGACAATTTTAAATTTTTCTTTCCTGTAATTGAACCCCCTATTTCTTTTTCTTATGTTATTCTTTCAGTGAGGGCCTTCAGAATAGTGCTGAATAACACCACTGATCCTTCTGGTTTTGTTCTTGATCTTAATGGGCTTTTCCAAGAAATTGAGAAATGTCACTAGTTTTTCATCATAAAACATGATATTTAGTATTAGTTTTTGAAAGATGTTCCTTCTCAAGTCAAGAAAATTTCATGTCCTACCTTAGAGGTTTTGGTCAATAATAGATGTTAAATTTTATCAAATCTCATTTTTGTATGCATCAGAATAAGCACATAGTTTTTTCTCATATAATTTATTAATGTAGTGAGTATATTAATACATTTCCTAAATTTTAGCCATCTTGAAATAATGCTAATTGCTCAAAGCATATTCATCTTTTAACATACTATTACACTTAACTTGCTGTAATTATATCTATATCATATGTGATGTTGAACCACTACCTTTCTTCCCCCAACTCTCCTGATTTTAGTGTCACAGTTAGGTAAACTTCCATTTACTATGGCCTTAAACATATTTTAAATAAAATAAAAATATAAAAGGATAAAGTTTTGAGGGGTTAACGAAGCTCACGAAGGCTATATCTAGAGAGTTAAATGAAAAGTGATGATAATGAAAGGCATATATCTCCTCTTCTGTTCTCACTTTGTTAAAACAGAATCTTTAAACATACCAGCCTATTTTAAGACATCAGTTACTCAGGGCTTCATAGATGTTGAGCTTAAGGATAAAGAATTGTCATTTCAGAAGTGTCAAAGCCTTAGATTTGCAAAGTACTTAAAAATTTATATAGCTTATAAAGTCAAATAGGGCTAAAAGTGATATGTAAAAAATAGTAATCACCACCCTTGCTGCCCCTGCCTCCGCACCCCTCAAAGGCATCTGCTTAATGTTTCTTCTGTTACTTATCACCATATTTCCAAATGATAAATGTGTACTGCCCTGTCTTGAGTCATCAATTTCTGGATTACCTGTTGTTTTCCTATTATGGCAGCTGAGGATTTTAACTTTCTAATATATTCTACTCTTCTCCCTATTCTCTCAAAATAGTTAATTTTTTGTGTTAAATTCTTAATTGTTTTATGTTCAGTATATCTTGCACACTGCTGAGTTGAGTGGTTACTATAATTACATTTTCTTTCCTTTAAGATACTTTGATTTTCTTGTAGTTATTCATTGCCTCATTTTTTCATTTGTTTAGTTTTTACTGAACCTATTGCTAAGTCTTCCAGTATTTCCTAAGAGCTTTGTACAATGCCTCAGGATAATTTCCTACATAGTCAAACCTGTTGAATAGCCTTCCCTTTCTACATGTCTCCTGCAGATCCACTCTTGCTTTTCTAGCCTGCAGCATAGCTCTCATCCTAGGAATCCCCTGGCTACTTTTCTGTGCTGGAAGCGCTCTTTCCCAGTTTCATGTTTTCTTTCTTGGCTTAGTCCCTCTTTTTGATGGAGCAAATACAACAGTAGCTTCTTGAGAAAGGACACTTGGTAAGAAAAAAGTTTTGAGACTTTACGTAAATATGTTTATTATGTCCTCACGCATGATTTGCCAGGGCATATCATTCTAAGTAGAAGTTAATTTTGTGGGCATTGTTGCTTTTTCTCCTGGCTTCCAATGTTACTGTTGATATGTCACTGTCATTATTTTCTTATTCTCAATGCTTTGTGTAAATGTTGTTTCTCTCTGGAAATTTTTAGGATCCTCTTCTTCTCTGGTAAGAATAAGTAATTTTGCGAATGATAATTATGTGAATTATACGTCCAATAGCTGTTCTCCTCTTTTTGTAGATTATTCAGTTATTTGTTCCTCAAACAGCTCATGAGGTTGTTGATGCTATAATTATCCCCACTTTATAGAAGTAGAAACCACAGCACAGAGAGATCAGGTTATTTTCCTAGGGAAACACAGCTAGCAGGTGATGTACCCAGAATTTATATCCAGTCAATCTGACTCCATGCTCTTAACTATAATTCTTAGCTTCTCCAAGAGGGCAAAGTAACCAAAGGAACTTCCCAAGAATGCAGTTTCAGACACCCAGTACAGTTGGTAGGGATTAATACCTTACAGGGAGTTTAGGTTCTTGACTTATGCACAAGGTCAGTACTAATGATGAAGCAGTTTCTCTCTGTACTACAGGGCCTTGGACATTTCCTAACAGAAACAGGCCATCAGTGCTTTTTATGGACAGCAAGCAAGCAGCTTCCCAAAGCAGAAGAGGTATAACTTTCAGCATGGTCTTGAGCCATTTGCAGCCAAAGAGACAACTTGCAGAGGGTGACTGGTCATCTGCAAGGCTGACCCAGCTTGACTCTTATCAACAACAAGCACTCCTCTTTATGAAATCTTGAGGGTGTCTGGGACCTAGATGCTGCCAGATGTTCAGGCCTTTGTCTTCTGTATTTTTGCAGTCATAGCAACTTTCCTCTTCTTACCTCCTAGAATACCGCTGTGGATACCAATTATTGGGATGTGATCAATATCTACTGAGTGATAGTCAGTAGATATTGTAATTTTTTTTGTTAACTTTCCACACATTTACATCTTCCTAGTTAGACTGTGGGCAGAACTATCTAAAACATCTTCTTACCCTTCGTGGTGACAAATAAATGACATGCAGCTATGTATGTATGCATACACACAGCGTGTGCGACACTGTTCAAAAGCTCTTGATCATAAAGGTAATATATCTTCATGTTTAACAAAGTTAAAACAGTGCAAAAGGAAAATGAAAGTTAAATTTTCTCAATTATTTTGAGTCTCCCAACCCATTCCTTTCATTCCTTACCCTCTCACTGTCTGTTCCCACTCCACAGAAGGAACAATAATTATTTATGTGGGTCTTTCAAGAAATTTTCTATGCATATAATAACATATATATTATAAAATATATTTTAACACAAATGAGATTATGTTATGTATACAGTCCTGAAACTTGATAATTTTATTTGTTTTTTTGTTTTTTTGTTTTGAGACAGAGTCTTGCTCTACCACCCAGGCTGGAGTACGGTGGTGTGATCTCTGCTCACTGAAACCTCTGCCTCCCTGGTTCAAGAGATTCTCATGCCTCAGCCTCCCAAGTAGCTGGGATTACAGGCACGTGCCATCATGCCCTACTAATTTTTTGTATTTTTAGTAGAAATGGGGTTTCACCATGTTGACCAGGATGGTTTTGAACTCCTGACATCAGGTGATCCGCCTGCCTTGGCCTCCCAAAGTGCTAGGATTACAGGCGTGAGCCACTGCACCCGGCCTTCTTGTTATATTCTTAACATCTTTCTGTAGTTGTAAATTCCTGTTTTAACAGCTGGGTAGTAGTCCATTGTATAAATCTGTTTTATTAACCAGTCATCTACTGATGGGCATTTACATTCTGTCGAGGGTTTTTTTTCTATTACAATTAATGTTACAATGAAAGTCATTGTGAAACCATCTTTAATCACTTATGTGAGTATATTCATAAATAAATTCATTGAAGTGGAGCTGCTGCGTTAACAAGTATATGCATTTAACATTTTGATAAGTAAAGCCACATTTACTTCCATGAAAGTTAGGCCAAACTATACTAATATAAACAGTGTCTGAGAGGGTCTGTTTTTTTCCCTAACATATTCAGCTCCAAATCATGTAGCTACTTAATGCTTCTTCATCTAGCATGAGGAAAATTTGCGTCTCTTTGCTCTTTTAATTTCTTTAATAGCTGTTGAAATTGAGCATATTTTCAGATATTTGATGACCATTGGTCTCACTTTTGCAATGAGCTGACATTACATATCCTCTGTCCACTTTATAATGGGTTGTCCATTGGTTAGTTTGTATGTTTTAGTTTTTTGTTTGATTTGTAAGAAGTTTGTGTGTTTTTTGGTTTTTGGTTTTTAGTACATTAATAAAATTAGCCCATTCCTTGCTATATCTGTTGCCAATGTTTTTCTTGGTTTGTTGTCTTTTTTTTTTTTTTTTTTTTTTTTTTTTTGAGACAAGGTCTCACTCTGTCTCCTAAGAGTGCAGTGGCATGGTCTTGGCTCACTGCAACTTCCACCTCCCTGGCTCAGGTGATCCTCCAGTCTCAGCCTCCCGAGTACAGCTGGGACTACAGGTGCACATCACCATGCCTGGCTAATTTTTGTATTTTTAGTAGAGACAGGGTTTCACCATGTTGCCCAGGATGGTCTCAAACTCCTCGGCTCAAGCGATCCACCCTCATCAGCCTCCCAAAGTGCTAGGATTACAGGCATGAGCCACCACACCTAGCCCTTTGTCTTTTTTTTTTTTTTTTTTTTTTTTTTCTGAGACGGAGTCACACTCTGTCACCCAGGCTGGAGTGCAGTGGCGCAATCTCGGCTAACTGCAACCTCCGCCTCCCGGCTTCAAATAATTCTCCTGCCTCAGCCTCCCGAGTAGCTGGGATTACAGGGGTGCACCACCATGCCCAGCTAATTTTTTTTTTTTTTTTAGTAAAGGCGGGGTTTCACCATGTTGGCCAGGCTGGTCTTGAACTCTTGACCTCATGATCCACCCGCCTCGGCCTCCCAAAGTGCTGGGATTACAGGCATGAGCCACTGCTCCCGGCCGCCTATTGTCTTTTAACCCAGTTTCTTGTTTGTCTTTTAACTTTGTTGGGGTGTGTGTGTGTGTGTGTGTGTGTTTGTGTGTGTGCACGCGCGCGCACGCATAGGTGGGGATGTATATGAATTTAAGCGGCTGAAAAGAGTAGAGGGATTGTTTAAAGCCCCTAAACACATTGGAATGAAGAGAATAAGGGAGCAGGAAAAGAAACAAGGAAACTTTCCAAGCTCTATTGCTCCTGTGCCTTTTCTCTTTCCTCAAGAGTCCTAAGACTAAGGGAGCAGCCAGGAAGCAATCGATGTCCTGTTGCTGAAACTCCTGTCTACATAGTTTTTAGTGAAAAAAAGACAGTAAAAATAATCTTTTAAGAAGAAAAGAAAAGGGGATACCTTTTTTCTTAAAAAGAAAAAAAGACAAGGGGATACCAAGAATTGGATGACAAATTAACATGCAACTTGTCCATGCCAACTCTTCCAGCCAGCTTAATTCTCATCAGCCAATATAATTTATTAACAGTGAGGTGAGAAAAGACATGAATCAGCTTAATGTAATATAAGTAGGGCGTTGCCATAGCAACAAGATGCAGTCTGTTTTCTACTATTTATGTACGGTTTATTTTCTCCAGAGCCTCTGAGTTATTGCTTGAAACAAATGGAATGAGAAACATCTTGTTCTGCACACCCCCACCTGGCCCCTCAGCATGTAATATGTATATAAAACCACATTTTTTTGATAAGAGAAAAAACAAAAGCACTTGAATTTTTAAAAATTGTATTTATAGCAAAAAGGCTAACTACATAGTTTCCAATCCACTGTGGTTTTGCAGAACTCAAATGTTTTTTATTTTTGTTTTTTATTTTCACCTCTGAGACACACGATCCCTCATTGAAACCTCTGGGAAAAGACCCAAAACGCATGCTGGAAGCAAACATGAGGCTAATACTGCTTCTCAAAGGAAACATTCATGTTCTCTACCCAGACTTTATGACTGGGTAGAACCAACTCCCCACAAAGGAGTGAGCAGACTAAGCCTGGTGACAATTTTTTATTTTACTCACTCTCAAATATTCAGAAGAAAAGCCCCATCCAGGCAGGAAACGAGGGCCTGAGTTTGTGACGCTGTCTCCTTGTGGAGGGTACTACCAATACTTACAAAATCATACCCACCAATAAGCAGCCCCAGTCCTTTCCTGAGGCCCCCGGATGGAAGAGCCACATGCCATGAAGGATTCCCATAATTTTTCCAATTCTGCACTTTGCTCTGAGGATGTAGAATTTAGAGTTTTTAGTTCAAAGATGGGCGTGGTCATCACTAGGTCACAGAAAACATCAAGGTTTCAGTTGTGCAGGAAAGGAAACAGCAGAGACCCTCAGCCGCTCTCTTTCCTCATTCCAACTGCCAATTCTTATCATCATTGCTCCCATGCTTTAAAAGGACAGGAGGAAACATACAACGAAGGGGAAATTTAACTCTCAGTACCTTCACTCTGTACAAATTTGGTGTTTATTTGGATCTTGACATTACACTGATCAGATCTGCATAGTCCCATTAGCCATCTACCCCATGGCTGCGGGCTGGAGTTGGAGATGCCTGGAAATGACCAGCAGTTCTCACCTCCCATGAAAGTGGCCTCCAGACCCCAGATTCTAACATGCTCACCTTGAAGATCCCAAGAGCCCATACCTATTCAGATGCTCCTCCACTGCACAGGTCTGAGAAGAAGGGAAATGGAGGGGAGAGTATTATGACCACTTCTGGGCCACCTTTGTATCCAGGAAAGACCCTTACCCTACCCCATCTTCTACTGGAGAGAGTGGGTAGGATGCAGGCTGTCATAGGAAGTGAATTGGAGCAGTTTGAGATCACTCAGCCTCAGGAGTCCATAGGACCTAGACATCACCCTGCGATGCTTCCATCATTGATAACCACTAAGATCTATCAATAAACAGGGCATCTTATTCAACCTACACTGGAATCTTTGAATCATTTCCTTCCTCTAATGCATTGAAGCAGTGGAGTAATTTCATTGTTTTTTATTTTTTAGGTATAACTTACAGTAAAGTGCACAAATCTTACGTGTTCAGCTTGAAGAATTTTTACTCAGGTATATAGCCATAACCACCTATCAGACCAAGATATAGAACATTTTCAACACTTCAAAAGATTCCTTTGTGCTTCTTTCCAGTCTACACCCCTCCAAAGGTACATACAATTCTTTTTTTTTTTTTTTTTTTTTGAGACAGGGGTCTCACTCTCACTGCCTAGGCTGGAGTACAGTGGTACAATCATGGCTCACTGCTTTGGCTTCCTGATCTCAGGTGATCTTCTCATCTCAGCCTCCTAAGCAGCTGGGACTATAGGCATGCACCACTATGCCTGGCTAATTTTTTTGTATTTTTAGTAGGGATGAGTTTTCACCATGTTGCCCAGGGTGGTATCCAACCCCTGGACTCAAGCGATCTGCCTGCTTCAGCCTCCCAAAGTGCTGGGATTACCAGCGTGAACCACTGCACCCAGCCACGGGTACAAAATATTCTAATTTATATCATCAGTTAGTTTGTTTTTCTTAAACCTCATATAAATAAAATCATATAGTACAAACTTTTTTGTATCTGGCTTCTTTTGCTCAGCATAGTATCTGCGAGTAACATCCATGAATGATATTATGTAAGTGATTTATTCATTTTTAGGTTCATAGTACTCTATGCATATTCTATGTTATATTTATCCATTCCCTATTGATGAATAGTTGAGGGTTTCCAGTTTGGGGCTATTGTGAATAAAATTCTATAAATATTCTTATACATCTCTCTTGATAAGCATGTGCAATTATATAGAGTTAAATTTTTGAATCATAAGGTAGGTTTAGTAGCTACTGTCCAAGTTTCCAAAGTGATTGAACCAATTTATACTCCCAACACATGCTTGCCAACACTTGGTATGGTTAGTCTTTCTAATTTTAGCCATTCTAGTGGGTGAGTAGTAATATCTCATTGTAGCTTTAATCTGCATTTTCCTGATGAATAATCATGTTGAGAACTTTTTCCAAATAGAGGGCCCTGGACTCCCTGTGAGGCCTGCACTTCCCCAGCAAGTATCCCCATTCCTGAGAGAGTGACACATTTAATAACAAATAAAAACCACAATGACATATGGAGAAAGAGACCACAGAATAAAGGCAAAGGCATTTTTCCCATAAAGGAAAATAAAACAGGAGGCCTGCATTTTCATTTTGCACAGGACCCCACTAATTGTGTTCCTGGACTCCACCCTCCAACAGCTGGTTGGGTAGGGTCTGGGATTCTGCATGCTTATCAAGATGCCAAAATGATTAGTATGCCCATTCTTCATACTCTCCAATCAGCATATAAATATGTTCAATTCGTATGAGCTCAGAAAACAAACAAGCAAACCAACAAACGAAACCTTCAATACCAGCTCTCTCCCATGCCCTTCACAGCACACTTGATAGAGTCATCTCTATGCACTATCTTCCTTTCTCCTCCATTCAGTCCTCAGCCCACAGCAAACCAACTTTAGCTGATACCATTCCATAGAAACTTATCTTGTTAACGGGTGTGGTGGCTCAAATCTGCAATCCCAGTACTTCAGGAGGCCGAGGCGGATGGATCACTTGAGGCCAGGAGTTCGAGACCAGCCTGGCCAACATGGTGAAACCTTGTCTCTACTAAAAATACAAAAATTAGCTGGGTGTGGTGGCACATGACTGTAGTCCCAGCTGCTTGGGAGGCTGAGGCACAGGAATTGCTTGAACCCAGGAGGTGGAGGTTGCAGTGAGCCGAGTTTGCAACACTGCACTCCAACCTGGGCCACAGAGTGAGACCCAGTCTCAGAAAAAAAAAAAAAAAACAGCAACTGCTTTTGCCAAGGTCGGCATGTACATTTTAGCCACAAAATCTCAGGGATATGTTTTAGTTCTTGTAATAGAAAGCTTAATTTAAAGTATTTGCTTATTTATTAATATCTCCTTTCACAGCTCCCTTTCCCAATCAGGATCAACTCCTAGTGGCCCAGTTTATACTTGAGATCTTCCCCTCTGGCTATAGATGATTGGACCAGCCATGGCCACCTGAATTTATTCCAGGGAAATCACTTTCTCTCCCTTTTTCTAGCTCTCTTTGTCTTCCCCTTTCTCTTTCTCTCTTTCTACCTTCCTCCTCCCCCATTTCCTCCTCACTTTTCTTCCCTCCATCTCTTTCCTTTCCTCTTTTCTTCTCTTCTTCTTTCCTACCCGTGCTCTGGAATTGGGATTCTAGTTTAATCTGAGCAAGTCTTTTAAACAGAAAAGCAATACCGCCAGAACTATAGGTGCCATTTTCCAGTTCCTATGTACCCTCATGAACCAAGGAAAGATGCCTGCAGAAAGAAGAGAATACAGCAGATATATAGAGAAAAGCTTCAAGGTGCTAAGAGCCTTCAGTTCTTGTTTGTAGTCCTTGCTTTTGGGTCCATGAGATATTTCTGTACCCTTATAATCTATTCTTTCCTTTTCCTTAAGTTTACCCGTTAGTTTCTGTTACCTGCAACCAAACAATCCTAATTGATACCATCCTTATTTTTCTCAGCTTCTTGGAAGGGTTGGCTCCTGCTGGGTACCCCTTCCTTCTTGACTGCTTTGTTCTCTTTACTTGGATGACTCAACCGTCCTGAGTTTCCTACAGCTGCAGTCACACCTTCATAGACTGCTGTACTGTATCCTGCTTCTCCCCTAAGTGTAGTTTCTCAAGTGCTGTTTCTGCTGCCTTTTCTTTGTCATTTTAACACCTCCACTGGCAGCCATTGCATTTGTCACCTCTCTGTTGAGAAGCCCAGCAATCATCAATCTTCTAAGTTCCAGATCTCCCTGCCTACTGCTTGCATGTTCCACACGTGCCTCAGATTCACTAAGTCCAAAACCAGAGTCATTATCTCTCTCCCCTCAAGCCTCCTCCTCCTCCTGTGTTCTCTATCTCGGAATGGTACCACCCAACTATTCAACAAAACATCAGGCCATCATCCCCAACCCCTCCCTCTCCCTCCTTCACATCCACCATCCCCTAGCCAGCAAGATTCCCAGTCCTGTCCATTCAATTTCCTAAATATCTCCTGAAAACATCAGCTTTCCTCCATTGTCACTGCCTCTAGGCTAGTTTAGGTTCCATTCTTTTTCCCCACCTCATAATTGGTCATCTGCCTCTAGTGTTGCCGTCATTTTCCCCACCAAGCTCAACCCACTGTCTACATCCAGTGATCTATCAAGAACAAAAATTGGACCCACTCTTTCCATGCTTCCAATGTCTCCATTTACCTTGCATTAAAGCCTAGCCTTCTTCATATGGTTTACAAAGCCCTGCATGAGCTGCCCCTGCCTACTCTCCAGCCTCAGCTCTCTCCATTCTCAGCATTTGATCACAGGAGGAACTGTATACTTTGGAGTGCACATGCTATTCCCCCCTGTCCCCATCACTGTTCTTATTCTGACCTCCCTCCTCCCTGCTTAACGTGGTTAACTCTTAATCATTATTCAGATCTCAGCTTAAAGTCTCTTTCTGTGGAAGTCTTCCTTGGCCTTCACACCTTATATAGCCCTATCACCCAACCATGCTGCATTATAATTGCCTGTTGACTTATGTCATCCCCATTAAATCTTAAGATCAATGAAGGCAGGGCCATACTCTTCCCTTCCAGCACAGTGTCTGACACATAGTAGGGATTAATATTTGTTGATTGAATAAATGAATGCTAGGGCTCTTCAAGTTCTTTAACATGGATGGAAGGCAGTTTTAGAGATGGGAGAGGGGAAATGAGAATAAGGAATAAGCAAGGGGCAGATATGGAGAAGATCATATTTTAGGCAAAACAACTTTGATTTTGATTCTGTCAGTGAGGGGAAGTGGTTGATGAATTTTATTCCCCAAATATACACTCACTCGAGATGGTCAGTTGCTTTATCTCTTTGCTCCACATCATCTCTGTACTTTGTTTTATGCTGACCTTCTCTATAAAATTCCATTCCTGGCTGGGTGGGGTGGCTCATGCCTATAATCCCAACACTTTTGGAGGCCAATGAGGGAGGATCACTTGAGCCCAGGAGTTCAAGACCAGCCTGGGAAACATAGGGAGATCCCTTCTCTTCAAAAAAGTACAAAATTTTTACTTTAGTAGCTGAGTAGTCCCAGCTACTCAGAAAGCTGAGGTGGGAGGATGGCTTGAGCCCAGGAGTCCAAGACTGCAGTGAGTTGTGATTGCGTCACCGCACTCCAGGCTGGGAAACAGAGCAAGACGCTGTCTCAAAAAATAAAATTCCTTGTTTCAATCACATTTCCCCTGCTTTCTGAAGCTTTCTGTGACTCATCCAGACTCCCCCTTTCTGCCTAGGATTCTACAATATTCTGAGCTGACACTACACAGTCTGTTACTTGATTGCATTCTGTTTCACTGCATGCTGTCATTTACTGTGGGTCACATCATACTTCTGTAAACCAGCATATAGGGGAGAGTGACTATTAACAAAATAAGCTGGTTGCAGTGGCTCATGCCTGTAATCCCAGCACTTAGGGAGGCTGAGGGGGTTGGATCACCTGAGGTCAGGAGTTCGAGGCTAGCCTGGCCAACATGGTGAAACCCCGTCTCTACTAAAAATACAAAAATTAGCCAGGCATGGTAGTGGGCACCTGTAATCGCAGCTACTTGGGAGGTTGAGGCAGGAGAATTGCTTGAACCCAGAAGAAAGAGGTTGCAGTGAGCTAAGATTACGCCATTGCACTCCAGCCTGGGTGACAAGAGCAAAACTTCCTCTCAAAAAATAAATAAATAAATAAATAAACAAACAAACAAAATAGAGAACCTGTAAATAAACATTGCAAAGTTGTGTCCAAATAAACATTTTCATTCCGGATAGTCCTCATTCAAAATAATTTTGTAACTCTTCTTTGGAAATGGCCTTCAGATCTCATTCATGAACTGTAGAAGAAAGATTTGTTGTTTATTGTGACCCTGAGTTTTCAGCCCCAAACAGTATTTACTCAGCTACCTTATTTTTCAGACTTGATTCCAAATGCTTTTTTTTTTTTTTTGAGACAAAGTTTAGCTCTTGTTGCCCAAGCTGGAGTGCAGTGGTGCAATCTTGGCTCACTGCAACCTCCGCCTCCCGGGTTCAAGCGATTCTCCTGCCTCAGCCTCTCAAGTAGCTGGGATTACAGGCACCCGCCTTATTCTCCTGCCTCAGCCTCTCAAGTAGCTGGGATTACAGGCGCCCGCCACCACACCCAGCTAATTTTTGGTACTTTTAGTAGAGACGGGGTTTTGCCATGTTGGCCAGGCTGGTCTTGAACTCCCACAGCAATGTTCAGTCAGAAAATCAGAGCCACTGTAAGTGAAATAGAACAAGGGCTTTATATATGGATTAGACTTTACACAATTACGGAATCTGGTAAAGATGCTCATTGCCTCTGCATCTAGTATGGGTCTGAGGTCTCTTTAGACCAGTAGGATCAACAGTCAGCAAGAAAATCTAACATGAAGTTGGGGAGCATGAGGACAAACTGGACCCCATGTGGGTCTCTCACGGCCTCCTTCCTTGATAATGTGCATGACCTACAGAAACAGCTTTGCTACAGAGCTGCACCTGTGTCTGGATTCTGGCCCTGTATTCAGGGAAGCTGGAACAGGTAATGCAGTATCTCCTTTGAGCCGCGCTGCTGCCCCAGGCCCACAGGAAGAGCCCCCGGACCAATAATGCATGCAGCCTGCAGAGACAGCTAGCACCCTCCACTAACCTTCAGAACATTATGCTGCTGGTTCAATTCCACATTCCAAATCCTGCCTGCAAATTTCTCTCATAATCAACCCTAACCTGGCACTACATATGGAAGAGCATTCTGGGACATGTAGTTCAACTTGGTAGGTTGATGCAGTATAGTACTAGTACAGTTACTAAAATGCAAGCTGACCTCTAAGGGATGAAGGCTTGCCAACACTGAAAGTAGTCAAAAGCAAATGCCACAGCTTTTGAAGAAACTTTCAGTGTAAGAGTTCCTAAAAATGTTGGACACAAGGGTAGAATCTTTGGAGTAAGTAGCAATTGCTTCCAAGAAGGTAAGGTTGACTGACCTCTTTAAAAAAGGAAAATGTTCACTTGGACATACAATATTCTGGTGTCTTCATGAAGGGAATGAACTGAATCTTATTACTTTTTAGCATTCCTTATATTTTTGTCATTTTTCTCCTCTGATTCTCAAGTTTACAGATCTTTTTTATTGTTGTTGTTATTGGTTATGTTTTAGCTCAGCTGAGTTTTATGACTCATTCATGAGTTGTTCAAAAATCATACAGAGGCCAGGCACGGTGGCTCACGCCTGTAATCCCAGCACTTTGGGAGGCCAAGGTGGGCGGATCATGAGGTCAGGAGATTAAGACCATCCTGGCCATGGTGAAACCCCGTCTCTACTAAAAATACAAAAAAATTAGCTGGGCATGGTAGTGCACGCCTGTAGTCCCAGCTACTTGGGAGGCTGAGGCAGGAGAATTGCTTGAACCCAGGAGGTGGAGGTTACAGTGAACTGAGATCGCACCACTGTACTCCAGCCTGGTGACAGAGCGAGACTCCGTCTCAAAAAAAAAAAAAAAAAAAAATCATACAGAGCAGGGGTCCCCAACCCCCAGGCAGTGGACCAATGCCATCAGGAACCAGGCTGCACAACAGGAAGTGAGTGGCCAATGAGCACTACTGTCTGAGCTCCACGTCCTGTTAGATCAGTGGCGCCATTAGATTTTCATGGGAGTGCAAACCCTAGTGTGAACTGTGTATGTGAGGGATTTAGGTTGTGCACTCCTTATGAGAATCTAATGCCTAATGATCTGAAATGGAACAGTTTCATCCTGAAACAATCCCACCCCTGCTGGTCCATGGAAAAACTGTCTTCCATGAAACCAGTCCCTGGTGCCAAAAAAGGTTGGGGACTGCTAATTCAGAGGAATAGGAAGTGTCCTAGAGCTAGGTAATTCACTTTCCCTTCCCAGGGTGGATATTCTTGACATTTTTTCTTATTATGGGATATAATTCTTAGCTATAGATTTTAGAGTCCATTTTTTCTCTGAGGTCATTGACCTTCTGGCCTTTCACCACAACTAAGCAGGTCTTTTCTTACCCTTTTTTTTTTTTTTTTTTTTTAAGACAAGGTCTCACTTTGTCGCCCAGGCTGGAGTGCAATGGCATGATCAGCACTCACTGCAACCTCTACCTTCCAGGCTCACGTGATCCTCCTACCTCAACCTCCCAAGTAGCTGGGACTACAGATGTGCACCACCACGCCCAGATGATTTTTTATTTTTAGTAGAAACAAGGTTTCCCCATGTTGGCCAGGCTGGTCTTAAATTCCTGACCTCAAGTGATCTGCCCACCTCAGTTTCCCAAAGTGCTGGGATTAGAGGTGTGAGCCACTGCACCCAGCCAGATCTTTTCCTATTATACAGCATGTCCTACTGCTTATTTTAGCTGTTTCTAAAGGCCTTCTCCGTTAATCTTGATGTCTTATAGCAGTCTGTCGAGGCTGCCATAACATAATAGTATGGCCTGGGTGGCTTATGAACAACACGAATTTATTTCTCTTCCTTCTAGAGGCTGGAAAGTCTGACATCAAGATGCCCAGCAGGTTCAGTGTCTAGTAAGGCCCACTTCCTAGTTCATAGACAGCATCTTCTCACTGTGTTCTCACTTGCTGGAAGGGGCAAGGGAGCTCTCTGGGGCCTCTTTTATAAAGCCATTAATCCCATTCATAAGGGTTACACTCTCATGATCTAATCACCTCTCAGAGGCTCCACCTCCAAATACCATCACATTGAGGATTAGGATTTCAACACGTAAACTTGGGGGGGACATAAACATTCAGTATATAGCACTTGACAATTTAATGTGAATGATTCTATTCTTGTCATTCTAGGCAAATCTAGAGGCTGGCAAAAATGTTCTATGGATGTAAAATACCTAAATTACAAATGGTATGGTTAATGAATTACATTTCAGTCAGTTTGCTCTTGATTTCTTTTTTTCATTTTTTGAACAAAGCCCAAAGGCCTTCGGTCCCTAATATGATTCTTAATATATCTGCCACCTTGACCATTGTTGCCTAATTTATGTATTTGTGTTAAAATACATATAGCATAAAATTTACTATCCTAATTATTTTTAAGTGTATGGTTCAGTAGTGTTAAGTGCATTCACTTTGGTGTACAACCAATCTCCAGAACTCTTTTCATCTTGCAAAACCGAAACTCTGTGCTGAAAAACAATCCCCCATTTCTCCCTCCCCCTAGTCCCAGGTAACCACTATTCTACTTTCTGTCTATGAATATGACTACCGTAGTTACCTCATATAAGTGGAATACTACAGAATTTGTTACTTCATGTCTGGCTTATTTCACTTAGCATAACGTCCTCAAGGTTCATGCATGTTGCAGCATGCGTCAGAATTTTCTTCCTTTTTAAGACTAGATAATATTCCATTGTATGTATATATCACATTTTGTTTATCCATTCATCCATTGATGGACACTTGGTTTGCGTCCATCTTTTGGTTATTATGAGTAATGCTGCTATGGATGTAGGTATACAACTATCTCTTTGAGACCTTGCTTTTAATTGTAATTATTTTGGGTATATACCCAGAGGTGCAATTACAAGGTCATATGGCAATTTATTTTTAATTTTTTGAGGATCCACATACTGTTTTTCACAACAGCTGTACCATTTTACATTCCCACCAACAATGCTGAGTCTTCTGACCTTACACCAGTATTGTCTCCATTGTGCCACCTGCAGTGAGCTTAACATTTGGATATAGGCTATTTTGGCCTATTCCCTGTTTCCTGTATGTTCACCTTATCTTCCCAGCTAGATATAACTCGTTGGGCATAAATTCTGTCTTCTCCTGCTCCTATTATACTTCCCAAGTATCTTAAAACATGCTGAACACAAGCACAAATTCAACGTATACTTGTAGGATGAATGATTGAATGAATGAATGAATGAGCACAATTATTTCTTCTTTCCTATCTCTCTCTCTCTTAATCCAATTGTTTCATCTCTTTCTTCCACCAGTTCCCATTGCTAGCCAACTCAAGTCATAGACTCTACTTTCTAGTTCAGAATCTTGGTCTTAGCAGGAAAATTAAGTGTTATTTAGTTCTTTATGGTACATGATGAAGGGAGAAACACTGGATTTGAATCTCAGCAAGTCACTGAACTGCCAAGGTACTACAAAATAATGTAAAACACATGCCCATTATTGAGAATCACATACCATGAAGCACTATGCATGCAGCTAATATAGTGTCTGATACTTCATACATATTCAATAAATGTTAACCTACTTCTTACACTTTTTATTCAGGTTTCGAATAGGCACACTAGAATGTAAACTCCTTTAAATGCTGGAACTATGCTTTACATATCTTTCTATCTTCTTTAATGCTTTTGCTTAGTACATGCCCAAAGACATTTATTATATAAACAAACAAATGAATCAAACATCCAATCTATACTGCAGTTCTACCAGAGTTGTTTTTCGGTGGTTCCTTCACAAATTTATCAGTTTGGATCAGCTAGATATGATGCAATGTCAAAAAGAGAACCACAATGGCTTGCAACAGGGTTTATTTCTTGTTCATGACACTTATCCATCATGAGTCAGCAAATGGTCTTCTAGTCACTCAGGGGCCAGGCTGATGGAGGTGCCATTTCTTCACATATCTCCACAATTGCAGAAACAGGGAAAAGAGAGTATGGCAACCACAGGCTGGCTCTCACAGTTTCTGTCTAGGAGTGGTACACATCAATTCCACTCACATTTTATGGGCCAAACAAGTGACATGGCCACATCTGAGTTCAACAGGGTAGGGATACACAGTGCTCCCACAGAGAGGGGCACTGAAAATTTGTGAAGGGCCGGATGTATGGCTCCTGCTTGTAATTCCAGCACTTTGGGAGGCCAAGGTGGATGGATCACCTGAGGTCAGGAGTTCGAGACCAGCCTGGCCAACATGGTGAAACCCTGTCTCCACTAAAAATACAAAAATTAGCCAGGCGTGGTGGTGCACACCTGTAATCCCAGCTACTTGGGAGGCTGAGGCAGAAGAATCGCTTGAAACCTGGAGGCGGAGGTTGCAGTGAGCCAAGATCACACCACTGCACTCCAGCCTGGGCAACAGAATGAGACTCTGTCTCAAAAAAAAAAAAAGAAAAAAGAAAAGAAAATTTACGAAGAATAACATAATCTACCATCACAGCTTAGAAGGCTCTTTATGATTTGATTCCTGCCTTATCTACATAACCTTGAACTCTGGCCATGGTGGACTGATTACAGCTGCTCAAACACAGCATGCCCTTTACACTTGGGTGCTTTAGATATACTGTTTCCTTTGTCTGGAGCATCCTGTCGTTCATCTATTCATCCATCCATTCATCCACTCATTCCTTCATCTTTTTATCCCTTCATTCAACAAATACGTGTTGAGTGCATTTTGTGTAATAGATCTGTCCCAGTAGAAACCTCCTTTTCATCTTCAGGCTAAGTGCTCACGTTAAAATTACTCTAAAACCTTCCATCTGGCTACCATAGTTCTAACATATGGTTAGATGCTCTCTCTTATGCTCATGGCACTTTCTACACACCCACATCATAGAATTTTACACCCTAGCATTGTGGTGGTGCCTTCAGAATTTCTCTATTGAAGGAGATTAGGAGTGACAATCTGGTTGGGGTTTGTAATGGAACTTCTTTTGAAGCTACAGTTGCCTATCTTTTTCACATAAGATTGAGAAGAGTAAGTTTTTTTTTCAAATAATGGAGGTAGAAGTAGATGAGATTATGCCCACTTCTTCCCCTAAGCTACCCTCTGGAGCTCCCACTGCGGTATTGAAATATGTGTGTCGACGTCTCTCTGGAAGACAATGACTGCTTCTTATTCATTGTTATATTGTAAGAAGTATAGAGAGTACAAGAGTATGTGCTCACTATTTGTGGAATAAATAAATAAGTAAAACAGCCACTGATACTGTTACAGGAAAGGGATCTTGATCCAGACCCCAACAGAGGGTCCTTGGATCTCCCACAAGAAAGAATTCAGGGCGAGTCCATAGACTAAAAGGAAAGCAAGTTTATTAGGAAAGTAAAGGAACAAAAGAATAGCTACTCAATAGAGCCCTGAGGGCTGCTGGTTGCCCATTTTTATGGTTATTTCTTGATTATATGCTAAATAAGGGGTGGATTATTCCTGCCTCCTCTTTTTAGACCACATAGGGTAACTCCCTGATGTTGGCAAATGCCATGGCACTGGTGGGAGTGTAGCAGTGAGGACAGCCAAAGGTCACTCTCATGGCCATTTTGGTTTTGGTGGGTTTTAGCCGGCTTCTTTGCTGCAACCTGTTTTATCAGCAAGGTCTTTATGACCTGTATCTTGTGCTGACCTCGTATCTCATTCTGTGACTTAGAATGCCTTAACCCTCTGGGAATGCAGCCCAGTAGGTTTCAGCCTTATTTTACCCGCCTCCTATTCAAGATGGAGTTGCTCTGGTTCAAACGCCTCTCACAATACTACCACTTTTTGGAGCCATCCCCCATAGTCATCAGCAATCTCTGTGGCAGTGGTTCTTGTCCTTGGCTGCACATTGGAACCACCTGGGAACTGTAAAAATGGAGACACCTTGGCCTCAGGCTTAGAAGTTCTGATGTAGACGATCTAGGATAGGGTCTAGACATGAGCAATTTTAAAACATAACCAAGTGATGATAACGTGCAGCCCAGACTAAACCATATGAGGGAGCAACAGAATGACCTGGTGGGCTCGTTAAAACAGAATTATGTGTCCAGGCACAGTGGCTCACACCTGTAATCCCAGCACTTTTGGAGGCTGACGTGGGTGGATCGCTTGAGCCCAGGAGTTTGAGACCAGCCTGGCAACTTGGCAAGAACCTGTCTCTACAAAAAATACAAAAATTAGCTGGGTGTGGTGGTGCACTCATGTAGTTCCAGCTCCCCGGGTTGGTCAGGGAAGCCGGAGGCAGGGGGCTAGTGAGGTGAGAGGATGTCTTGAGCCAGGGAAGTAGAAGTTGCGTGAGCCCAGACTGCGCCACTGCACTCCAGCCTGGGTGACAGAGCAAGAGTCTGTCTCAAAAACAAACAAACAAAAACAGAATGATGAGCTCCATCTCCAGAGTTTCTTATTTACTAGGGTTAGGGGTGGGGCTTGATAATTTGCATTTCTAGCAAGCCCCCAGGTGATTCTGATAGTTGATGTTGCTAGCCCAGAACTACAGCTCTATGGAAACAGAAATCTCAGTCCGCTGAACTATGAACTCCACCCCACCCCAGTCCACCCCTACTCCCGTATTAACTTCATAATTAGCTCCAGGAATGAACTTATAAGTAAGTGTACTACTAGATTTTTTTTTTTTTTTTGAGACAGGGTCTTGCTCTGTCACCTACGCTGGAGTGCAGTGGCACAATCATAGCTCACTGCAGCCTCAAACTCCCAGGCTCAAGCAATCCTCCCACCTCAGCCTCCTGATTAGAGGGAACTACAGGCATGTGCTGCCATGCCCGGCTAATTTTTAAATTTTTTTGTAGAGACAGGATCTCACTAATGTTGCCCAGGCTGCTCTTGAGCTCCTGGGCTCAAGCAATCCTCCTGCCTTGGCCTCCCAAAGTGCTGGGACTACAGGTGTGAGCCACCATGCCTGGCCTACTACTAGATTTTTAAAAAAATATTTTAATATATACCTTCCTACTTTCCCAATAAGAAGTTGAGGTAGAAGTGATTTGAGAGGAAATTGAAATCGTTTTCTGGTAATTACTGATTCACACCTTTGGCTACTAAAAAAGTTTATCAAGACTTTTAATTACAAATAATACATATAATATAAAAAGCGCAAATTTCCTCCTTGGAGGAAATAGACTGTGAGTTCAGTGCGAGGTAGAAGGTAGTGAAGGTGTTTAGGATAAGCCACTGTGGCATAAAAATATTTTGAGCTGAAAGCATTTGAGTTCCTGAGATCCCTTAACTGCCTAAAAGCAGGACTTTTGAATAGACCTCAATTGTCATAAATCAACCAGGGAAGAATGACTTTTATCATCAGAGACAATGAGAAATCAGACAATGAGAAGTAGGCACCACACCAACAGTCATTGTCACAAACGTATTATAGCTCCCATTTATTCTGCTAAGCATCCATTTAGCTTTCCTAAAAGTCATTTGCTTTCCCATAAGCACTCTTTTACTCACTCTCCTTTACCTATTAAGATATATTTAAACCTCGAATTCTAACTGCCTTTTTGAGTCACATTTCTTTGTGAACTCCCTTTCATATATACATAATTAAAATCTGTCTTTTCTTGCTAATCTATCATCTGTCTAATTTGCAGGCCCCCCAAAACTGGACATAAGAGGGTAGAGGAACAGTTTTTCCTCTCTGAGTTGGGAATGCAGACGGGGGTACTGCAAAGTCACCTACTTATTCACTTACAGCTGCCTGGGTTTGACCTTCAAGTTGTCCATTGAACACCGATATCCCAGGAATCCTGTCTTCAGTCATTGGCTGTTCTGTTCTTTATCTTCTCTTTTCCCTAACTCTTGCACTCACAATCTGCTAACCCACCAAATGGAGCATGTACTCTCTTGTTCTCCTGTTCAGGTTCCTCTGTGATCAATACTTTGCCTTTCTGGATGGGGAACAACTCAAAAAGGCCAACTTGGATATTTGCACACTGTGATTTCTATGCTATTTCCATCACTTTTGAGCAGAGCAAAACAGGTTGGCAAACCTCAGCTCTCATATGGAACTCAGCCTTGGGAAGAGATTGAAGGAAAAGTCAGTTGGCTCTTCTGCACTGGCATTGTAGGGCAACTTGGCATAGAGAAAAGAGCCCTGGGTTGAGGATTAGGAGACCTGAGTGTGGTCCCAGTTCTACTTTGTGTCATTTTAACTGCCATGGGCTTTCATTTCCTCATTTATTAAATGGGGTTTCCCACCACATGGGACTGTTTGGAAGATCATATAGGAAAATGGAAGAGAAAGCATATGGCACTCAGGAAAATACTTGTATTCTATTGGGGCTCAGCAGAGCATCCTACTTCCAGCACTTTGTAACTGAGAAGGGACACCACCATGCTTGTATCCCCATCTCATTCTATAAACATCATCAAATGCTGTAGAACATATCCAAACAAACCAGAGTGCATGTGTACTCATAAAGGAAGGTATGGCAGAAGCCCAGTTGGAAATTCAATCTAGATTGGCCCCAGAAACAATTTTCTATTGCACTTTGCATCCATGACTTCTCCTACTCCTCATATCCATTCCACCTTCCAACCTGGTCCCCGGGCCTCATTCTTCTTTTCTAGCTTATAGTCTCCAAACTCAAGAGAAAATATTCTTTCTGACTCTCGAAAGGAAGAGATTCCCAGTGGCTTAGAAAGGACAATGCCTAGCTAGCCCCTGAACAGACGCTGGCACCTTATAAAGGAAGTTTTTTTAAACAAGCTTTTTGTGAACTAGGATGTTTTATGAGCAGTAGCCCTTGGCCAAACCAGGAGAACAGAGGTGCTCTCTTCCCTTTGTTGGACATTTAGAAACATATTGTAGATTGTTTGTTCACTTGTTTTACCAGAAGTATGCATAACTTCAGTAAGCAGGGGAACCAAGGATCTTTTTTTAACTATAAAAATAAATTTTCTTGGCCAGAACTATTACTATATTTTGTCTTTGTTGATTGTTATATTCAACTATATATATATATATAGTTGAAGGCAACCATATAGTTGATATATATAATTGAATATAACAAATATATATAGTTGAAGGCAACTATATATATAGTTGAATATAACAATCAACTTATATTATTGAATATAATATTCAATATATATTGAATATAAAATATATTGAATATATGTGTATGTATGTGTGTATATATATGTGTGTGTATATAGATATATATATAAAGGGGGCAATAGTTTGAGAGTACTAACCCAATGTATTTTTATCCTCAGTAACTCATAATGCCCAGTTTTACTGAGGCTCCCATATCAACTCAGACCAAAGCTTCTTCCACAGCATAAAGAGGATTCTTCTTAGCCATTTAGCCAGGAAGCCTGGTGCCCCCAGGAGGAAGGAGGCTATGGTGAGGGTTGTTCATTCTGAAGAGGTAAAAGCATGAGAAAGGAAAACATAGGCAGATCCAGAAGAAGACAGAGTTGGTTAGATGCCACTGCCAGGGTTCTAGCCAGCCTTCCCTTGCTGAACCTCAAGGAGACGAAGGTGTAGAGATACCCAGCTGGGCATCAGGGAGCCCAGGTTAACTGGATGTGGTGGCTCCATTCCCAGGCATGGTCTGGGGAGTCCACAGGCTTCTAGGAGGAGCCTAGCTTTTAGCTTCACTACACCCAACAGTGAGGGGCAGTGACGGGTAGTCTCAAAGAAGGCAGAAGCAGCAGAGGCAGCATCCCTGGGTCCCTATAGCCTACGTGTAGTGTACAGAGTACCTGAAAGTTCCCAAGTGTCCTATTTGGATGACATGAAGGGGTTGAGGCCTGACCAGATAGCCAAAATCTGGGGTCAGGATTAAGAAGCCTCAGCATGTAGTGTTGTTTTGTTTTGTTTTGCTTTTACATCAGAAAGACATGTCTGAGAATCCGGTATTTGTGTCAGGAAGAGACAAAAAACTAGATGATCAGGCAAGAGAAGAGGGAGAAGGCAGAGGACATGTGAATCTGAGGCCTCCTCCCTGTGCCATAAGATCATATACACTCCCACATACCCTAGAATGTGACCCTGGAAAGGAGCAGGGAGAGGAGATTGGGAAGACTGAGCATTGGCGCACACTCTAAGTCATTCCAAAGAGGTTACTTAAATGGCAGAAATGGAGATCCTAGTGATTTTGCAAGTTTAAAGACTGTTTCCTTCTCAAGGTGCTCAGTGGGTTGACATCTTGAGGGAAAAGTTTAGCCAGTTATGGAAAACTACAGTTTTATTTCCTTTGTACAACTGAGTAGATTTTCATGTAAAAGTTCAACCCTGCCCCACATCTGTGGTATTAGTTGAATTACATAAATTGTTTGCCCTTTGGGTTTATGTGCTTTCTTGGTTTGCACAATATTCAGTCTCAGAATCCTTGAAGAACAAAGTATCCACACACACGCCTTGTGACATCATAATCCAGTCACTGATATGACTGCCTCTCTGATTCTGAGTCATCAGGCTCCACCCATGCTCTGAGGTCATCCTGGGTTCTAAAAGCACCTGGAACACCTCTGTGAGCCATCATTAAAATGCTTTGCCTACTTTCATCATCCTGACTTCACTTCCTTCAGTGGAAACGTCTAGAAACTATGTTATGGTCTCAAATTTTTAAAAGTAATTTTCAGAGTGTTTTACTTATATTGTTTCATATTATCCAAACAGCTCTATTAGAAGAAATGGTAGTAATTCCATTTCAGAGCCCAAAAATAGATGCTCAGAAGCTGAGGTGTTATCAATCAGGGCCCAGTCCTGAAAACAGAAATGAAACTAGGTACTTCAACACAGACATTTTAATATAGGGGATATTGGTTGCCAGCATTTGTATCCTGGATCTGCTCACACCAGCTTGTGAAATTCAGGGATGCCATGTTGATAATTTAAAACTATCCATGGTGAATGATTTATATTATGGGAATTGGCACACATTACAAATTGGTTTCTTTGTGGTTTTTGTTTTTCTAGAGAATTGGTTGTTAAATATTTACAAGCATACCACTCGTTATAGATATTGAAGGGCTGGAAAACAGTGAACATTGTGGTAACACAGAGATAGTCCCTGTAGAAAGCAGCTACCACACCAGGGCTGGGAAACAAAGGGGAAAAGGTTAGGCTATGAAAACCTAGGAGATCAGAGGAGGGGACCCCAGAGCCTGGGCTCAGACTGGAGAGGAGGGGTGGCTGCTCCTCCCGGTGCTGAAACATTTGAGGGGGCATGATGACATGACAACACTGGACAGGGAGTGCTGAAGAAAACCGGAGGCCAGAACCTACTGCTGATGCTAGGGTGAAGCTGACAGGGATAGCAAGGCAACAGAAATAAGAGTGTCCTCTTCCTCTCCTTCCTTGAGTCTCCCTCTATCTAGCACCCTGGCAGAGCTTCACAGGGACTAGCGGCAAAGGAGAAATGTGGTTTGCAGAGTCTTAGATGCACCATCTCAAAGCCACATACAGAAGGCAAGTTGGTGTGAAAGTCAATTGCTTAATAACTAGCACATTTGGTGATTTGCTCAGGTCACATAGCTTAGTAAGTGTGGTCTGTTTTGCTTCCTAGGATTTCTCAATGTCTAGATAAGCCCTTGGTATACAGCATGCACTCATAAACATTTGTTGAAGGAAGGAAAGAAGGCAGACTAGACTAGCCCAGTTCTCCGGCCCACATTTAAAAGCCCATGTTGATGTTTAAGCACCCCACTGCACCCAGTATTTCTTTATATAACCCAGTTGTCTCACACTGGGGATGTAGGAACTACATAAGGAGGTACCAAGCACAGCTTGGTGCTTTGGAGAAAAGCAGATCTGGATTCAAATCCCAGCCCCACTATTTAAGAGTTGTATGGCCTTGGGCTACTCAACATCTGAAGCCTTGGTTGTTTCATCTGTAAAAGGGAGATAGCAGTGGTACGAAGCTTAAATAAGGTAATCGTATCTGGCATGTTCAACCCATGGTCTTTGCTACTTTTTTTTTTTTTTTTTTTTTGAGGTGGAGTCTCGCTCTGTCGGCTGGAGTGCAGTGGTGTGATCTTGGCTCACTGCAACCTCTTCCTCCCGGGTTCAAGTGATTCTCCTGCCTCAGCCTCCTGACTCGCTGGGCTTACAAGCATGGACGACCACGCCTGGCTAATTTTTGTATTTTTAGTAGAGACGGGGTTTCACTATGTTGGTCAGGCTGATCTCGAACTCCTGACCTCGTGATCCACCCGCCTCGGCCTCCAAAGTGCTAGGATTACAGGCGTGAGCCACCGCGCCCGGGCTTTTTGTTTTGTTTGTTTGTTTTGAGATAGAGTCTTGCTCTGTCGCCCAGGCTGGAGTGCAGTGGCGTGGTCTCGGCTCACTGCAACTCCGCCTCCCGGGTTCAAGCGATTCTCCTGCCTCAGCCTCCCAAGTAGCTGTGATTACAGGCGCCCGCCACCACGCCCCGCTAATTTTTGTATTTTTAGTAGATACAGGGTTTCACCATGTTAACCAGGCTGGTCAAACTCGTGATTTCAGGTAATCCGCCTGCCTCGACCTCCCAAAGTGCTGGGATTACACGGGTGAGCCACCGCCGCCTGGCTGATCTTTGCTACTATTATTCTTACCCCACAGCCCAGAAGGGAGGGCAGATAAGAGCCCGCTAAGCCCAGGCTGGGGCCAGTGACCCCGCTCTTCTGGGCTTCCCTCTCCTATCCCGGGTGCTAGCCAAGACCCGGGCTGGAGGAGCAAGGATCTGCCCAGGGCTGCGATAGTCCGGCCAAGAGTTGAACAATGGAGGCCAGTCTGGCCAGGGCCCAGGGCTGCAGCCCAGTATGGTCTCATAAACTGCATTTGGAACCTCTAGATGGGAATCTGTGTTTCCTAACACTTTGTTCCAAAGCAAGTTTGCACCAGCCTGAATGAAACAAACGCGGGTGTGGTGGTTCCTCATGTTCAAAACGAAACAAAAATAAGACAAAGAGAACTCCGGCCCCCAAGCCACAGACAACCTCTAGATCTTTCCCCAGGCAAACTGTGCGGCAGGAGAGGAGGAAGCGCCTTTGTAGTTGCCACTGGGACTCAGGGCCTCGGAGCGCTGCGGTCTCGGGTGTTCAGGTCCATGGTCCTGAACCCCAAAGGCTCCAGGGCTCCAGGGGTGGGGCTGGTGGGGTTCGCCCTGCCCAGCCGGGGGCGCCGGCCGGGGAGGGAGGGGAGGGCGCATGGCCGGGCTCAGCCTGGCCGCGCCCCGCCCCGGGAAGCTCCCACTCCCCCTGCCGGAATCCTGGGAATGTCACCGCCCCGGGAAGCATCTGGCCGGCCTCTGGGCAGAGGGTGGGGTCAAACCTGGAATTTCTCGGGTGCTTTTGCACAAAATCCCTGCAAAGGGGAATCAGCTGCATGAAGCTGAAGCCCATGGAATTGAGAAGGAGGCTGCCCACTTCTCCAGGCAGCCTTTGTCAGCACCTCTTCCAATCTCCGCCGGGAGGGCGACCGCACGCTCCTTTCCCGTTCGGAAGATTCCTTCTTTGTGTCGGCGGGGGCAGTCCTTCCGGAGCTGGAAACCGAGGGACCCCGGCAGGCGTTTCCAGCTGGACTGTCGCCATCTTGTGGCAGGACTGGGTGGCCACACTGGCCCAACGGCCAGATCCGCATGCCCACAACTTTCTTGGGTTCCAAACGTACCTTTCCTTCTTTCCCCAACCTGCTAGGAACTGGATTTTAAAATCACGTTCCCTGAAGATACCTCGGTTCTGTCCTCTCCCAATTGCACGGGCGTTGTCTTCCTAAAAGCTACCCTGCTCTTTGGAGAGTCCAGTGCAAGCCTCACTGAGGGGCTCTGTGTTAAATCCATCAAAACCAACTCGTACGAGGCGTCAATCCTCCACCAATTTCCCATGAGACAAACCAATGATTAAGAGCACAGAGACGCACTCTGGTTAGTGATGTTATTATACTTGATGAGTATTATTAAAGGACCCCTGTTATTAAAGACTCCCCATTATTATTGTTATTATTTAGCACTTATAATATATTCTGTATTTTCAAAGCACTCAAAGTCTATTATCTCCCTGGACTTTCTAAACACTACAGAGAGGCGGGCAAGTGACAGCCTCATTTTATAAAATAGGGAAACTGAGGCATTGTAATTAGTGCAGAGTGCATGGATTCATGAGTCAACAGTACTCATTTCCTTCTAGCCTTTTATTGTCTTACTCCAAACTGTCATAGATTCCAGTAGGTGGTAAATAGACATCCTAACCTGGGAAACGAGTTTCTCTCACCCACTTTACAACCCATTGTAATCACATTAGAAACCCAAGCGTAGAAGTTTTCAAACTTAGAGTCGTGTGCCATTACACTGAGCATATGGGTGATGTTATTTGTATTTTATTTTATTTTTACAAGTCAAACACAATCCTTTTTTTTTTAAGTAGGGATTCTATAATCAGTAAACCAGGCACATCTTGATTTGAAAAATGAATTGGTTTTTAAGACAAATCCTCCTTCATTTGATACAGCATGCAGAAAAAAAATACCGATAAAAAAACCATGTTATTTTAAAGTCTATTATCATCCTGGAGACAAGAAAAACTATTTTCTGCTTTCAGACTTTGTTTCTTGTTTTCAAAAGAGTTTTCACGCTTATCAGTGGGTGCGCTCATATTACCACAGTACCTTAAGTTCCTTTGATAACTTAGTTTTCTCTCCGAAAGCAACAACAAAATATGTAATTTTGTTCTGTCCATAGAAAGCAATGACATGACACACTCCTCTCACCTAGCCTCCCCAAAAAGAAAAACATCCAGTCATTTTGGATGTCTTGAGTGGAAAGGTTTGGGTTTAAATTTGGAGCCGGGTCAGAGTTGAGACAAAGGAAGTTTTTGAGAGGCCTGTCCTAGCTGCTAAGATCAGCCTAGGCCCTGAACTTAGCAAAGCTAGAAAAATTGAGGAAGTTTGTCTTTGGACTCTTCCCATACAACTTTAAGTGAGCGTGTCTTTTTACTCAGTTCTCACCAAAAAAAAAAAAAAAAAAAAAAAAATTCTAAATGTCCATGTTTAAGAAAGTTGTTGGTTTGGGGAGTCAGGTTAGCTGTCTCAACTTCTTCTTATATTTATTCATATCATTCATTCACTCGGAATGTATTTATAAATTGTATTAATCAATGGCTACTTCTATGGGCCTATGACAAGCAAGGCACTTTAGATTTATTATTCCTATGCTGCAATCCTTCGAAGTAGATTCTCATTATTCCCACTTTACAGGTGAGGAATCCAAAGTTCAAGAAAAGTTCAAATAACCCACTCACAGTTGCACAGCTAGAGGGAGAGCTGGGATAGATCTATAAAGCTGCAACTCCTGTGCACACAGAAATATGAAGCCACTTTCACCCTCTGGAATCCTTCAGGTAGGAAAACAAGACTGAGAAGTGTGTATGGTAAATAGAAAATTTGGAGTTAAAAAATATTACAAAGTGATAAAACATTGTCAGTAGTAGGGAAAGGGCCCTGTGTGTACAGCCAACATTTATTATGTCTGTAGAGTGGACTCTTACTGGGCCAGCCCGGCTCAGTTTGTCAGCCAGCCCTTGAGCCTCATCTTTTTGTCCTCTGACTTTAGGCCAGCCAGCCAAGGTGGGAGAGGGTGACTAGCTGATGGAGAAGCTCATGACTTCCTAAACTCTTTCAGATTCCTTCAACTTCCAGCTAATGGAGAAACAGGTTCTTCAGGAAGACCCCAGCCTTTGCTGCATACAAAGAGAGCCCAAAGCCCTAGGCAGTCCTAGTTGGAAAACAGAACTGTAGATGCTTACTAATATGGTAAGCAGAAATTTTTCAGGGCAGTGCAGTATACACTGAATAAGAAAAGGGTGAAACAACAAGGGAAGAGGCAATTTCCACTCAACTATAAGATTAAGAAATTAGAAGGAAATTGATAGACAATATGAAATAGTGTTTGAGACTATCTCTCTGGAGCCAGGCCATCAGGATTGCCATCCCAGTTCCATCACTTCATATTAATAGCTGTGTGACTTGGGTCAGTCATTTGCCCCTTCTGTGACTCAGTTTCTTCATCTGTAAATGGGGGTGATCCTACCTCATAAGATTGATGTGAGGATTACATGAATTAATGCATTATGCTTAGAGCAATGTCTGATCCGTGGTAAACACAATGCAAATGCTAGTATTTATTATCATTGTATTTCTTGAATTGAATTTGTTGACTAAAAATAACTTTTCAATCAAATATATATATGGGCTCCTATCCCTACTGTGTGGTCCTGGGTAATTTACCCAATCTCCCTGAGCTTCAGTTTTCTGCATCTGTAAATAAGGTAATAACACCACCTTACAGGAGCATTGTGAAGATTAAATAACATGCATGGAGATACTCACCATAATATTGGTCATATAGTAATGGCTCAATAAATTCCCATTTCCTTCTTTTCTTAATTTAGCATTAGTGAACATTTTTGGTGTGTTCAGTGGTAGGAAAAGAATAGTACAAATGAAAATATGAGGCCGGGTGCAGTGGCATGCCTGTAATCCCAGCACTTTGGGAGGCCAAGGTGGGTGGATCACCTGAGGTCAGGAGTTCGAGACCAGCCTGGCTAACATGGTAAAACCCCATCTCTACTAAACACACAAAAATTAGCTGGGTGTGGTGGCGTGCTTCTGTAGTCCCAGCTACTCGGGAGGCTGAGGCAGGAGAATTGCTTAAACCTGGGAGGCAGAGGTTGCAGTGAGCTGAGATCACGCCACTGCACTCCAGCCTGGGCGACAGAGTGAGACTCTGTCTCAAAAAAAAAAAAAAAAGAAAAATAAAAGAAAAGAAAGAAAAGAAAAGAAAAGAAAGAAAAGAAAAGAAAAAGAAAATGTGAATAAACGTACCTTATAATTAAACTGTATAAATTAAAGTACATTTTATAATTAAAAAGAGAAGCCTGTGGTTTATGGGGATGTCATGAGTACCTAATTATAAAATGGCAACCAAGCAGGGCTGTTCCTCAGGAACACTGTGAGGCACATCAGCAGCAAGTCTACCTCTCCTTTTCTGTGCCATTTTTGTTCAGTTTCAATCTTGCCTTCCCTTCAGACTGCCTGAGGGCAGGAGCTTCCGGACAGTGGATATGGTGAGGAAAGAGACTTGGGATGACTCACCGAGGGGTCACAGTGCTCACAGTTGCTTTAGTGCCTTTCTTTTCCCCTGAAGCCAGGTCAGAGGGGCTGCAGCAGGGGCTGAGGTGGGCTCTCTCAAAAGCAGTTGTCTGGGGTGGAGGTAGTTATCTGCATCTTTGCTCCTCAAAGTGCACTTCCCAGCTTTGGCAGCAAGGGTAGCCTCAACAGCCTCGAGGAACTTGTTAGAAATGGAGAATCTCAGGTCCCACCCCAGACCGATGGAACCAGAATATGTGTTGGAACAAGATTCCCAGGAGATTTAGATGCATGTGAAAGTTTAAGAAGCGCTGAGCTGAAGCTTACGAAGCCCACTGTAGCCACTTGATCTGAACGGATGCTGGGATTGAGATACTTTAAATTGTGTGTCTCGTCTTCATTTCGTCTTTCCTGAATCTACAGTGTGCTTTATAAATGAAAAAGACAATGGCCTACTATGGAGAGAGTGCCCACTTTAATTGATCGGAACTCCCAAGAGGCTGAGAAGTAAGAGATGACCCAGATAACAAGTGAAACTCACTTCAGTGGCAAGCATAGAAGACTATGAACTATCAGTCAGGCATGTCTATAGGGGACCTTCTGTGTGCCAGGCACCTACTGTGTGCAGGCACTGTGGATGATGCAAGGGAATGGCATGGTGCCACGGGAAGCCCCGCCCTGGGAGTGCTCAGGAGACGCGGGTTCTTGTCCAAACCTCACTTTTCAGCAGCTGGGAATTCCCCTCACCCCTCGGCATCTGCATTTCCCATCTGAAAAACAAGTAGGTCATCAACTCTAAAGAGATGTGATTCTAATAGCCCTAGCCTCATATCCTTGGTATAATTGGGTAGATAAAATGATTTTAAATGATTACACATGAAACCGAGGGCAACTCAGGACAGGATGTGATTAAGAGCTGAGCTGTGCGGAGTTGGCAACGTGGGGAGCTCTGACTCCTGGAAGCTGTATGTGAAGTGCAGAAGTGTCTGGAATCCATAAACTCCTCCTCCCCTGGCTTCCAGAGCCTCTATGGAGGAGGGGGGGCCGGATGGACTTTCACACTTGGCCACTAGGTGTCGCTGTGATGATGTGAAATCTACGGCTAGCAGGGAGGCTTACAGGGAAAATCATCTTAGCCGCTCCGGGTAAAGAAACAAGGCTGGCTTCCAGACAGGAAAACACAAGTTTCTGAGTGCTGAGGGGCTCAGAGCACAAAGTTGGCTTGGGTCTAAACAGGAACCAGTGCATACATTCCACCCTGCCCAGGCTGGCTCAGATGACGTGAAAGTAAGAATGTCAGCAGAGGGCACACAACAGACCCCACCTACACACACACACACACACACACACACACACACACACACTTTTCGGACATCAGAGTGTCAGGGACCTTCCTTATCACACTGGGTCTCTCCACCGTGTTCTGGACTCTGCTCCTCTACTCCTCACTTGCCCTATAGATAGTAAGGAATTTGAACCCAAATCAGAAGCGCTTCCTCCACAGACCTGATCCCAGTAGAGTTTTGCTCCGGCAGTCAAGTTAGGAGGCTTCAGTACAAGCCTGAGGCCCTAGCCTGGTCACTCTGTCTGGAGGTGAGCAGTGTTTGTTCCAGACCTACCAGTGCTGTTCAACGTTCCGACCCATGCAATTTCCCTGGAAAAGGGATTGCGTGGAGGGAGAAAAGTGGCGCTGATTAAGGCTGCACTGTGCCACGCTCAGGGCTATGCACCTTACACGTATTGCTCATGAGCTAGCTTCCCCCGCACTGCTTCCTACTATCCCCAGCTCTGCTGCTGAAGAACAGCGTAGACAAACCAAAAGCCTTCCTTCTCCTAAGGAAATAACCAGCATTTACTAGCATAGAACGTAGAGCCCCCACGCCTTGGTCATTCTCAGTTCTGTTTCTTGACGACCATGTGATAATATGTGTGTGTCATTTCATCTTTCTGAGGCTCAATTTCCACATCTGTAAAATACAGGTATTAACTTCATACCTTACAAAGTTGTTTAAGCATGCCTTGCAGCTTGTAAGATGCTATACAAGAATTACATAGAAGTCAATTTTTTATTTTTAGATTTCTTATAGTTTTAACTTTTTATTGAAGTATAAGTTACACACTGAAACATGCACATTGTCATCAATGTATAGCCCATTGAATTTTGAGACTGAACATACCAGCACCCAGACTGAGAACAGAATACTACCAGCAGCCCAGGGACCCTGCCTGCCCCTTCCAGGCACTCACCTACTCGCCTCTCACCCTGGGCTTATATTATCCTGACTTGTAAGAGCACAAATTAGTTTTTAATTTTTATACTTAATATAAATAGAATTATACAATATGTGCTCTTTTGTCTTTGGCTCTTTCACTAAGCTTCCATGTTTTTACATATAATAGTTCATTCATTCTACTTGTTATAAGGTATTCCATTGAGTGAATAGACAACAATTTATCCGTTCTAGAGCTGATGGATATTTGGGTAATTGTCTGTTGGGGGAAGCTATTATAAATAGGGCATATTTGATGGTTCTAGTACATATCTAGTACACATCGATACTCATTTCTGCTGGACACAAGACTGATTTCTACTATTTTCTTTTTTGTGTCTCTTTCAAGTAAATTTGGATTTGCACATGTGAAAGCCTCTGTATCTTGATGTGACAAGCACACCCACTTTCTGGTAGACTGGCTAGAAAGGAATTTGAGAAAGTTAGGACTGGCAAAATTTCATTAGCTCCTAAAGGTGCTTCCTTTTTTTCTTTTTCTTTTTTCCCACACTACCTTACCAATGTAAGGGTGTTTCCTTGAACAGATGTGTAGCTGTATTTCAGCTCTGTACAGCCACCACAGCCCCGTTTCGTATGTTTTAGTCCTGTCTCCAAAATTATGTTGTCAGATCATTCAACATAAAGGACCATACTTTTTCCTTGTCTTATACCACCCACTGAGCTGACCAGGAGTTGGAAACAAGGTGGCTGGATGTTCAACTGTTTATTTTCTTATTCAGTTCATTGGCTTGGACCACCCTAGACTGGACTAGACTAGCCAGTAAAGGAAGAATTGTCCCTATAGAAGCTCCAGACCATTCTGGAGTGGGAAAAAATAGTGAAAAAGGGCAAAAGTTTCTTTTCTAGAAGTCTTGGAAAAAGACTGGTGTTTCATTGGCTCTGATTTGGTCACATGCCTGGCCCTGAAAAAAAAAAATTAATCCAGCCAGAGTCCTGCAATGCACATTTGCCTGGTTTTTAAAACCATGTGCATATATATTTTAATTAACTTTTAAAATCATAAAATAAAGAAAAGTACATAAAGCACACAGATGGAATATAGTGAACAACTATGTAATCACTATGCAGATCAAGAGCAAAAACATCGCTGGGATCCCAGAAGTCCTTACTTCATGTGTCTCTTCCCCATCATAACTCCCTCCTTCCTTCCCTCTAGAGATAATTATTATCCTGACTTTTATAGTAATTACTTCCATTTCTTTACAGTTCTGCCAAATGAACATCCCTTAAAAATATAATTTAGTTTTGCTTGTTTTGAACTTTATATAAATACCATGTGTATTCCTTTGTGTCTTACTTCTTTCACTCAACATTGTTTTATGATCGATCCATGTTGTTCTGTGTAGCTGTAGTTCATTCATTTTTATTCTTATATAGTATTTAAGTGTGTAAATATACCACAATTCACTTATTCATTTTATTGTTGTTGGATATTTTGGGCTGATTTCAGTTTGGGCTGATTATGAATAATGGCCATTATTCACATGGCCATTTCTGTACACATTTCCTGATACATATGTATATACATTTCTGTAGGGTATAAATTTAGAAGTGAAATTACTGGTTCATGGTATATACATATCTTCAGCTTTGCTAGATCCTATCAAATTGTTTTTAAAGTTGTGTCAATTTACGCTCCCATACTTTTGCTGTGTGTGAAATTTCTTGTTATTTCACATCTTTGAAAATACTTTGTATTGTCAGATTTCTTAATTTTTGTCAAATTGATGCTTTTACATGGGTTTTCATTGTGGTTTGAATTTGTATCTCCTTGTTTATTTATGCAATGAATGCCTTTTAATATATTTATTAACAATTTGTACTTCCACTTGTGAGACATGTCAAAGTCCTTTCACCTTTCTGGATCCAAGTCTTTTTTTTTTTTTTTTTGAGACGGAGTCTTGCTCTGTCACCCAGGCTGGAGTGCAGTGGCGCGATCTCAGCTCACTGCAACCTCTGCCTCTTGGGTTCAAGCAATTCTCCTGCCTCAGCCTCCCAGATAGCTGGAATTACAGGCACTTGCCACCGCGCCTGGTTGATTTTTGTATTTTTAGTAGAGACAGGGTTTCCCATGTTGGCCAGGCTGGTCTTGAACTCCTGACCTCGTGATCTGCCTGCCTTGGCCTCCCAAAGTGTTGGGATTACAGGTGTGAGCCACTGAGCCCGGCCTCTGGATCCAAGTCTTTTGTCAGTTGAATATGTTGGGAATATCTTCTCTCACTCTATTGTTTCCATTTCTTTCTAGTATATTTTGATAAACAGAAGTCCCTAATTTTAATGTAGTCTGATGTTTTAATCTTTTCTTATATGATTGGTGCTTTTGTTTCTTATTTAATATACCTTATTTAAGATATGTTCAAAGTCATGAAGATATTCTTCCCTATTATATTACTCTGTATTATCTCCCACAAATTCTGTTGGCTTTCCTTTCATATATCAACCAGTCTCAGTTGTTCTGAGATTAGCTTTTGTGTATGATGTGAGGTAAGGATTCAATTTAAAACTTTTTCACATGGATACTGATATGGTTTGGCTGTGTCCCCATCCAAATATCAACTTCAATTGTATCTACCAGAATTCCCACATGTCGTGGGAGGGACCCTGGGGAAGGTAACTGAATCATGGGTTGGTCTTTCCTGTGCTGTTCTCGTGATAGTAAGTCTTACGAGACCTGATGGGTTTATCAGGGGTTTCCACTTTTTTTCTTCCTCATTTTTCTCCTGCCACCACCATGTAGGAAGTGACATTTGCCCCCGCCATAATTCTGAGGCCTCTCCAGCCATGTGGAACTGTAAGTCCAATTAAACCTCTTTTTGTTCCCAGTTTCAGGTATGTCTTTATCAGCAATGTGAAAATGAACTAATACAGATACCTAACAACCAGTGTTGAAAAGGCTGTTCTCTTACCAATGCTCTGCAGAGCTCCCTTTTAAATAAATTCCATGATGATATGTGTCTGGATTGGCGACTGCACTCTCTATTTCTTCCAATGGTTATGTGTCTATCCCTACATAAATACCACATTACTTATTTATTATAACTTCGTAATACATTGTGGTATCTGGAAGAGCATTTCCTCCCAGCTGGTTCTTTTTCAAGAGTATATTGGCTATTTTTGATCTTTTGTATTTTTGTATAAATGTTAGAATCAGCTCATGAAGTTTCAAAAAATTGTTAGAATTTTTATTGTGGTTCCATTCAATCTATGGACTATAGATGCATTTCCAGATAATTGATATCCAATCCGTGAGTCTTACAATCCATCAAGATGGACGGTATCTCTGCATTTATTTAAGTCTTCCTTAATGACTATTAATGAGGTTTTAAAAATAATCTCAAAGGGCTTTTACACCTGTTTTATTATTAGAGTTATTCTTAGGTACTTGATACTGTTAATGCACTTGTATACAGCTTTTTGGGGGTAATTTTCTTATCTAACTGTTGTTTCTTTTCATTAAACTTTTTATTTCAGATCATTGTAGAATCATATATAGCCTTAAGACGTAATACAAAGAGATTCCACGTATCCTTTACCCAGTTTACTCTGATGGTAACATCTTGCAAAAGTAGCTTATGATATCACAACCAATAACAATATTGTTATTAACACTGATACACTCAAGATGAAGAACACTTTTATTACCACGAGGATTCCTCACCCATTTTACTCCCAACCTCACCTCTTCCTAAATCCCTGGCAACCACTAATTCATTCATTCTATAATTTTGTCATTTAAAAATGGAAGCATATAGTATGTAACCTTTAGGGATTGGCATTTTTACTCAGCATAGTTCTCAAGATTTTCATTCAGATTGTCATGTACCAATAATTTGTTCCTTTTTCCTTAAACATTAGGTGAAATTCTCCAGTGGAACCATCTACACCTGGAGATTTCTTTTTCTGGGATTTTAAAAATTATAATTTACATTTACTTAATACTTATAGGGCAATTCAAAATATCTCCTTCATATTGGGTTAGTTGTAATAGTTGGTTTTTCTCAAGGAATTGGCTCATTTCATCTAAGTTGTTAAATTTTATGAGTGTTTATCCTTTGAAGTCTGTGGGGTCTGTAGAAATATCCCGTTTCATTCTTGATAGTGGAATTTGTGTCTTTCTTTTTTTCTTTGCCAGTCTTGTTAGAGGTTTATCTCTTTTATTGATCATTTCAAAGAATAACCTCTTTGCTGCATTGATTTTGTCTACTTTTTTGTTTCAATTTCATTGCTTTCTACTTTTTATTATTAGCTTCTTTCCTCTTGCTTTGACTTTATTTTCCTTTGCTTTTCTACATACTTGACATGGAAGCTTAGATTATTGATTCGAGATTTTCCTTCTTTCTAATATATGCTTTGTGCCATGAATTTCCCTTGAAGTACTGTTTTAGCTTCTTTCATTTGTTGTATTTTTATTTTCATTTGGTTCCATGAGGTTTTTTATTTCCCCTGAGTGGAGTATAGAAACATTCCTTTGAAGCTCTTTACTCTTTGCCATTTGTAATATAACTGTTTTAAATACTCCCTCTACATACATTGAAGAACACAGGAGAGAATGTTATAATTTTTGCTTTGACCCTTGAACATAATTTAGAAGACTCAAAGGAAGAGGGAAAGTCAATTTTATTTACCCATATTTTTGCTTACTATATTTTTTTCTTCCATCTCGATGGTCCAAGATTCCTGCTTTTATTATTTCCTTAGAGAATATTTCCTTAGAGAATATCCTTGAACTGGTCTTTGAGGGTCTACTGCGACAATTTTTTTTAATAGAAACAGGGTCTCAGAAAGGGTACTCTATATTGTAAAACCTGCCTAATTTTTCTGACTCTTATGAAAACTATTGCCCATGCATACTTCTACTTTTAAATAAACAACTTTGATGATGTAACTTGACTTGCCAGAGTTACAGAAGTTTTGTCCTCACTTAATGAATAAATTGTACGTATTTTTTTCTAAAACAATAAAGAGAAACAGGGTCTCGTTCTGTCATTCAAGTGGAGTACAATGGTGTGATCACAGCTCACTGCAGCCTCAGACTCCTGGGCTCAAGTGGTCTTCCTGCCTCAGACTCTCAAGTAGCTAGGGCTACAGGTGCATGCCACCATGCCCAGCTACTTTTTTTATTTTTCTTTTTGTAGAGACAGTCTCACTATGTTGCCCAGGCTGGTCTTGAACTCCTGGCCTCAAGCAATCTTTTAACCTGGGCCTCCTAGAGCACTGGGATTACAGGCAAAGCCACAATACCAACCAATTTCTTTTAGTTTTCCTTCATCTGAGAATATTTTTTGGTTTCCCATTTATTTCTGAATGATATTTTCACTGGGTATAGGATTCTCAGTTGACAGTTCTTTCTTTCAGCACTTGAAAAATATTGCACCACTTTCTTCTGGCATCCATAATCTCTGTCATTGGAATTGTTTTTCCCCTTTTGGTAAAGTGTCAATTCTCTTTTATAGCTTTCAAGATTTTTCTTTCTCTAGCTCCCCAAAGTGTGACTCCTTGTGAATTTCTTTGACTTTATCCTGTTTAGGATTTGCTCGGCTTCCTGAATCTATAGCCTAAGCCTCTTGCCAAATTTGGAGAGTTTTCAGCCATTACTTCTTCATGTCCTTTTCCAGCTTTGTCCTCTTTCTCCTCTCCTTCTGGAACACTAATGACATAAATATCATTAGTGTCTTTTGTCCTATAGGTCTCTGAGGTGCTATTCATTTTTTTCTATTTTTTTCTCTGCTATCCAGATTAGGTAATTTATATTGTTCTACTTCAAGTTCACTGATCTTCTCTTCTGTTCCTGCCATTCTGTGATTGAACCCATCTGTTGAGTGTTTTATTCTATTACTCTATTTGTCAGTTCTAAAATCTCTATTTGGTTCTTCCTTATATCTTCTATTTTCTTGATGAGGCTTTCTCTTTCTTTGTGGAGACAGTAAAGCTTTAAAAGCTTTGTCAAATAATAATAGCTCTGTCATCTCAGTGTTGCCATAATTTTTTTTCATTCAATTTGAGATTTTCCTGGTTCTTTGTATGATAAGTGATTTTTGGCAGAAATCTAGAAATTTTGAGTATTACATTATGAGACTCTGATTCTTACTTAAATAAGATTTAGCCAACTCTCTATGACATCACTGTGGAAAGAGAAGAATGGGTACCACCTAATTTCTGCCAGGTTGGGGTAGAAGTCTAGGTTCACCACTCAACCTCTGTTGATACTCAAGGAGAAGGGGTGGCTCCTCAATATAGTTGATTGGGGTTGAGAGTTCCTGTTCCTCAGTAGGCTTCCACTGATAACTTCCTGGCTAGGAAGAATAGGGTTACTTTGTTACTGCTGGGTGGGAGTGGAAGTCACAGCTCCCTACATAGTCTCCACTAATGCCATGTGTGAGGGGGAAGGGGGTTATTTATTATCACCTGGTGGGGATGAAAGCCCTGCTTGGGTTTCACTGAAACTACACCAGCAGGTGACTGGTGAGGGTGGAACTCTAAGTGCTCCACTTATCTTTGCTGGTATGGGTAGGGATGGAGTCAAAGTTTTTTCTATGGTATACGGCTGAAGTAGAACCATAAGTTTCCTAAATTTTCTCTCCTGTTAAGTTTATAATTTCCTGGTCCTTTGGCTAGAGAGAGCAGGCTTTTTTTTAGCAATTTTTTTTTTTTTGTCTGTGCCCATTTACATTTCTGGGATGCCAGGCTCTCTAGCACCCAGTCTGGGACTTATGAGGCAAAACAAAACAAAAACCAAAACAAAACAAACAAACCAAATCTGGGGAACTTGCTAACTATGGTTTTCTCTCTCGGTCCTGAAGTTCCTAACCAGTCTGTCTTCTTGCCTTCACTCTTCAGAGCCTTCTTATGATTGTTATGCATATACAATGTCCAGGATTTTTAGTTATGGTCATGAGAATAGGGAAAACTACATCTATGTTACCTTCTAGAAGCAGATAATAGTTCATTTTGTATATTGCTTTTATATCCAATTGTCTTGCTAGAATTTGTATTAATTTTAATAGTTAAAAGTTATTGCATCTTCTGTTTTTTAAGTATTTTTAGTTAATTTCAAGATCTTTTATTTTGCTTTTCACTTTTTTCATTTTAGAGACTTGTTTTCAAATATCTGATCACCCTTTGCTATTTGTTCATATTTAAGAACAAAAAGGCCAGGCACAGTGGCTCATGCCTGTAATCCTAGCACTTTGGGAGGCTGAGGTGGGTGGATCATGAGGTCAAGAGATAGAGACCATCCTGGCCAACATGGTGAAATCTTGTCTCTATTAAAAATACAAAAAAAAAAAAAAAAAAATTAGCTGAGCATGGTGGCACGTGCCTATAGTCCCAGCTACTCGAGAGGCTTAGGAAGGGAATCACTTGAACCCAGGAGGCAGAGGTTGCAGTGAGCCAAGATTGCACCACTGCCCTCCAGCCTGGGCAACAAAGCAAGACTCTGTCTCAAAAAAAAAAGATAGTGAAACTAGAAGGTGTTTTGTGTGCAGCAAACTTATGACTCGTAGGCTTTGCTGTACATGGATCAGGTGGGGACCCAGCTATTTCACTGAGGAATTTCCAAATATCAATAGGTTGAGCACTTGTCCCTACAGCCAGTTTCTTTGGGAAAGAATCCTCTAATCACCCATTGAGATGGCATTATGCCATTTGTTCAGAGTTTTGAAAGTGGAAAAAGGGAGTAGAATGAGGATCCAACAACTCTTATAATTGTCCCTCTATTTTTCATTGTCATGTCTCGCACCGCCATGGTTCTTGTGGATTTGCAAGTGATTATCCACTCATCAGTGTTCCACTCAGTGATTTATAACCTCCTACACTCTGCAATCAGTTTTCTCGCCTCCATTTGCTTTCCAGCTTGCAAAATTTTGTTTGCATCTCTTGAGTGCTAATGTCTCTTCCTTTTGTTCTTGTGTCTTTATATATTTCCATCTTAGCTAGTAACATAATTACTCATTTTCTCACCTGCCAGAAATCAGTATTCACTCTAAATTCCTCTTCTCTCTCATCCTTCCACATCCAATTGTTCAGCAAGTCTGACTGTTATATTCTAAATTTATCCAGGATACATACTCACCAATACTACTTTAGATCTCTCACTTGAACCATTATACAAACTTCCTGGAGAGTAGCTTGCCTTCAATCCATCTTTTTGCACATCACTACGTGACTTTTTTTGCTGTGATGGAAAAGACGTCTATTCCTGTGATGGCAGGATCTTCTACCATTACTTGTCCTCTCTGACTCCTCTAGAGAGAATTAATTCTACCCTTCTCTGTGCAGCTTTGGTGTCTTATGTATATGGCTAATGTGGCACACATCATTCAGTTCCATATTGTTTATTTATTTTGCATTTGGCTCCCACTAGACCATGAGCTTCCTTAAGCCAGGTACTAATCATGACTAATTTAGGTTATTATCTCCAGACCCTAGCATAGTACCTAGTAAAAGGTAAATTGCTTACTTTAAGTAATAAATGAGTCACATGGCACATGTATACATATGTAACTAACCTGCACGTTATGCACATGTACCCTAAAACTTAAAGTATAATAAAAAGAAAGAGAAAAAAAAAAGAAAAAGAAAATGTGGTACATATATACCATGGAATACCATGCAGCCATAAAAAAGAATGGGGTAATGTCCTTTGCAGGGACATGGATGGAGCTGGAGGCCATTATCCTTAGTAAACTAATGTAGGAACAGAAAACTAAATACTGCATGTTCTCACTGAGAAGTGGGAGTTAAATGATGAGAACACATGGGCACACAGAGGGGAACAACACACTCTAGGGCCTATCAGAGGGTGAAGGGTGGAAGAGGTAGAGGATCAGGAAAAATAACTAATGGGTATAAGGGTTAAGACCTGGGTGATGAAATAATCTGTACAACAAAACCCCATGACACAAGTTTACCTATGTACCTGCACATGTACCCCTGAGGTTAAAATAAAAGTTAAAAAAAAAAGTAATAAATGAGTCATGAATCAATACATATGTGTATCTTTTATATCCATTTATATGTCTTTGGACTTACATGATGCATATATAGATGTTTCTATCTTTGTGTATGTGTACAGGTACATGTGTTGCTACAATCTGAGGTAAGTTCACCTTATGAAATTTTAGATAATAAAATTAATTTGAAGGAATGTGATTAGTCACTTTTGATTAAGTAAACTATCTTGAGAGATTCTTATACATGTGTTACTGATAAAACTTGAATGCTTCCTAAATATTATCAAAGATCTATGGTTTCTTTCAGATAGCTAAGAAGTTAAAATATAAGTCATATAACATAACCCATATTGTGATTAATTTTAATAAGTTCAAAATAGTAATGACAAAACAAAAACTCAGAGGTAGACTTGTAATCTGTTCACCGTCACTTACCATTCTGGAACTCTTCATTATTTTGCGTAGATCCAAATTTCCCTCCAGTATCATACCCCTGCCTAAAGAACTTCCTTTAATGTCTTGTATTTCAGGTTTGCTAAATGAGTTCTCTCAGACGTTGTTTGTCTAAAATAGATTTGATTTAATTTTCGAGATCATTTTAACCAGGTATTATATTCTGAGTTGATAATTTTTTGTCTTTCAATATTTTAAGGATATTGCTCTACTTTCTTTTTTCTTGCATTGTTTCTCATGAGAAGTTTATTGCCATTATCATCCTGTTCCTCTGTTTGTAAGGTTTCTTTTTTTCCTTTCGGTTACTGTCAAGGTTTATAACCTCCTACAATCTGTAATCAGGTTATTTCTCTGAGTTTGGATTTGTGATTTGTTGTTTGTTTTTTTTCCCATCAAATTTGGAAATTCTCAGCTATTATCTCTTCAAATTTCTCTTCTTTACTTCTTCTATAACTATATGTATATTAGACTCTTTGATGTTGTCCTACAGCTCTTGGTTGCTATATTCTGTTTATCTCCCTCATTCTTTTTTTTCATTTGTATTTCACTTTACATCATTTTTATCCACCTATCTTTAGGTTTGTTGACTCTTTCTACTGTATCCAATTTGCTGATAAGTCTGTGTATATGTTTATGCCTCTTGTCTTTTATTTCTTTATTTGCTTATTTTTATTTATGTATTTATTTATTTTTGAGACAGGTTCTCATTCTGTCATCCAGGCTGGAATGCAATGGCACCATCTCTGCTCACTGCAGCCTCTGCCTTCCAGGTTCAAGCGATCCTCCTGCCTCAGCCTCCCGAGTAGCGGGGACTACAGGTGCATGCCGCTATGCCCAGCTAGTGTTTATGCCTCTTGTCTATCCATTCCACTAGATCCCATAATACCACACTCATAATTATTTCAAAGTGAACTGCCTGATTATTCCAATATTTGGGTCACCTCTGGATCTGGTTCTGTTGATTGCTTTGTCTTTGGACAATGGGTTGTCTTTTTTCTGGTGTTTGTATGTGTGCGTGTTTCATAATTTTTTACTGAATGTTGGACCCTGTGATAAAGGAATAGTAGAGACTGATGTAAATAGTAGTTACTCTTGGAAATGAAGTCTTTCCTCAGTTCAACTATTCATGTGGGAAGTTCTGTCAAATTTTTCAGTAGTTGAGCTGGGTTTGGGTTTTGTTTTTGCTACAATGATCTTTAGTGCACCAAAGAATTTAAATAATCAGCTGCTATTATCTTGTTCCTAGTGTGGGGCCTGGAGCACTGGAGGAGTGTTCTCAGTGTTCCTGTTCCACTCTCATCTCTCTTTGGACTTTGTATTCTTGTGCTACAGGTGGGGATGGGGGCATCTCTCCATGCTCTTGCCTCTGCCTCAGTGATAAGGCTGCAGTGGCTTGTTACTCAGTGCAAGGCTCTTGGTTGGGGCAAGGAAGGCTTTTTTATTATCATAGTTCAGCCTCAGTCTTAGGTTCTGTGTGCCTGGGCCTTGAGGGTGAAACTTGCTTGGCATTGCTGCCCCTCCCACATCCATGGAAGCCATTTTCTGCCTTGTACCTGTATGGATTCTTGGGCAAGAGAGGGTTTCCTGCCTCACTTCCAGTGAGAGCAGATATGTTGTTTGTGTCACTACAGGATACTGGGCCTGACCAGGTTTCCTGCCCTTCTCCAGGGACAGATGTTTTTTGTTTCTACTCTTCTCTCAGAAGCAGATTAACTTTGTCTAAGATTGGGGTAGAAAGGGCTTATAATCTAAGAAAGAAAAGCTCTGAAGTGAGCATTTGCCTTGGTATGTCCCTGTACTAACCAGGGACAAAAACATACCCCAATATAGATGTTTCTGGTCATTTGGCTGGCATCTTTTAGCAAAAAGATGGTTGTTACAGCCAAGCACCAGTATTTCTTAGGATAACTCACCTCCTTTTATCCTGACTTTCTGTGCTTATCAAGTAATTTCCTGGAATTATGTTACTTCTCGCTTTTCTTCCTTCTGGAAAGAATTTATGTTGTACTCTTAGCAATTGTTATTTAAAAATAGCTAATAAGTCTGATGGTTGGGAATCCTAGAACTTGATCACTCATAAGAGAACTGTATCTGGCTGACCTAATGAGCTGAGGACCAGGCCCCAGGTCCATGATGAGCCCAGAAGATCTGATGCTCTGTGAAAATGGAAAATATAGCTGGCCAGCAGAGACCTCCCTCCCTCCACTCCCCTACATTGACTACAGTACCATATTGTGAAATACAGTATTCAGCATATTTTCAATGTTACCCAAAGTACCATCAAAGGATTGACAGCATGGTTACAATATAAGCAAATCGCCTGAGAAAATCTCATTATGTCGGACTGATGGGTTCTTCTTTAGTGTGAAAATGAATATGGCCAAGCACATGAAAAAAGGTACACACAGCATTATCTGTATATGCACACATGTACATACAGAATTCATATTTATATACATATCCATAGATTCCGTTGGCTATGCTGGTTGCTAAGGTGATTCTTGCTGGAGTAAATACAGCTTTGCTGGTCAACTCAGACAGAGAAAGCTTCATTGAAGACACATCAGATCCTCTCTTGAGAATCTCTCCCCTTTACTGAGGTGCCTCTTCCTGCTCACTCCTTCCCCAATGCCAGGCAGAAACACACACTGCCAGCTGGGGAGCAGGCTCAAAGTCTGAGGAGCTCTATGTGGGAAGCCTCATTTAACACATGGAGCCCAAAAAGAAACAGGAAAAAAAACCTCAATGCTCAGCTGAATTCCAGAAGCCTACTCATTCTAATACTAACAGATGAGTAGGAGAACAGGAAAGCAAGTGTCATGATCCCACCCCTCCCTGTTTCCCTGGCTCCCTCCCATGACCATTCCAGCCTCCTCCTCTTCCCCCAACTTTTGGATCTGAAGCAGCTCTAATGCTTAAGTCTGGAGACCCAGCATCTTTTACTTCTCAGTCTTTCAACATTTTGGCCTTGGAGGCAACTAAGGCTCTACTAAAACTGAAAGACAATTTTCTAAGAGGATGAGATAAAGAGCTTTGGAAAAGCTCAGCACTCCTTCCTGGAGAGACAAGCAGTTCTTTAAAACAGCACAGCCTGTAGAGTCAGAGACTCCCTTTAAACCCTGTTGACCAGAACACGGGGCAGGGTCAATAGGGCCAGTTCCCCCACATGCTATTTCTGACTACAATTTTTATATCTCTAAACTCCAATTCTATATTTTTAATTCCTTCTTTTAAAAATATTTCTCTGTCTCCCTAATATGAGATGGAACACAAGTGATTTATATTTTGAGGTCAGGCTTGGTCTTTGGATATGCTGTATATTTCTCCCCAGATTACCCCAGAGGCAACACTCAGTCTCTTCGCTGGTTTTACCAAGCAATCCACTCATGCCAAATTTGGGTGAGTTTAGTAGAATTAACTTTAGCTTTGGTGAAGTTACAAGAAAAGGATCACATCACAGAATAAGAAGCCTTCTCCCGTCTTCCCAGCCCTTCCTTCCCTCTGCTGTCCTTCCTCTCTACACACGGTCCCCTCCAAATTTTTCTCACTTGATTAAACATAATAATTTTTCTCTCTCTCTGAAACCTTAGTGCCAACTAACATCCAGAGCCTGGATGAGGATGTGGGGTGGTTGAAAGGAAGCTGGGAAGGGAGTAGGGTGTAGATTCTACCCAAATTTACTTAAACATGTTCATCACAGTGCTCAGGGGGAAAAAAACCTCTACATTAATGTAATATATTCTCTTTAGAGCCTAGTCATATTACAGAAAACAAAACTTTCCCTCTGATATAAGGAAATATATACTTCTCTCAAAATGTGTGGGTAACAATAGAAATCACTTTTGACTCTAAGCCCAAACACTTTTTCCTCTTAGCCAGGAAACCTCCTGGCTAAGTCTCTTGTGGGCACGTTGTTCTCCTTGGAGAAGGTTGCTCTTCTTTTGTCAGAACTGCTGGTCTCCACTCAGCTGCCTAGTAGCTGGAGCCATTTCTACCCCCTTTTTCTTCTGGCCATGGCTATTCTGCTCCTCTGGCCCTACCCAGTGGTAAAGCATGCGGCCCATGAAGCCACTAGTGATATTCTTCTGAAGTGGGACAGGTCTCTTTCTCTCATTCAGATTTATGACTTTTATTGCTCTGATGCTTAAACATGAATCCTATTACAGTTCTTGTACATTACTTGCTCTCTCAGTTTCTTAGTGGCTCTTCTCGTGGAAGGATATCCCTCAGTATTGCACACAAAAATAATGCTTTATATCATTCTTTACTCATTGGCCCAGGACCAGGTTCCACTGCCTTGACTTCAATGTATATCCCAGGTGTGTGTCTGTGTGTGGTGAGGGGGATACAATATACAATACTGTTAATTCTGGCCTCCTAGGCATCTTCATAGCTATCTACCTAAATGTCTATCTGTTTCTTTCTCCCAGGCTCCTTGTGCAAATAAAATTCTTTAATACCCATCTTGACATTCTAGAACAGTACTGTTGAAAGAAATGTAATGCAAGCCCCTTATGTAACTTTAAGTTTTTAGTAGCCTTATTTTAAAAAGGAAAAGAAACAGATAAATTAATTTTAATAATATCTAAAATTTAGCTCAATATATCAAAATAGTATCATTTCAACAAATAATGTAAATATTTTATTTTTTTTGCACTAAATCTTTGAAATCTAGTATGTGTTTTATACTTACAGCACATCTCAGTTCAGACTAGCCACATTTCAAGTGCTTCATAGCCACAGTGACTAGTTGCTGTCATATTGGGCAACACAATTCTAGAGTTTCAAGGGTAAGTGTATAAACAGTCTACTGTCTGGAATTCTAGCAACAAACATACAAAATATGCATTGATGTATCAAGTACAAACTTCTCAGCTGAGCTTTTAAGGCCCTCTGTAATCTGTCCCACCATTCTAGCCAGTTTGATCTCCTTTGTGGTACTGCATACACCCTGATCATTCCTGCCTCTATGCTTGGCTTTTGCTGTTCCCCTGACAAATGAGCCTCTTTCTGTTCCTTCTGCTGTTTTAACTTCTAGACCCAGCTAAAGTTCTCTCCTTTCCTGGACTACAGCAATTCCTATTGTTCTTTCTTCAGAACTTCCCTTAGTAACCTTTTAGAGACTGTACCATAACATTTAGCAGTTACTTTGATTATATATATTATCTTTTTGTTATTTGCTGTTATAGAGGAGTCTCTTTTCTCCACCAAAACTGGGAGCCCTTTCAGAAGAGTATCCATGTTGTATACTATACTTCTCAATCACCCACATAATCTACCCTAGTGCAGAGCCCATGGTGCACACTGAAAATGCTTTTTAGTGGCTTAGTATGCATACCATTTCATTTATACCTTTTCTCTCCAGCTAGGTTGAAAACTTCTCCCAAACTAGATTCCGATTCTTTTTTTAATCTCCCACACCACTTAGCACAAATATTACTAGGATTTAAATATCTAAGCTTAGCCAAAATTGGAGAGCAACTGACAGATTGATAAGTGCTTTTGCATACCTAATCTCATTTGATTCTCAGGATAACTCTTTAATGTGGGACTTATTGATAGCATCATCACTTTCTAAATAATCAACATGAAGCTCAGAGGAATTGATTGATTTGCTTGAGGTCACACAGCAGGGAATTGCCAGAAAGCCCAAATGATCTAACTACCAATGCAAAACAATGCTTTCCATATCGGTGGTTACCACCCCCACCCTTGGTGCATCCCATCTTACCCCCTCCAAATCAACGTGGAGCCAGGGGTTCTGTTTTGCTTGGTTTTTGTAATTAATGTTTCCCAGGAGATTCTTGGGCATCCAGCTCTGCCATGTCCAAGAACAAGTATTTGGGAACTACTCTTCAGACATGCTATGTAAAGTGTAGCTCCCTTCTTACTCCTGTGGGGAGGATTCCCAGGGCAAGGCATCCTTGTAAATGGTGTCCTCATCTGCTTCTTTTCCCTGGTTACTCCTCACTCCCCGTTCAACTTGCCTGAAAAGAGAAAGGAGTACAAGAATTGTTAAATGTCTGTGAATGAACTTCAATAATAGTTGAATCTAAATATAACCCCTCATGGTTATTATTCCAAAAATCCAGTGATTATAGTTCAGAACTTTGAGCTACACATTCCCTACCTCCTTTCAGTCAGAATGCCCCACACCCATTAAAAGCAGTATTATTAAAAACAGCAGCTACTGGCCGTGCTTAGAAACAACTGTTCTCAAGTAAATAACTTGGAATGTTTTTATTTTAGAATATCAAAGGGAGTCTGGACCACATTATGGCTAATTGACTACATATTTCCATGAGCAGAAATGAAGCTATATTTTAGTTATAAAGATACCAACCACAATGTCTTTAATGTTGGTTACCAGCTTTTTTAAAAGAGGAGAGAGAAAGAAAACAAAAAGTGAATTGCACATTAAATCTCAGCTTAACTTAAATCTTAGCTCTAGTTATAGAACAAGGGGAAATTGGTGAATGTAGCACATACATTTTCTCCTAAGTAGAGTGATTGCAACCATGCTGCCATAGCCCTACTTTGTGTAGATCTATCCTGATTTTTAAAATGTTCTCATGGACAATTCTCTCTGTCTCTCTGTCTGTCTCTGTGTGTGTGTGTGTATGTGTGTGTGTGTGTGTGTGTGTGTGTGTTTAAGTATGTGTGTAAGTGTTATGTATCTCTTTTTCTCTTCCCTTCTCTCCCTTCCTCTCCTCCCTAATGGGAGGTGGTTAAAGCAGCCTAGCTTGCTAGCAAACAATGAGTTCTGAAAGCTGAGAAAACTTAAACTGCAGAGCCATTTCTAAAGAAATACTTACAGCAAAGTTGATCTGACTCTTTTAATGACTTGCATAATTGTTTTTTTTTTTTTTTGCTACATGTAATTAGGCTTAATAAGCATTATTTATTTTACAGCCTAATCAACCATTTTTGAGCTTAGCTAAGGGAAGGAAGTTTGAAAGAGGGTAGAGAAATGCCAGTGTGAAGCCCCCACCCCTGCTGCCCCCTCACTGTTTATCCTATCTCAGAAGAGGGGCTGCAAATGGAGCCGCACCTAGCACCCCATGCTCCCAGACTCATTCTCCTCCCGGTTCACTTTGCTAGTGAGTAAATTACTCAACTGGGAATTTCTAAAATCTCTAGACTATGGGTGGCCTTGATTAAATGCTCTAGGAAGAAAAGAAGAGAGAAGAAAAATCCTGGTTATCCGGAATTTTTGGATAATGAGTCTTTCCGGGCAGTAAAATTTCTCAGATAACTGAGCGCTTTTCCTTTAAGCTCCAGACTTTTAATTTTAACCATTTCAAATGGAAATCTAAATTAAACATATCATACTCTTCCCTGAGCTCTTAAACAATAGACACAATTTAAAATTGTCTTCACCAAGTTATAAAAAATGATAGTTTATTACATAGAAAAATCACCTCAGAGGTTGTTGAGACATGTAAGATGTTTATTCTATTAAATGATCCAGACTTACATACATGTAAGTCCTTGTAATGGTTTTTTGTTTGTTTGTTTTGTTTGTTTTTTAAAGACAAGGTCTCCAGGCTAGAGTGCAGTGGCACAATCACAGCTCCCTGCAGCCTCCGAGTTCTGGGCTCAAGCAATCCTCCTGCCTCCACCCCACAAGTAACAAGGACTACAGGCATGCACCATCTTGCCCAGCTAATTAAAACAAATTTTTTTTGTAGAGACAGGGTCTCTTGCTCTGTTGCCCAGGCTGGTTTGCAATGTTAGTTTTTTTATATCTATAATTTTTCTGAAAACATTATTTTCTGTTGTCAGTGTACCTACCACTAGCAATTCCATTTCCCTCTTTTAAACTGCTATATTCATAAGAACTATGAATATAAGTATGAATATTAAAATATTCATAAAAATGAGAATAACAGGTCTCCACATTGAGTGTAAAGTAGAGGTAAATAGTTTCTAAGGGAGTATCTCTGAGGGAGCAAATAGGACTTTTATGTGTCCTGCTGAATTTCCTTGTTCTTGCCAACTTTCTGGATAGAGAGATTGTCAGAAGGATGAATTCTGGAAAGTTAAGAAATTATTGTGGCTGTTCTAAGGAAACTGACTCAAAAACTCAGAAGGAGGGTGCTATGGTTTGAATGTGTCCCCCAAAATGCTTGTGTTAGAAATTTAATCCCCAATACAACAGTATTGGGAGGTGGGGCCTTATGGGAAGTGTCTATGTCACAAGGACTCCACTCTCATAAATTCATTAATGCCAATTATAAAAGGGCTTGAGTCTGCAATCTCTTGCCTCTCATGCATGCCCTTTGCCTCATGGTGCCTCTTGCCATGTGATGGCACAGCAAGAAGGTCCTTACCAGAGATAATCCTTCAGTCTTGGATTTCCCAGCCTCAAGACCTGTGAGCCAAATAAATTTCTATTGTTTATCCAGTCTGTGGTATTCTTTATGGTAATACAAAATGGGCTAAGAAGGCAAGATGAGATGTTAATCTCCCTTCATAGAATGTATAATAAAAATGATTTTAGGCTAGGTGCGGTGGCTCATGCCTATAATCCCAGCACTTTGAGAGGCCAAGGTAGGGGGGATCATCTGAGACCAGGAATTTGAGACCAGACTTAGCAATAAGCAAGACCCTATCCCTACAAAAAATAAGAAAATTAGCTGGGCTTGGCAGCACACGCCTGTAGTCCCAGCTACTCAAGAGGCTGAGGTAGGAAGATCACTTGTGCCCAGGAGTGCAAGGCTGCAGTAAGCTATGATTTCACCACTACACTCTAATCTGGGTGACACAGAAAGACCCCATGTCAAAATTAAACAAGAAAGATTTTACTTTTCTGATGACAAAACTAATGCATGCCAATTTTAAAAATATAGTCAAATCTTATAAATATATATGTATATAATACAGAAAAGTTCTTCATTTTCTCGCCATCCCCCAACCCCAAATAACTACTTATGAAAAGTACATCAATGCTTTTTATGTTCACATACTAGCATGTTATTATGAATTTTTAAAAACATAAATTTAAGATCTATCTGTACCTTACAACTTGATCTTTGAACTTACTAATTTATCTTGAATGTCTCATGAATTAGTCCATTTTTAGTTATTTCATTGCTTTTTTAACCACACCTTAGTATTCTATTAAGGATTGTATTAGTCACATTTCTCTAGAGGGACAGAACTAATAGGAGATATAGATATAGATATAGATATAGATATAGATATAGATATAGATATAGATATAGATATAGATACAGATGATATAGATATAGATATATCAAAAGGAGTTTACTAACTTATAAGATCACAAGGTCCCACAATAGGCTGTCTGCAAGCTGAGGAGCAAGGCAAACCAGTTTGAGTCCCAAAACTGAAGAACTTGGAATCTGATGTTTGAGGGCAGGAAGCATCCAGTACAGGAAAAAGATGTAGGCTGGGAGGCTAGGCCAGTCTCTTTTTCACGTTTTACTGCCTGCTTTATATTTGCTGACAGCTGATTAGATTGTGCCTGCCAGATTAAGAGTGGATCTGCCTTCCCCAGCCCACAGACTCAAATGCTTATCTCTTTTGGGATCACCCTGACAGATATACCCAGGATCAATACTTTGTATCCTTCAATCCTATCAAGTTGACACTCAGTATTAACCATCACAAGGATATCCCATAAGTATTGAAACAGTTCTCTGCTGATGAATATTTAGATAGTATTTAATTTTTCAACATTAAAATCAATAGTGAAGTGAACATCTTTGAATATGTATAATTGAGTGAGTATTTGGGTAGAATAAATTCTTAGATGTTGATATGATTTTGCTGTGTCCCCACTCAAATCTCATCTTGAATTGTAGCTCCCATAATAGTGTCATGGGAGGGACCCTGTGGGAGGTAATTGAATCACGGAGGCAGGTTTTCCCATGCTGTTCTCATGATAATGAAGAAGTCTCACAAGATCTGATGATTTTATGAAGGGGAGCTCCCCTCCACCTGCTCTCTTGCCTGCAACCATGTAAGACATGCCTTTGCTCCTCCTTCACCTTCCATCATGACTGTGAGGCCTCCCCAACCATGTGGAACTGTGACTCCATTAAATCTCTCTTTTTTTATAAATTACCCAGCCTTGGGTATTTCTTCATAGCAGTATGAAAATAGACTAATATAGATATGGAATTTGACCTTTGAACTTGCACTTAGAGCTGTTATATAAATACCACAACCAGGGGAGTTCAAAACTATGGAAATGCATTCTCTCACAGTTCTGGAGGCTAGAAGTCCAAAATAGAGGTGTCAGCAGGGCCATACTCCCTCTGAAACCTGTGGGGAAATTCTTATGTGCTTCTTCCTAGCCTCTGGTGGTTTGCTGGCAATCTCAGTTTGCAGCTGTGTAACTCTAGTCCCTGCCTTCTACATCACATGGTGTCTCTTCCTGTGTGTCTCTGTTTCCACATGGCCATCTTCTTATAAGGTCACCAGTCACACTGGATTAGGGACCAACCCCACTCCACTATCAGCTGAACTAATTACATCCACAATAACCTTATTTCCAAATAAAGTCCCATTCTGAGAACTGAGAGTTAGAACTTCAACATATCTTTTCTGTGTGGGGAGCAGGTGAAGTAGGGGAAGGAAGGGACACAGTTTAACTCATAACATCTTTCAAAGGATAAAGGCTTTAAACATTTAATAGATGCTGCCATTTTCTTCAAAAACATTATGCCAATGTATATTCTCATCAACAGTTTATGAGAGTACCAGTTTCTCATGGACACTGGATATTATAAATTTTCTATTATTTTCTAATCTGATAGGCAAAATTTATAACTGATTGTTACTTTATTTTGTATTTTTTATTAGTGAAATAGAGCAAATTTTCACTTGCTGTACTGACTACTATAAAGAACTAAAAAAAAGGAAAAAACATTAAGAATTTTTCACTTGCTTCACTAATTTCTTTTGTGATTTGCCTCTAATGTCCTTTGCCCAATTTTTCTGTTGTACTATTCATCTTTTTCTTATTGATTTATAAGGGCTTTTTCTTTACTAGAGGAATCTATAAACTCTTTGCTTATTATATATATTGTACTTTCCTCTCAATTTGTCCTTTATTTCTGTTCTTGCTACATAGAAGCTTATTATTATTATTATTGAGACAGGGTCTCACTCTGTTGCCCAGGATGGAGTGCAGTGATGAGATCTCAGCTCACTGCAACTTCCACCTCTGGATTCAAGTGATTTTCGTGCCTCAGCCTCCTGAGTAGCTGGGATTATAGGCGTGCAGCACCATACCCAACTAATTTTCCTGTTTTTAGTAGAGACGAGGTTTTCATGTTGGCCAGGCTGGAAGCTTATTATTTTATATGGTTACCTTTCTCTTTTCAGAAACCAGGAATTTTCATTCTTAGAAAGACCTTATCCACCCCCAAATTATAGAAATAGATGCCAATGTTTTCTTCTAATACAATTATGGCTTCATTTATACATTTAATTTTTTTATCCCATTGATATGTATTTTAGTATAAGGGTCAGGTGACAATCCAGTATTCTTATTTTTCCAAATGGTGATCACATGGTTGTCACAGGCTGTTTATTGATGCATTTTCCCCGTAGGTTGGAAATAACACTTGTATCATATCCTGCTTTCTGTGTAAATTGCCAGAAGCTTGAAGGTCCAGTTCTAGGCCACCCTATTCTGTTTCATTGTCCTGCCAGTCTCCTGCTGAGCTGGAACCAGTGTTAGAGTTACTGTAACTTTGTAATACAGCCTAATATCCCATGTGGTTTTTTTCCCTCCCTTACTTTCCATAGTTTTCCTGACTGTTCTCAGGAGTTTATTCCTCTAGATTAAGTCTAAATTTTGGCAAGTTCTTTACAAAATTTCTGCAAATATTTTGATAGAATGGCATTAAATTTATAATGAGGAGAGAATTGGCACTTCATATATTTTTTCTACTCAAAAAATAGACCTCTCTATGAATTCAAATCTTTTATGTCTCTCAATATTATGCCTTTTTTCTTCATATAGCACAGGTTATATAGTTTTGTTAACTTATTCTTAAGTGTGTGTGTGTGTGTGTCTGTGTGTGTTTTGAAACACACACACTCCCTCTGTCACTCAGGCTGGAGTGCAGTGGCGTGATCTCAGCTCACTCTAACCTCTGCTTCTTGGATTCAAGTGATTCTCTTGCATCAGCCTTCCAAGTAGCTGGGGCTACAGGTGTGTGCCACCATGCCCGGCTAATTTTTGTATTTTTGGTAGAGTTGGGGTTTTGCTATGTTGGCCCAGCTGGTCTCAAACTCCTGACCTTAGGTGATCCACCTTCCTTGGCCTCCCAAAGTGCTAGGATTACAGGAGTGAGCCACCATGCCCGGCCTGAAGTGTTTTTAAATTACTACTAGGAATAAGATCTTTTCTTCCAGTTTAATTTTCTACCTGATTGTTCTTCAGTATGCAGGAAAATTATGAGTTTTTAAAATATTAAATAGGTAACTGGTTACTTCCCTGAATTACATTGTTTCTAATGGCTTTGCAGTTGTTTCTCTTGGGATTTCAAGTATATTGTCACATCATCTGCAGTAACTATAATTTTGTTCCCTCTCTTACAATATTTATATCTTTTATTGGTTATCTTATCTAATTATAAAGTTTTTCCAGAAAAAATGTTAGTTAATAGCAGTAATAGTGAACATGCTTGTCTTATTCCTGATTTAAGCAGAAACCTTTCTATTGTTTGTCTGTCAACTGTGATGTTGGTTTATGATTTAGGATACATCTGTCTATTGTATTATGGAAGTATTCCTATATTCCTATTTTGACACAGTCATTAAGAACATAAGAACATGCCACTTACTAGCTGTATGCAACCCACTACCTAATATGTGACCTGAGGCAAGACTGTTAACCTTGCTAGGCTTTAGTGTCCTTATCTACAGACTGAATGGGAAAGGTAGTACCTCCCTCATTATGTGATGGTTGAGGACTAAATAAGAAAACGCACACAAAGCATATCAGATAGTGCCCAATACATAATAAGGGAAAAATAAATGTTAGCTCTTATTACTTTTTTTACGTGAATGAACACTGAAATTTGTTACATTTATTTTCTATACCTTTGAAAGTAATCATGACTTTTCTCCTTTGACTATTAACAGGGTTAATTATAGTAATAGATTTCCTAAAATTGAATCCAGCTGATATGAGTCCCACTTTGGTATTTTAAAATGGACTACTGAATTCTATTTGCTAGTTTCCTTTTTTTTTTTTTTTTGTTTTTTGAGATAGCTCGCTCTGTCACCCAGGCTGGACTGCAGTGGTATGATCTCGGCTCACTGCAACCTCCACCTCCCGGGTTCAAGTGATTCTTGTGCCTCAGCCTCTGGTGTAGCTGGGACTACAGGCGTGTGCCACCATGCCTGGCTAATTTTTGTAATTTTAGTAGAGACAAGGTTTCACCATGTTGGCCAGGCTGGTCTCAAACTCCTGACCTCAAGTGATCTGCCTGCCTCAGCCTCCCAAAGTGCTGGGATTATAGGCATGAGCCACCATGCCTGGCTATTTCCTAATATCTTTATTAGAGCTTTTACATTGTATTTAAAAGGAAGATTACCCTGAGATATGTGTGTATGTGTGTGTGTGTATGATGGGTATAGGTGTGTGGCATGGGCTATGTGTGTGCAGTATGTTTGTATCTGTGCAGTGCATGTGTGTTGGGGTGTGGGTGGTGTGGATATAAGGTGAATCTGTGTGGTGTGGTATATGTGTTGTGTGTATATGTATGTGAGGCACATTTTTATTTGGGTAGAGTGTGGTATGTGTGATGTGTGCATGAATTGTGTGGATGTTTGTATTCGTGCAGTGTTTGTGTGTGTGTGTCTGGTGGGGGAACAATGCTTTTGCATAGTGTGTGGTACATAAGTGTTATCTCTATGAGGTTTTGGTACCAATGATACGTTGGCTTCCTAAAATAGGTAGGAGAATTTTTCCTTTAAGCTTTGGATGAGTTAAATAGCAACAAAATCTTCTCTCCCTTAAAGGTTTAAAATGAGCAACTTGTTAAATGACCTGGGCCTTGGGAGCTTGTGGTAGCATTATCCACTTTTTCCATGGCTTGGTTTTTTGGAAGATCTCTGAGTCTATTTTGATAAGAATTTCTTTGAAAATCATCCATTCATTCCCATTTATTAGAGAATAGAGAAATAGCTATTTTGGATATGACATCAAATAATAGCTCAGTGTAATTCTAAAGCTTTTCTGACATTTAGTATGAAAAGAAAAAGTAAGAGCAGTTGAGAAGTCATTTTGGCACAAAGAACACTACAGGGATAGCCAAGAGGGAAAGACAGACTGCCTCTGAGCTGGATCATCTTTGAGTAATAAAAATGGAGAAAAGCGTGACTGACTTATTTACCATGACTAGATAAGTAGTAAATAAATATTAGGTTGGTGCAAAAGTAATTGAGGTTTTTGCTATTACTTTTAATTTTTGCTATTACTTTTAACCTGAATTACTTTTGCACCAACTTAATACCTACAAAATAAATGTAATCAGTGGACTAAATTCTTCCAAATGTGGTAGCCCTTGAGGAAAATACCAAAAGCATTTTAGGGAGAGGCCTGCTAGGACACTTATGGGTCAGACGGAAGCTCCGGCAGTGGGCACCTGCAGCCGCTGACATCTCAGTAAGAAGTGCAGGCAAGGATCAAAACCCTGGGTCGAGGGACGTGCCTGCTGGCGTGGAAAGTGCAGGCTCTGAGACTAGTGAGATTTGGTTACGATGTACCAAGCTGGAGTGACCCATGGTGTTGTTCACGGGCTCTTGTCCTTACTGGAAGCTTATCTGTGTTTGTACCCACTTCCCTTCTTTCTGTCTAGACTTGAGAAGAGGGTGCTAAGTTAGCATGCTCAGTTAGATGGCCTAGAGGCATGTAGCTGAACTGCAGAGGTGTACAAGTATTCTGTCCCCAGCCTCCCCAACCCCTTTTCCACTCCCTAAGGGTGCTGACTCCTCAGTTTCCAGATGCCGCTTCTGTGGCTGAAGTTTTCCCAGAATGCAGCTCTGCTCCTGGGCTCCAACACCCAGAAGTTCCTCTCTCTAGTCCAGTCAGCTGCTTCTTCCATCACCATATAGAACCTAGAAGAACACTAAGGACAGAAGGGAAGATGAAGACCCATCGTTAACTCCCTCAAGCGATCTTTCAGAGGGAAACAGACTCTCCACTCTCAATATTGACCTTCTAGTTCCTGTTTTTATTCTGAGAGAATGTTTCTGTTCCTGCTCCTCAAAGGAAATAGGTTTTATTTGGTTGGCTTTGCCTTCAATTGGCACAATTAGAACTGCAAGAGACACCACACTTGAGGAATCTGGGGCCCCAGAGGTTCCGCTGACAGTGCTGTGCACATAGCAGATTGTGATAGTTCCATTTTATGTGTCAACTTCACTGGGCCACAGGGAGCCTAGCTCTTTGGTTAAACATTACTCTGGGTGTGTCTGGGAGGGTCTCTGAATGGCATTAATGTTTGAATTAATTGGTAGACTCAGTAAAGCAGGTTGGATCCGTTTCATCCAATCCACTGAAGTTCTGAATTAAAAAAAAAAATAAAGCTGAGTAAGAAAGAATTCTCTTTTTCTGCCTGACTGTCTTCAAGCTGGGACATAAGTCTTCTCTTGCCTTCATACTGAGACTCAGGCTTGAATTTACACCATCAACTCACCCAGTTCTTAGGCCTTCAGAATCAGACTGGAACCACACCATCAGATCCCCAGGGTCTCCAGCTTAATAACTGCAGATCATAGACTTCTCAGCCTGCATATCTTGTGAGCCAATCTTTATAGTAAATCTATTTCTAGTTGGCTTTGTTTCTCTGCAGAACCCAGACAAATAACGCAAGTATTTAGTAAATGCCTGTTTACTTTGTGTAAGTGGCCTTTGGCAAGTCTGGTGAGCAGTTAGTGGCAGAGTTCCTACCAGGATGTAGGGTTGCAGGCTCATCCACCTGGACTCCTTCCACCCGACCAACACCAATTCACCCCAATGGAGGTGAGGCTGGACAAAGAATGATGGTGATGAAAACAGTGGCCCCATGGGAACCACCAGAAGCTGAGCCTAAAGAATAGGAGTAAGCCAAGGAGTCACCCAGGCCCAGTGAGTATCAGGAATTGGGGCTTCAAACAAGGCCATTTGTCAGACCAGGGCAGCCTAGCAGCAGAAATGAGCTAGAAGCAAGAGACTCTGTATCCAAGGTGAAGCTTGCCTGGCTTGTCATTCTTTCATTCTTCCTGCTGTTGCAGGACACTGTGGCTTTCCCAGGAATGGCCTTCCCAGAATCTGAAGGCCCATCAGATGCCACATTAGACCTGCTACTTTTACCAGCTCCTCCTGATAGGACTACACAATATCTTTGACTTTAAGGGTTGAACTCCTAGGCAGCTGGTCTAAGAATCCATCCACAGAGTAAACACCACCTGCTGAACACCAAATGCCTCCTGAAGTACTTTTCAGACTCTGTCTGTGGACCACCTGTCTCAGAATTACCCAAGATGCTTGTTAAAAATGCAAATTTCTAGACCCCACCCAGAACTACTGAATCAGCATCTCTGGGAGGGTGGCCGGGAGTCTGCATGTTTAATAATGTCTCAGGTGATTCTTATTTATGCACACTGACATTTGAGTTCTACCAGGTAACCCCAAACACATACAAGTTCCCGGGAATTGGCTAAGTGGTGATGACAAACTCTGGCCCATACTCACTCCTTTGTTCATTTACTCACTCAACAAATAATTTTAAAGATTTTGTGCTCAAGGCATTGTGTTAGGTGCTGTGAAAAGTTAAATTTAACTAGGTAGCACTTATTTCTATTCAATTCACAGTTAATCCATTCTCACAGTTTTCTAGGCAACGCACAAGGTGCTGCAGATCCAATGTGAATAGATACTAATTGTGCAATTACTTTTGCACCAACCTAATAGTTTCTGACTATTAGTTTCTGAGCTGAGCAGGGAGGAGGACCCTCATAGAACCAATGTGACACAGCATGAGAAGTGCTGCTGATGTTATGAATAAAATACAGCAGAGTCTAGATGGGGAAAGAGTTATATCGAAGGGTAGAAATGAAGATTCAAAAGGGTTTCGGAAATGAGATGGCATTTCAAGTAGGTCCTTAGTGGAATCTTGCCTCTTGGAAGGAGCAGGGAGAAGAAGAGCATTCTTTCAGAGGGAGCAGCCCAAGAAAAGGCACAGAGACAGGCCGGGCGTGGTGGCTCATGCCTGTAATCCCAGCACTTTCGGAGGTTGAGGTGGGTGGATCACGAGGTCAAGAGATCGAGACCATCCTGGCCAACACGGTGAAACCCCATCTGTACTAAAAATACAAAAATTAGCTGGTTGTGGTGGCGGGCGCCTGTAGTCCCAGCTACTTGGGAGGATGAGGCAGGATAATAGCTTGAACATGGGAGGCAGAGGTTGCAGTGAGCCGAGATCGTGCCACTGCTCTCCAGCCTGGTGACAGATCAAAACTCTGTCTCAAAAACAAAAAAAAGGCACAGAGACATAAAGATGCCAGGCATATGTGAGGTCCAATGAGTGGTCTGGTGTGATCTGCCTGTGGGGTGCCTGCCAGGAGGAAACCAGCTGAAAATGAAGCCAGAAACTCAAGCAGGTGCTGGATTGAGAGGAACCTGGAATGTTATTCTGGAGTCTGAACTTGGTCCTATGAGCCAGCAGTTCCCAAACCTGACTGTGCAACTGTGCAGATTCTTAAGCCCTATCCACTTCCGATCTGATTCAATCTGGGTGGGACCTAGGAGTCTGTATTTTCACCAAGCTCTGCAGGTACCGCTAATGCACAGCCATGGTTGGGACCCACTGAAACAAAGATTGCTAGAAGGAGTTCCAGTAAAGGAAAGTCATTATCGCAGTTGGGCTCTGGGCAGCGTGGGAACCCAGGTGATTAGAGAGGCACTTAAGAAGCACATTTTTTTTTGAGATCGAGTCTCGCTCTGTCGTCCAGGCTGGAGTGCAGTGCCTGATCTCAGCTCACTGCAACCTCTGCCTTCCAGGTTCAAGCGATTCTCCTGCCTCAGCCTCTTGAGTAGCTGGGATTATGGGCATATGCCACCATACCTGGCTAATTTTTTTTATTTCTAGTAGAGATGGGGTTTTACCATATTGGCCAGGCGGGTCTTGAACTCCTGACCTTAGGTGATCTGCCCACCTAGGCCTCCCAAAGTTCTGGGATTACAGGCGTGAGCCACTGCGCCAGCCTTAAGAAACAAAATGTAAGGCCTTCACTTTCAGCGCTTGCACAATCCTGGAAGTAGGGCCTCCTTAAATTGTGTGCCCTTGGCACCTCACTTACCCCACCCTATCTCAGCCATAACTCTGGGGACAATACAGAGGCCTGGAGGAAGAGGGGGACATATATCAGAGCAGGCCATAAGGAGGCCAGTACAATAGTCCTGGTGAAAGAGGATGATGGCTTCAGGGAAGGAGAGAAGATCAGGGGGGCCCTTCCAAAGCAGCACCAGCAAGATTCAGGTGATGCAGAGCAGCAGTCCAGGGGGACGCGGAGGTTCTCTGGCTTAGGGACTGGAGCATGGGTGGTGGGCACTGGCAGAGCAGATGTGAAGTAGGTTTGGGGAGAAGATACGGGGTTCAGCTTGGGACATGCTGAGTTGGAAGTTCTTGTAAGAGATTCTGGGCAGAACCGTACTACCCTTTCCCTAAAGATTTATTTGAGTACATCTTGTTGCAAGAATCTCAACAAATTCAACAACTGGTTATTAAGCACCTACTATGTGCAAAGCCCTGTGCAGAATGCTATAGGGGTACTGGTGGGGCACAAAAAGTGAATAAGCCACTACCCTAAGTCCCCAGGACCACGTCTATGCAACGAGTAATTCCCGTATGTATTAGTCTGTACTGGATTCAATGACAAAAGTATAGCGTGTGCTGCAGATGCCTAGAAAAAGGATTTGTAAGATTAATTCTGACTGTGGAGATCGGAGAAAACTGCTTGGAGGTGGGATCTGCACTGCTTTCTGAATGTTGGTACAGGAGAGCAGAGCAAGCAAAGCAGATAAAAATTTGAGCAAAGTCACAGAAGTTGGAAATGCAGAGTAGTAGATTACTTTGAAGACCATTTACGAATAGACATTTATTCAGCACTTTATGTATGCCCAGTACAGTGGCAGTGTGGCAGCCATGAGAGCTACTACAGGGAGCTCAGTTGTCCAAGAAGCCAACATCTGCTGAAATCCACCATTTCCCTGGCGCTGAGGCCACTCTCACTCCAGAGGCCACTCTTGGCCAGTGACTGAGCAGGACAGGAATTCTTGGGCAGGCCCATTCCTAGATGATATGGTTTTGGCTAGACAGTTTTGGCTCAAAGACTCCTGGTAGCCTTGTCAAATCTTCGCTAGACTGCACCGTGGTCTAGGACACCTCCACCCAATCTCCGTTCACTGTCACCTTCTCTCAGGGTCTGATCCCAGCCTTACTGGCTCACCTCAGTTTCTATCACACAGGCTTTTCTGAGGATCCAGGCTAACTCAGGTATTATGAGGGGAATTAATATCAAGGTGATTCTTTTTCACACTTCTTTGCATGTTGAATCATTCCTTAAATATCATGTGAAGGCTATCTGTCGTAAGGAATTTAGCAGAGCAATATTTTATAAAAAAGATTTTTTTGAGAAAGGACAAATCACTCTGCACTTTTTTGTGTGCATATCAAAATTTCTCAAAAGGAATGCAGCTGATGTCAAAACAAGTTTGTAGGCCAGCCGTAGCCTCAGTGGGAGCGGACAACACTGGGGAGTGCAAAACCGAGCTGGGATGTTCCTGCTGGCCTCACTGGCTCTGTGCTTTCTCAGACCGTACACTAAAGATGTTTTCTAAGGTTCTGTGATTTTCCAAAGATCACATGGAGTAGTGGAAACAGGTTTTGGAGCCCAGAAGGTCTTGGTTCAAATTTGCAAATATATCGCTTTCTATGTAACCTCCACCTTAGGTTCCTTAACCTTTCTGAGCTGCTGTTCCCTCATCTGAAAATTGCGCTAGCATATGGAACTTGCACAGTTACAGGGAAAATTAGAGAAAATGTATACAGTGCCAGCCGCTCTATAATTGGGAGTTTTTGTGTTAGTTTTATCAAAAAGTTAGGCTGAATTTAGCAGTATAAAATGAAATGGAGTTGAGGTGACATCGAAGAACACTCAGGCTAAGGATCCAGTGTTCTCTGTGTCACTGCCAACAAGAGGAAACAGTTCAGGGATCCAAAGGGAAACCATCCAACAGCCAATACTAGAGATTGCACTTTTAAAATTCTTTTTAACTTCAGCTATTAGAACCAGAACCTTTGGCAGATGTTAGTATATGATCTCATGGCACACAAACCTCTGCTCTGCTCTATCAGGGTAGTCAAAATATTGGATCAGTGGACCAAGATGTTTCCATGCCAGGTATCCCTTGGCACAGAAAATGATAGACCCTCACTCTCCTGATTCCTGGCAGAGGGCAATCCCAGTTGTGTGTACCTATAAACCTCTATAGTGGGTTAAAAATGGCTGCAAATGCTTTGACATTCCTCCCATAGAGATGTGGGCTTCATTTGCCCTCCCCTTGATTCTGAGCTGGTCCACTAGAATACAGTGGAAGGGAAGCTCTGCTAGTTCTAAGACTAGCCTTTAAGAGAACAGGCAGCTTCCTCCTTGTTCTTTTAGAGCCCTGAGTAGCCACATGGAAAGCCAGGCTGTCCTGCTAGAAAGATCACATGGAGAGGCATGAAACTACATGGAGAGAGAAACCAGCCAAGCCAGCCTTGCAGCCAGAGCCATTACCGTGAAGGTGCCAGGAATGTGAAGAAAGTCATCTTGGACCCTCCAGATCAGACCAGTTGCAGCTGAATTCTACTGAACAATCCCAGGCAGCACCAGGTAGAACAAAAGAATCACCTATCTGAGAGCTGCCAAATTCCTGACTCCCCAAATAATGAAATATAGCAAAATGATTGTTTTAAGCCACTAAATTTGGTAGTCATTTGTTATGTGGCAGTAGCTAACCCTGAAGAAAGTATCTGCACTTGAACTTCCCTTTGTACAGTACCCAGGCAACCCTACAGACTTGAAATGACTTGGAACCCTGAACACTTTATTAGACTGAGGTTTGGCATATCTTGGAACTTGTTGCCTGCTTACCATTTCAGGTCTCCAGGTGTGTTTATGGGAGATATTCAAAGGAATGTACCAGACTCAATATTGAAATTGATTAGTCTCCTTCAACTGTAATTTTTTCCCCTTGATTATTGTTTTAAAATTTGGAACAATAAGATTGTACAGAGGAGAAAGAGAAAGGATGGAGTATGGGAAAGGGAGAAAATAAAAAGAAAAAGATGGAGGGGTCTCAGGTTGGTTAGCATCTACTCAGAAAGGAAGAAATAAAATTAACCTCCAAATGAAGAAAGGTCCTAATCCTTGCCCACCTTTTGGAAACCCCGCCCATTGTTCCACACCAACCCCACCTTAGAGAAGGAATCAAGACAAATGGCTAACAGCCATAGAATTCCTGTATTCTCAGCTTCTATTTAACATCACTTTCTATTTTATATTCATTCATTCAGTCCACAGGCATTTATTGAATCAGTGTTTTCTGTGGGAAAAACTAAAAAATGTGGTATAATTGAAACATCTACTTCACCCATTTGAGACTGAAAAGAAGATGATATCTCTTTTCATAATCAAATTAATACAATTCTATACCTCCATTCCAAAGGCATTCTCTGGTCCTGGAGTGTCCTGCCTGTGATACATTCTAGAAGCCCACAGGTGATTATCCAAATGACTTCAAAGAAAGCCCATTCTGTCTGCCAAAGAAACTATCCTCTGCCACCATTGTTGCAGCACAGCTTCACTATAGAGCTGCTGAAACAGGAAGTCCATCAGACTCTTTAGCCAAAAGTAGCGCTATGGTGGCAGAGGCACATGGCAGAAAGACTTGAGGTTATTGTGCCTACCTTGCCCCCACGGCCAGCAGTCCAGTGCCGGCCTTATGCATTGTAGGAATCACCACTGAATGTGTGTCTCACTGCCAGTTTGGCAGTGGTTTCTGAGAGTTCAGGGAGGATGAGCACACCCTTCCCTCCCAATGCCTTGTCAATTTTGGGCACTTCAGACCCAAAGATCTTTAGGGAAACATCCGTGTACCTGAAAATGTTCTCCTGCCTTGGTATGCCATGGAAACTTGGTGACCAGGCAGTAGAGGTTTCACAGTAGCCACAAGCTATACCCCAAACCAGACCTTTTCCATGAGCAGGCAGATCAGGTTTCCAGAGAGAAGAGAAAGTCCCTCCCTCCCAAGCCCAAGCCTGCTTCATCTCCTGCCCCAGGATTAACCACTTGTCATCCACCATGGCCTCAACAAAAAGTCAAAAACTGTCTAACAATACATTCCCATTGTCCACGGCCACTTCAGTATAATAAAACAAAGTGTCTTGCTCTTAGAGAGGGCATGCACAAACAGAATTAGGTAGCAACAGCAGAGAAGAATACGTGCAGTCATAGAACTTGAGAGCTAGAACAGACTCCAAAGACCACATTGTTAAACCTCCTCTGTCAAAAAAGCAGAGGCCCAGAGGCTTCACTAATCTACACAAAGCCATGCTCAGCATTTGGTAGTTGAGTCCAAGTCCTCAAACCAAGCTCTTTCCTCTAGATTTTCACATAACTGCTTCTCTTGGGCCCCTAAATTAAACTGAAAGATACTTAAATAATTTGGGGGCTTTATTTTTTTCTGTGCCTAAGAAAAACAGAAACATTCCTTGTTAAGCCAAGGCAGGGTCTGACAGAGCTTGGCAGCTGAAAGTATCTTCCAAAATCAAGAAACACCACATCTCTTTTGAAAGTGGGATCAACAGTTTGTGCCCCTTAAATGTGAAGAAACGTATTTCTTTGTGCAAAAAAAAAAATAATAATAACCGCAGTGAAATTGCTGAAGACAAATATATTGGGCAAGGAAGTCAGCAAAGCAAGAGATACTGAGTTGTTCAGAACAGTTAGTTTATTCATGTGCAAAAAAAGGAGAAAAAATACAGGCAAATTATTTTCCATTTGCAAATATGTTCTCTGAATTTTCCCAGAAGATGAATATACAGAAACTCATGAGTTATAAGAACTGAATGCCCAATTATTTGATAAAAAGGACAGGCTGAAATAGGGCTAAAGAGGGGACAAAAATCTTTATTCACACTATAGCAAAATCTTCCCACCACTGCCATCCAGGATTATTGACGAGCTGAGTCATATACTTGAGATCACTGCTTTGAGGTGATCTCAGTTTAAAACATACACTCCATTTATTCACATGTATGGATGACATGAAGATGACGTAACTTTTGAAAAAATATTAATAGGTCTTCATTTTTTCACTTTCGTTTATTAAAGTACCTGCTGCAGGTCAGGATTATAATAGTATAATCTTGATATACTATTAAAGACATATAAAAAATAAGATACGAGAACTACCCTTCATGCTCTCGCAGTCCAAGAGAGGAGGACAGACTAATAAACAAATGACAACCACGAGCATTATCAAGCCACAAGCACATCAAGCACTATGATGGGATAATGTATAGACAATGAGCTACCAGAGGCACCTGGAGTAAAAGTAGGTAGGGGGCTAAGAGTTAAAAGAGGAGGTGCATGAGATTAAATTTAAAGAGATTAGGACTAAACTATGTAAAAGTGGATGGACAGGAAAAGTCAAATATGAGAAATGAAAAGACACAGGTGAGCAAATGACTTGGCAATCAGTTGGATGTAGGGTTTCTGGAAGAGGGAGGAAATATGTTGATTCCCAGTGACACATCCTGAACAGATGCCTAGACAGCTGACAGCAGTGCAGGCTCCTGCTGGTCATGGTCCCCCCTTGGCATCTCATGCACATAACAGAAGCAGCCAGGGCCATTATCCCAAAGGGGGTATTTCATGCACATGGCAGAATCCGCCTCTGCCCAGCCCCACTTGATAAGCTCAGCGGCTGCTGACTGATCCATAACTCTCAGAGTGCATTCATGATACAGGATGGTCTGTGACCTGTTGGAACTTCATTCCCTAGAGCTTAGATTTTCTGCCAGATTAGCCACTCTGCTTGACAATAATGCCTTCTATTTCATGCTCAATGTTTGGACTCTTAGTCTTCATTTTTGCTTTCATACCAAGATCTCTGGTCTGACTGACTGGGTAGTGTAGTCAATCAAGTAAGGAAACTTGGAGAAAGGCTAATAAATTTTACTTTAACCTTGTGTTTTAAGTGTCCATAGGACCAAAATTCCTCCAACCAATGGGTGAAACTATTTCTTTTACTTGTTGAAATTTAGTGTACAGCTTGCCAGCCACTTTGTTTTTGTTCTTTGGCTTGAGTATCAGCTTTTTGCTGTTCTTTCTCCCTTTTTTCTAACCTTACTGCTGCATCATGAGAAACAATATGCCTTCATTAACTCTTCTACTCAACTGCACAGGTCTGGTCTAGCAGAATGCCCATTGTATTCTTATTTTGAATTTGTTCAGTTGTCTTTGTAAGTGTGTCCCCTGTACCACACCATTGCACAGTTGTATGCATGTTGTCTTGTATTTCTTTTTTCTTACTTCCTTTCTTGTGTCATAACTCGAGAAACAGCTGCCCATCTATGATTAATTGAAGTAGAATAGGACTGATTATTAGGGCAGAAAATTCTGGAATTAGGTCTGTTCACTAGAATTAGGGGAAAGAGGGCAGGCACATATACTAGAAGTCTAGACCTAGCTATAGATGTTGGAAGTTCAGTCTGCAGGCAAAGGAAGGATGATGCGGCAGGGTGACATTGGACCAGAGGATATAATATGTGTAGGGTGTGGGAAGTGGAGTTCATACCAGAATGGTATGGGGAGATGATGGCATTGCTTCTGACAAGGAAGACTCAGAGGCTGGTCCTGCAGATACTTGCTAACATCCAAGGAAGGTCATAATAAGACACAGAGAAGATGGCGACAGCCTCTGGTTACCAGAAGAAGGCTCAGACAGAAAGCAGACCAGCCAGGGTGAGCCTGAGACCCCTTGGAGCTTCTTCAGCAGTTCTGCCTCCAGGCCAGGAGCTGCGGAGTAGGGAGGGAATTGGGAGAGAGGAATAAGGGGAGATAACTATGGCCTTGGGAGAGGAGTCGTCATTGTGATGAGCCCCTGAGGACAACGACTGTTCCACCTCTCTGGCCTCCAATAGGAGTGCACATAGTGAGTGCTTAGTAAGTGCAAATTCAGTGAATTAAAAGGCCACCTTCAGTTAATCATTCAAAACCCATTATAGCAGATAACTTCACGGGTTTAATGTACCGCAAGGGCATAGATGGCACCCAGAAAAGGAACAGTTTCATACAATAAAAGCCTGATTGTGCAGATTACAGTGATTGACAGAAATAGCCTCAGAGGCCCTGACACAGCCGATTACACACAGATGGAGACTCAGCAGCCCTCAGTGTCCAAGAGCAGCACTGCTGCCCTTGCTATGATGCAACCACACTGGGCTGTGGAGGCTGCCAGTCATCAGAAGCTCCCTTTACTTTTCTCATGGAATGGGAGAAAGGAACATCACCTTCTTAGCCCTTCATTCTTTTCTGGAGACTCTAGCTTGAGACCTGCCTGCTCATTAGGTATAAGTAACTAGTAACAACCCCTGCATATTCCTGAGTGCCTACTGGGAAGGTGAATGGGAGGTCAGTTTCCCAGGACCATTTACCCAGGTGCACCATATAAAAGGCCCAGCTTTAGTGATTCCCACACTAGTTCAGTGCATTAACTCCCTGGTCTACCCAAACCACCCATACCCTAACGGGGACAGGGTTGGGAATCCGCTGTATTTAGACTCTAGACGTTAGGTCACCTACACCCATCAGAGAGGAATACATTCCTGTGGCACACGTGGGAGAGGTGCATAGTTTCTACTGAGGTAAGGGTTGCCACCAGCCACCCCAGATGGACATAATGTACATTTGCACAAAAGTTGTATTTTTTTCTGGACAGATGTAAAGAGAAACCAATACTGCCTGAAGCAAAATTGTAAAACTGGGAGGTCAGTGAAATTTGCCTTGGGTATCTCCAACCCCTCCTGTTTCCCCTCAGTGGCCACACCCTGGCCTCCCCTCCCCTCTGTTCCCTGCTCCTTCCTCATTCTGGATGCCTTCCTGAGCCTTAAAACACACACACACACACACACACACACACAGGATCTGATCACATCATTATACCTAACTGTCTCTTTCACATTACAGTAGTAACTGCCCCAGGTATTTTTATTTAAAACCTTTTATTATGGAATAAAATGGTTTCTTAGGTCTTCCCTGGAAGGAATTTTTAGGCAATATTAAACAGGTAGAATTTGTTTTTTTGTTTTGAGGGTTAATTTTTTTTTTCTTTTTACTAACAGGGGAAAGACTGGGCACAGTGGTTCATGCCTGTAATCCCAGCACTTTGGGAGGCCAAGGTGGGTGGATTACCTGAGGTCAGGAGTTCAAGACCAGCCTGGCCAACATGGTGAAGCCTCGTCTCTACTAAAAATACAAAAATTAGCTGGGCATGCTGGTGCACGCCTGTGGTCCCAGCTACTCAGGAGGCTGAGGCAGGAGAACCGCTTGAATCCAGGAAGTGGAGGTTGCAGCAAGCCAAGATTGCGCCACTGCACTCCAGCCTGGGTGACAGAGTGAGACTCCAACTCAAAAACAAAAACAAAAGCAAACAAACAAACAAACAAAAAACCAGGAGTCTTTTCTGGTTTCTAAAAATTATACTGTACTATATCAAAGGCTGGCTGGCTCCAAATATCAATAAATGACTGAAAGTTGGCTTTAGATGTGTTAGATGCTGATTAGTTACTTTAGAAGGGGCTTGGATGTGTCAGGTGCTAAGAAGCTACTTCAGAAGGGGCATCCTGGACTTCTCCCCTCCCTCAACCTT